>NC_000016.10:49714015-50017045 GCF_000001405.40 Homo sapiens | reverse complement strand
GGTCTTGGTTGCCGTGAGCTATGATTGTGCCACTGCACTCCAGCCTTGGCAACAAAGTGAGAACCTGAAAAAAAATAAATAAATAAATAAAGTAAAATAAAATACAAAATGGACAAAGGATCTGAATAAATACTACTGCAAAAACGGCATATGAATGGCCAAGAAGCATAGACAAAGATGTTCATCATTAGCCACCAAGGAAATGCAAGTCAAAATCACACCACAGTGAAATACTACCTCACATCTATTAGGATGATTATAATAGTAATCATGATAATAATAATAAAACATAGTAACAATTGTTGTAGAGGATAGATATATATAAATTAGAATCCTTATCTATTACTTATGGGAATGTAGAATGGTGTGGCCACATTGGCAAGAAGTTGGGCAGTTCCTTAAAAACATAAAGTCATCTGGGTGAGGTGGCTCATGCCTGTAATCCTAACACTTTGGGAGGCTGAGGTGGGAGGCTGTCTTGAGCATAGGAGTTTGAGACCAGACTGGGCAACATAGGGAGATCCTATCTCTGTAAAAAATAAAAAAATAGCACGGCATGGTGGTGCAGGCCTGTAGTCCCAGCTACTTGGGAGGCTGAGGTGGGAGGATAGCTTGAGCCCAGGAGATGAAGGCTGCAGTGACATGTGATCACACCACTGCATTCTAGCCTGGGCAACAGAGCAAGACTCTGTCTGAAAGAAACAAATAATACACAAACGCGGAGGTTGCAGTAAGCTGAGATGGCACCACCGCACTCCAGCCTGGGTGATAAAGCAACACTGTCTGAAACAAAAACACAACAAATGAACCCGTAAAAATCACCATATGACCCAACAGTTCAACTCTCGTGTACCTAAGAAAGATGAAAACATATGTCCATAAAAAGGCTTGTATGTGAATGTTCATAGCAGCATTATTTATAATAGTAAAAAAATGGGAGCAAATGTCTACCAGCTGATGAATGGGTAAGCAGAAGGTGATAATATATCTGTACAATGGAATATTATTCAGCAATAAAAGGGAAGGAAGTTCAGCCACATGCTACAACATAGATGGGCCTTGAGGCCACTGTGCTAAGTGAAATCAGCCAGTCACAAAAAGACAAATACTCTGAGTCCGCTTATATGAGGCACCTAGAGTAGTCAAACTCATACAGACGGAAAATAGAATGGTGGCTTCCAGGGGCTGGGGGTGGAGGGAATGGAGAGTTAGTGTTTAATAGGTATGGAGTTTCAGTTTTGCAAGATGAAGAGTTTTGTTTCATGCATGGATGGTGGTGATGATTGCACAGCAGGATGAAGGTATTAATATTGAACTGAATTGAGCTGTACATTTAAAAATGGCTAAGATGGTAAACTTATGAGTATTTTACTACAGTTTTAAAAAATTAAAGTCACATAGTGACCTATCATCAAAAAAAAAATCTTTGTCTTGCTCTTTCTAGATAGATCCTCCTGCAGTATTGTGGAAACTTCCTGTTTTGCTAAAGATTTCTTGTTTTTTTGTTTGTTTGCTTGTTTGTTTGTTTTGATGGAGTCTTGCTCTGTCACCAGGCTGGAGTGCAGTGGTGCAATCTCTGCTCACTGCAACCTCCGCCTCTTGGATTCAAGCGATTCCCCTGCCTCAGCCTCCTGAGTAGGTAGACTACAGCTGTGCACCACCATGCCCAGCTTTTTCGTATTTTAGTAAAGATGTGATTTCACCATGTTGGCCAGGTTGGTCTGGATCTCCTGACCTTGTGATCCTCCTGCTTCGGCCTCCCAAAGTGCTGGGATTTCAGGCCTGAGCCACCGCGCCTGGCCTTGCTAAAGGTTTCTTACTTGGTCAGACTCTCTTACACCCTCAGTTTCTGGAAAATGTATCAAAAAGGCTTTACTAAAATGTGTCAAATTGCAACAAATGTTACCTATTCTTTCTTCACTTAGAGACAACTTGTTTAGCCCAATAGGCTCAGAAACAATTGGGGAAATTGTAATATTGGTGATATAAGATACATCTTTGCTAATGTTTTTTGAAAAATAGAAAAGCTTTTTATCTTATCACATATCTTAAATATATTTTCATCAAAACCTCAAAGGAGTCAATTTAGTTCATTTGATTTGGAGACACTATTCACCGTTTTCTTTAATGCACAAAGCCAGTTCTTATTGTCAAACTGATCAGTAAAATCAGACTTAATTTCTCTCAGAAACTTTACTTCACTTTTCAATGCAAATCCCTGTGAAAACTCAACATGTTTGTAAAAATTGTTTGTATTCAAAGCAATGCTTTACTCATTTTTTTTTTTTTTTAGACAGAGTCTCACTCTGTCACCCAGGCTGGAGGGCAGTGGTTCAATCTTGGCTCACTGTGACCTCCATCTCCCAGGTTCAAGCGATTCTCCTGCCTCAGCCTCCCAAGTAGCTGGGATTACAGGCACACGCCACCATGCCCAGCTTATTTTTGTATTTTTAGTAGAGATGGGGTTTCGCCATGTTGGCCAGGCTGGTCTCCAACTCCTGACCTCAGGTGATCCGCCTGCCTTGGCCTCCCAATGTGCTGGGATTACAGGCATGAGTCACCACACCAGACGTTTTTCTTCAGACAGGGTCGCATTCTGTCACCCAGACTGGAATTTAGTGAATTTAGTGGTGCGATCACAGCTCACTTCAGCCTCAGCCTCCTGGGCTCAAGGGATTCTCTTGCCTCAGGCTCCCAAGTGGCTGGGACCACAGGCGGGTGCCACCACACCTGGCTAATTTCTAAATTATCTGTAGAGACGGGGCCTGCCTTTGTTGCCCAGGCTGGTCTCAAACTCCTGGGCTCCGGCCATCTTTGCCATGACCTCCCAAAGTGCTGGGATTACAGGCATGAGCCACCATGTCCAGCCAGTGCTTCACTCTTAACTGAGAATCTAAACAGGACAAGAAAGCCAAGAGTGCAGGATGGATTTATTGCTCATGGTTTGAGGAGACTTCAAGCGTGTCCTTATTTTGAATAAGATGTCCTTCTTGTTCCTGCAGCCAGTGCTGTCTTCCATGCACCTGGGCACCGCCCCATTGTAACTCAGCGGGGCGAGAGGTGGGCCTTTCTTCTGTAGACTGGGGTTAAGGGCGATGGTGAAGCAGGGGAGGGAAGGAGGACCAGGTCTTGAAGCAGGACAACTGGGAATTCTTGCCCTCGAGAGTCTCCCTCCCTTCTTCCTCAGTCTGGGGGTCAGAGGAGGCTTCTTAGAGGACATGGGGCTCAAGTTGATTCTCCCCAGACCTGCTCTTTATCCATGGTCACCATTTTAGTAAATGGCCCCGTGTCCACCCACTATTTGCTCAGGCAAGAACTGGGGATCATCCTTGAGTCCCCTTCTTAATCTCACATCCATTACCCAATCCATCAGCTCTGTCACCTTACTTCCAGAATGGATCCCAAATCCAGTCATCTCTCACCCTTACCATGGTCACCCAAGTCCTGGCCATCAACACAGTTGCCTGGAAGGTTGCAAGCGTCTCATCGCTATCTCCCTGCTTCACCTCTTGCTCTCCTTCTGGTCCTCCTTGGTACAGTAACCAGAGAGGGCCTGTCCCTCCTTATCTAACACCTCCTCATTGCTTTCCTTTGCACTTAAAATAAAATCTGAGGAATATTCCACCTTGTAGGGTGACCAACTTGTCCCAGGCAAACCACGACAGTTGGGCGCCCTACACAAGACCCTGTAGGCTTGGACATTGCCTACCTCTGCAGATGCTTCTCACAGGTCTCCCCCACCCACATCCCACCTCTACCCTCACTCCCCGCACTCTCCCAGGCTTACTTGGCTCCAGCCCCATTGGATCCTTCAAAGAGCCATGCTTGTTTTAGGATTTTTGCATTTGCTACCTCTTCTCACTGGAACTCTCCTGCCCTGGCTTGCTCTTGCAATGTCAGGCTTCAGCTCAATGCCCTTTCTGCAAAGAGGACTTGGATCACTCCAGCTTAAGTACTTCTCTTTTTCTCTTTCTCTCTCTCTCTCTTTTTTTCTTTTTTTTTTTGAGACAGAGTCTTGCTCTGTTGCCAGTCAGAAGTGCAGTGGTGCAATCTTGGCTCGCTGCAACCTCCACCTCCTGGGTTCAAGCGATTCTCCTGTCTCAGCTTCCTGAGTAGCTGGGATTACAGGCACGTGCCACCATGCCCGGCTCATTTTTGTATTTTTAGTAGAGATGGGGTTTCACCTTGTTGGCCAGGTTGGTCTTGAACTCATGACCTCAAGTGATCCACCCACCTCAGCCTCCCAAAGTGCTGGGATTACACCCCTCCCCCAGCCATAAGTATTCCTCTGCCATCACCATCTGGACCACTGCATCCTGCTTACTCGCTGTGCAGTTTGAAGCTCTCTGTGCTTTACTTTCTTACCCGTGACTGAGGCAGGTGCTGTCCTCAAAGAACTGCAGAAGGGATCCTGTGAGATAATTCTTGCCAAGCCCTTGGATCACTGCTGGAACATAGAAAGTGCTCCATACATATGGTCATAATTACCCTGTTCTGTTTTCTTTCTAGCACCTGTCAATATGTGACAATTGTATTTATTGATATTTCTTCCATGTTTATTGTCTGTCTCTCCAACTAGAATGTGAGCTGCATTAGGGCAAAGACCTATTTTGCTTTCCTCAGTGACTATAACCATGCCTGACACATATCAGGAACTCAAGGTGTGCGTTCAGAGAATGAAACTTAATGGTTGCGCAGCACTGTGAATGTACATGTACCACTGAATTGCATGTGTAAAAATGGCTAAAATGTTGAAATTATGCTATATATGTATTTTAAGGTTGTGTATATTTACCCCCATGAAAAAGCACACTGATGTCCCATAATAAATATTTAACAACTTTCCTAGGTTAAAGCAAAGTGAAAGAAGCTAAGTCTGGGTACTCTTGGAGGAATTAGCTGCTCAGAGAGGGCGCAGCCTGGCCTTGTGGCTTTCTGGGACTCGTTTTACATAACACCCCTTCTCTTCATGACCTCTCATTGGTGTGCACACCTTCCTGAGGAGGTCAGGGGAGGTGGGGACTGGAAATCCCAGGAGACCCTGCCAAGGCTGAAGTGCTCTGTCCAGGTGTGTCCACAGCAGGCGGAGCTCCACACATCTGGTGTTGTCACTCTTCCACTGTGGTGTCTTTGCAGCTGATCAGTGCTGTGCCAGTTGACAGCTGTGTGATCTCAGGCAAGTTACGCAACCCTCCTGTGCTTCAGTTCTTCCTCTGTGGAGTGAAATAGCAAGAGAAGCTTTCTCATAGGATGACTGTGAGGATTGAATGGATAGTGTCTGCAAAGTGTTTAGAAAAGTGCCTGGCCTACACCCACAAGTGCTATATAAATATTAGCTATTATTATTAATATTTTTGGCCTGGAGTTGGTGGTTCATACCTGTAATCCCAGCACTTTGTGAGGCTGAGGCAGGAGGATTGCTTGAACCCAGGAGTTCACGACCAGCCTGGGCAATATAGTGAGACCCCTTCTCTATCAAAAAATCAATGTTTGTATTACCCATTCAGTTGCTTAAGCCAAAAATTTAGGAGTTATACATGCCCTTCCTTTCTCCCCATTTCCATCAGCAAATCCATTCTTCAAAATGTATCTTAACTTCTTTCACTTTTTCTCCTAAATGTTCTCAAGTTTTGCCTTTCACACTGAAGCCTTTGGGCTGGTCAGGAATGTATTCAATCTCTCTTTATTTCCACATGGACCACCAGGTGTGCCAGCACTGTTTACCAAGCCCTTTCTTTGTTGCCCTGCTTGGCCAGTGCCATCATAGGCTATAGCCAGTTTCTACGTCTGCGAGGGTCTGTTTCTGGGCTCTGCTCTGTTCCACTAGGAATTCTTTTTCTTTTTCTTTTTTTTTTTTTCTTTTTGAGACAGAGTCTCTCTCTCTCAGGCTGGAATGCGGTGGCATGAACTTTGCCCACTGCAACCTCAACCTCGTGGGCCCAAGTGATCCTTCCACCTCACCCTCCTGAGTAGCTTGCTTTCTTTCTCTTTCTTTCTTTCTTTCTTTCTTTCTTTCTTTCTTTCTTTCTTTCTTTCTTTCTTTCTTTCTTTCCCTTTCTTTCCTCTTTCTTTTTTTCTTCTTCTTTCTTTCTCTTTCTCTCTTTCTCTCTTTCTTTCTTTCCTTTCTTTCTCTCTCTCTCTCTTTCTCTCTTTCTTTCTCTCACTTTGTCACCCAGGCTGGAGTGCAGTGGCATAATCTCAGCTCACTGCAACCTCTGCCTCCTGGGTCCAAGTGATCCTCCTGCCTCAGCCTCCTGGGTAGCTGGGATTAAAGGCATGCACCATCATGTCCGGCTAATTGTTTTGTGTTTTTAGTGAAGATGGGGTTTCACCATGTTGGCCAGGCTGGTCTTGAACCTTGACCTCAGGTGATCTACCTGCCTTGGCCTCCGAAAGTGCTGGGATTACAGGTGTGAGCCACCACGCCTGGCTAATGTTTGTATTTTCTGTAGATACAGGGTCTCACTTTGTTGCCCAGGGTGGTCTCAAACTCCTGACTCTGGGGCTCAAGCAATCTGCCCACCTTGGCCTCCCAGCATGCTGAGATTATAGGCATGAGCCTCGGCCTCCCAGAGTGCTAGGATTACAGACTGCTCCTGGCCTGGGCAGTCATTATTGATCTTCCCTCCTCCTCACTCCTTACATGCAATCCATCAGCAAGTCCATCCTCCCTCCAAACACAGTGAAAGCCCTTCTACTCCACTCCTCATCACTGCTGCTGTTATTTTGCTTTTTCATTTTGAGACAGGGTCTTGTTCTGTCACCCAGGCTGGAGTGCAGTGGTGCGATCATAACTCCTGAAGCCTCAACCTCCCTAGCTCAAGTGATCCTCCCTCCTCAGCCTCCCGAGTAGTTGGGACTACAGGCAGGTGCCACCGCACCTGGCTAATTTTTTAAAAAATTTATAGAGATGAGGGTCTCACTATGTTGTCCAGGCTGGTCTCAAATTCCTGGACTCAAGTGACCCTTCCACCTCAGCCTCCCAAAGTGCTGGAATTACAAGCCTGAGCCACTGCACCTGGCCTACTGCTGTTCTTTTTCTTTTTAAACTTTTATTTTAGGTTCAGGGGTACATGTGAAGGTTTGTTACACAGGTGAACTCTTGTTTTGGGAGTTTGTTGTACAGATTAATTCAGCACCCTGTGTATTAGTCTGTTCTCACTTCTATAAAGATATACCTGAGACTGGGTAATTATAAAGATTTTATAAAGGGTAATTATAAAGGTTTAATTGACTCACAATTCTGCATGGCTGGGGAGGCCTCAGGAAACTTACAATCCTGGTGGAAGGTGAAAAGGGGAAAAAGGAAGAAAGGCATGTCTTACATCGAGGCAGGGGACAGAGTGAGCAGGAAGGGAAGTGCCACACATTAAACCATCAGCTGTCATGAGAACTCACGCCCTGTCATGAGAACAGCAAGGGAGAAATCTGCCCCCGTGATCCAATCATCTCCCATCAGGCCGCTGCTCCAACATGTGGGGATTACAATTTGTGATGAGATTTGTGTGAAGACGCAGAGCCAACCATATATTTCTGCTTCTGGCCCCTCCCAAATCTCATGTTCTTTTCACATTTCAAAACACTTCATGCTTTTCCAACAGTCCCACAAAGTCTTAACTCATTCCAACATTAACTCAAATGTCCCAGTCCAAAGTCTCATCTGACACAATGTAAGTCCCTTCTGCCTATGAGCCTGTAAAATCAAAAACAAGTTAGTTACTTCCAAGATACAATAGGGGTACAGGCATTGGATAAATGTTCCTGTTCCAAGTGGGCGAAATTGGCCAAAACAAAGGGGCTACAGGCCTCATGCAAGTCTGAAACCCAGCAGGGAAGTCATTAAATCTTAAAGGTCTGAAATGATCTCCTTTGACTCCATGTCTCACACCCAGGGCATGCTGATGCAGGGGTGGGCTCCCTAGGCCTTGGGCAACTCTGTCCCTGTGGCTCTGCAGGGTACAGCCCCCATGGCTGCTTTCATGGGCGGGTGTTGAGTGCCTGCAGCTTTTCCAGGTGCATGGTGCAAGCTGTTGGTGGATCTATGATTCTGGGATCTGGAAGACTGCAGCCTTCTTCTCACAGCTCCACTAGGTAATGCCCCAGTGGAGATTCTGTGTGGGGGCTCCAACTTTACACTTCCCCTCTGCATTGCCCTAGTGGAGGTTCTCCATGAGGGTTCCGTCCCTGCAGCAAACCTCTGCCTGGACATCCTGGCGTTTCCATACGTCCTGTGAAATCTAGGGGGAGGTTTTTAAAGCTCAACTCTTGTCTTTTGCGCATCCTGTGGTCCAACACTATGTGGAAGCCACTAAGGCTTGGGGCTTGCACCCTCTGAAGCAAAAGCTGGAGCTATACCTTGGCCCCTTTTAGCCGTGGCTGGAGCTGGAGTAGCTGGGATGCAGGGTGCCATGCCCTGAGGCTGCACAGAGCGGTGGGGTCCTGGGCCTGGCCTACCACAAAACCATTTTTCTTTCCTGGGCCTCCAGGCCTCAGATGGGAGGGGCTGCTATGAAGATCTCTGAAATATCCTGGAGACATTTTCCCCATTGTCTTAGCTATTAACATTCAGCTTCTCTTTACTTATGCAAATTTCTGCCGCCAGCGGCTTGAATTTCTCTCCAGAAAATGGGTTTTTCTTTTCTACCACGTGGTCAGGCTGCAAAATTTCCCAACTTTTATGCTCTGCTTCCCTTTTAAACATAAGTCCCAATTTCAGACCATCTCTTTCTTCAAACATACGAGCATACACTTTTTGCAATAGCCAGGTCACATCTTGAACACTTTACTGCTTAGAAGCTTCTTCCTCCAGATATCATAAATCATCTCTCAAGTTCAAAGTTCCGCAGATCTCTAGGGCAGGGGCAAAATGCCACCAGTCTCTTTGCTAAAGCATAGCAAGAGAGACCTTTACTCCAGTTCCCATTAAGTTCCTCATCTCCATTTGAGACCACCTCAGCCTGGACCTCATTGTCCATATCACTATCAGCATCTTGGTCAAAACCATTCAACAAGTCTCTTGGAAGTTCCAAACTTTCCCACATCTTTGTCTTCTTCTGAGCTCTCCAAACTGTTCCAACCTCTGCTCATTACTCAGTTCCAAAGTCACTTCCGCATTTTCAGGTATCCTTATAGCAGTACCCCACTCTTGGTACCAATTTTCTATATTAGTCCATTCTTACACTGCTATAAAGACATACCTGAGTCTGGGTAGTTTTTAAAGAGAAGAGATTTAATTGACTCACATTTCTGCATGGCTGAGGAGGCCTCAGGACACATAAAATCTTTTTTTTTTTTTTTTTCTGAGACAGGGTCTTGCTCTGTCACCCCAGCTGGAGTGCAATGGCACAATCTCGACTCACTGCAGCCCTGACCTCCCAGGTTGAAGTGATTCTTGTGCCTCAGACTCCAGACTAGCTGGGACTACAGGTGCATGCCAACATACTTGGCTGATTTTTTTTTTTTTTTTTTTTTTGAGACAGAGTCTCTCTCTGTCACCCAGGCTGGAGTGCAGTGGCACAATCTCGGCTCACTGCAACTTTCACCTCCCAGATTCAAGTGATTCTCGTGCCTCAGCCTCCCGAGTAGCTGGGACTACAGGCATGAACCACCACACCTGGCTAACTTTTTGTATTTTAGTAGAGACAAGGTTTCACCATCTGGCTAATTTTTAAATTTTTATTAGAGATGGGGTTTCGCTATGTTGGCCAGGCTGGTCTCAAACTCCTGACCTCAAGTGATCCATCTGTCTAGGCCTCCAAAAGTACTGGGATTACAGGCATGAATCACTATGCCCAGACAGGAAACTTACAATCATAATGGAGAGTGAAAAGGGAAGGAGGCATGTCTCGCATGGCAGCAGGAGAGAGAGCAAGCAAGGGGGGAAGTGCCACACTGTAAAACCACCAGCTCTCATGAGAGCTCACTCCCTCTCATGAGAACAGCAAGGGAGAAGTTCATCCCCATGATCCACTCATCTCCCACCAGGCCCCTACTCTGACATGTGGGGATTACAATTCAAGATGAGATTTGGGTGGGGGCAAAGAGCCAAACTGTATTGCCCAAGAATAAAGCCCAGTACCCAATAGTTATCTTTTCTGCTCCTCTCCCTCCTCCCATTCTCCACTCTCAAGTAGACCTCAGTGTCTTGTTTCCTTCTTTGTTTTTAATTTTATTAAAATAGTGTCACATTGTGAATATTCCTTTGAAATTGGTTTGTTTACCATTATTAATTCTAAGATTCATCTGTGTTGATGTATAAGTTCTCATCATTTAGCTTGCACTTATAAGTGAGAACATGTGGTATTTGGTTTTCTCTTCCTGCATTAGCTTGCTGAGGATAATAGCCTCCAGCTCCATCCATGTTCCCACAAAAAACAAGATTTTGTTCTTTTTTTATGGCTGTTATTTTTCAGCTGGACAGTTGGGATGGTTCCCACTCCCCACTTCCACTCTGGAACCCCTGCACCCCCTGTATTTCCCCATAGTGCAACCCAAGAGGGCATGTTCCCCTTTCATCCCTTTTAAAATGACAAAATAATTAATATGTACAAACACATTTAAGTACATACATGTAAGCATATGGAGGTGGTGAGGCATGGCCATTAAACAGCCCCTGTAAGCACCCCTTGCACCCTAGGAAATGGAACAGTAGCAAATCCTCTTATGTCTCATTTGCCCTTCTCAATACTCTTGGAAACTGGTTCTTTCTTTCTTTCTTTCTTTCTTTCTTTCTTTCTTTCTTTCTTTCTTTCTCTCTCTCTCTTTCTTCCTTTCTTTCTCTTCCTTCCTTCCTTCCTTCCTTCCATCCTTCTTTCTTTCCCTTCCTTCCTTCCTTCCTTCTTTCTTTCTTTTTTGAGACAGAGTATCGCTCTGCCATCCACCCTGGAGTGCAATGACACGATCTCAGCTCACTGCAACCTCCACCTCCTGGGTTCAAGCAATTCTCTTGCCTCAGCCTCCTGAGTAGCTGGGATTACAGGTGTGCAACACCATGCCCGGCTAATTTTTGTATTTTTGTATTTTTAGTAGAGACGGGGTTTCACCATGTTGGTCAGGCTGGCCTTGAACTCCTTGCCTTGTGATCCACCCGCTTCAGCCTCCCAAAGTCTGGGATTACAGGCGTGAGCCCCTGCGCTCGGCCTTTTTTTCTTTTTTTTTGAGACGGAGTCTCGCTCTGTCTCCCAGGCTGGAGGGGAGTGGTGCGATGTCGGCTCACTGCAACCCCCGCCTCCCGGGTTCAAGCTATTCTCTTACCTTAGCTGTGACTACAGGTGCACACCACCACGCCCTGCTAATTTTTGTATTTTTAGTAGAGATGGGGTTTCACCATGTTGACCAGGATGATCTTGATCTCCTGACCTCGTGATCCACCCGCCTTGGCCTTCCAAAGTGCTGGGATTGCTGGTTCTTTCTAAAATTATTCCCTTGCTTTCCTTTAGAGCTTTACTACATATGTAGTATTCCTAAGTAATTTATTATTTGGTTTTGCTTGTTTGTAAATTTTATTAAAACATTGTCATGTTGTGAATATTCCTTTAAAATTGGTTCGTTTGTTTACCATTATTAATTCTAAGATTCATCTCTGTTGATGTATGTAGCCATCAGTCAGTCATTTTCACCACTACTGAAGGATCCATTGTAAAAATCCATGATTTATACATACATTCTACTGTTGATAGCCGTTTGGTTGCTTCTTCTTTTCTCTTCTCCTTATTTCTCTTATGCACAATGCTTGTACCTGTCTCCTGGTGTACAGGAGTTTCTCTTGGGTAGTGGCTAAAAAATAGTTAGTACTTTTCTCTCCCTCCACTCTTGATAAGTAGTGTCTTTAATGCCATGACCCAGTACACACAGACACATATAATTATTGTCACTTTTTGTGATGCACTTTGGCGGCATTTTCTATGCTATTCTATTTCATTTTTTTAGAAGATGTTAGCCAGGTACACTGGCTCACACTTGGAACCCCTGCATCCCTGGTAATTCTTTATAGTGTAACCCAAGAGGGCATGTTCCCCTTTTATCCCCTTTAAAATGAAAAAAATATTTAATATGTACAAAAATATATGAGTACATATATGTAAGCATATGGAGGTGACAAATGAGACATCAGAGGATTTGCTACTATTCCATTTCCTAGAGTGCAAGGAGGGCTCACAGGGGCTGTTTTATGGTCATGCCTCACCACTTCCGTATGCTTACATATATGTACTTACATGTTTTTGTACATATTAAATATTTTGTCATTTTAAAAGGAATAAAAGGGGAACATGCCCTCTTGGGTTGCACTATGGAGAATTACTGGGGGTGCAGGGGTTCCAGAGTGGAAGTGGGGAGTGGGAATCATTGCAACTGTCCATTGCATTGCTACCCAGGAGGCTGAGGTGGGAGGATTGTGTGAGCCCAGGATTTCGAGGCTGCAGTAAGCTATGATCATACCACTGCACTTCAGCCTGGGTGACAGAGCAAGACTCTGTCTCTACAGAAAAGAAAAAAAAAAAAGAAGCTGATACAGATTACGAAAGGATTTCATGACTAACAAATTCGTAGTGTGAAAAATCTTGAGTGCATATATGTACGCATACAGAGATGGTGAGGCATAGGGCAGTTTGGGCATATATACAGGAGTGGAATTGCTGAGCCATGGGGTATATATGGACATGTTCATCTTTATCAGATAAGCCAAATGGTTCTGCAATGTAGTTATAATAATTGACCCCTCCCCAACCCAGAATGAGAATTGACATTTGCTCTACATCCTCACTTCTTAATTTGTGCCTGTCCAGTGGGTGTAAGATGATATCCCATTATGATGTAGTGATAATGCCTTTCCATGTCTTTTGCCATTTTATTAGTGGATTTTTGGTCTTCGCAATTTGTTAAAGTTCTTTGTATTTCATGGATACTAATATTTTATTGATTATATTTAATGTAAATATCATCTCCCAGCTTATATCTTATTTTTTCACTTCCTTTATCAGCAAAGGATGATGAACAGAATTCTTAATTTTAATTTAGTCAAATTTGTCAATAGTTTCCTTTATAGTATTTTTTGGATCTTGTTTAAAAAATTATTCTCATTTCTGAGGTCATAAAGATATTGTACAAAGTTTTCTGCTAAAGAAAATTTTAAAACTTTGAATCTTTTAACACCAGGCGTTTATGCAAGTTCTCTTTATACCCATATGGGTTACCAATTGTCCCAGTACCATTTACTAAATAGCCCATTCTTTTCCCACAGACCTGCTGGGGCAAGGCTGTCATAATCAAGCTTCACCTAGTGTATGGGTCCCTTTCTGCCCTCTCCTCAGTTCCGTTTGTCAATATGTCTATCCCTGTCAATACCATACTGTTGTGGTTAAGGAGTATCTTGAATATTCTTGGCCCTTTGTTCTTCCATATCCACTTTAGACCCAACTGGTTTTATGAAAAGCTCTGTTGAGACTTTGGAATTGCATTGACTCCAGAAGTCATTTTGGAACATCTTGATAATGTTGACTATTCCATCAGAAACACAGGACAGCTTTTCATTTATTTACACATTCTTTAATGTCCTTCAATAATGATTTGTCATTTTATCCATACTGTGGATTTAAGAGAGGATTTTACAAATGTTAATTGGGCTGGGATGGTGGCTCACTCCTACAATCCCAGCACTTTGGGAGACTGAGGTGGTAGAATTGCTTGAGGCTAGGAGTTTGAGACCAGCCTGGGCAACAAAGCAAGATCCCATCTCTATGAAATAAAATAAAATAAAATAAAATAAAATAAAATAAAATAAAATAAAATAAAATAAAGTAAAATAAAATAAAGTAGCAATCATGGCAGGAGGATCCCTTGAGCCCAGGAGTTTGAGGCTGCAGTGAGCTATGATCATGACAGGGCACTCCAGCCTGGATGACAGAGTGAGACTATGGCTCTCAAAACAAACAAAATCTAAGTTAGATCTCTTCCCTTTCATTGCTCTTAAAATAAAGCCCAAATTCCTTACCTGGATATGCAACCTAGCCCCAGCTTCTTCTTCAATTTTATCTTATAAAACTAGCACCCTCATCCAAGATTGGCCAGTCTCACGATTCTGGTCGGTTCCTCTTTCTCAGTCCAGGAAAGCAGCAACAGCCAGGCAGGGTTTACCCTCTGGTAGGAAGGGCTCCCACCCTCTGCCCGGCTAACATCTATCTCAAATGCCTCTACTTCTTCACTTCTTCTTCTTCCTCTTTTTTTTCCTTTTGAGACAGAGTCTTGCTCTGTTGCCCAGGTGGCAGTGCAGTGGCGTGATCTCAGCTCACTGCAACCTCCGCCTCCTGGGTTCAAGTGATTCTTCTGCCTCAGCCTCCTGAGTAGCTGGGATTACAGGTGTGCACCACCATGCCTGGCTAATTTTTGTATTTTTAGTAGAGACAGGGTTTCACTATGTTGGCCAGCCTGGTCTTGAACTCCTGACCTCAGGTGATCCACCAACCTTGGCCTCCCAAAGTGCTGAGATTACAGGTGTGAGCCACCATGCCTGGCCAAATGCCTCTACTTCTAAGAGACCTTTTTTGAACATCGTATTCAATATTGTCCAATCCTGCCCTTTCATAGCCAGAAGGAACACCCTGTTCTCTCCCTTCCAACTGTTAATCACTTTTGGCAGTTTATGATTCACTGGTGTGTGTTTGTTTAATGTCTGGCTTCCTGAACAGCCTGAAAGCTCCCTGAGGGGATCTTGGCTGTTTGGTTCACCAAGGCACCTGGAACATTGTTTAGCACATAATATATGCTCAATAAATGCTTGTTAAAGGAAGGGTGGAAAAGAGGGAGGGAGGGAAGGTGGGAGGGATGTAGGGATTTCCATCCTATCCTATAGTGAGGAAAGAATAAACAAAGCCAAATAAGGGACTTTAGGAGCAAAAATGAGTGAATTTAACATGGGCTTTGATATAGTTTGGATGTTTTTCCCCTCCAAATCTCATGTTGAAGTGTGACCTCCACTGTTGGAGATTAGGCCTGGTGGCAGGTGTTTGGGTCGTTGGGGTGGGTCCCCCATAAATGGCTGAGTGCCATCCTCACAATAATCAGTTCATCCTGGCTCTGTTAGAAGAACCAGTTCAGAAGAGAGCTGGTTGTTTAAGGAGCCTGGTGCCTCCCCTCTCTCTCTTGCTCCCTCTCTTGCCATGTGACATGCCTGCTTTTATTTTACCTTCTGTTATGAGTGAAAGCTCCCTGAGGCTTCACCAGGAGCTGAGCAGATGTCAGCACTATGCTTCCTGTACAGCCTGCAGAACTGCAAGCCAAATTAGCCTCTTTTCTTTATAAATTACCCAGCCTCAGGTATTTTTTTTTAATTGCAATGCAAGAATGGATATATATATATATATATGGATATGGATATATATATTTTATATATATATGGATATGGATGTATATATTTTATATATATATGGATATGGATATATATATTATATATATATATGGATATGGATATATATATTATATATATATATCCTCTTGGTTTTGTCTCCCTGGAGAATCCTAATACTCATATGTATAAAAATCTATGTGTGTGTGTGTGTGTGTGTATGTGTGTGTGTGTGTGTGTGTGTTGAGAGACAGACACACACAGAGAGATTTATTTTAAGTAAATGGTGCACATGATTATTGAGGCTGGCAAGTCCAAAATCTACAGGGTAGTTGTCAGGCTAGAAACCCAGGGAAGAGCCGATGGATGTTGCAGTTCAAGTCCAAAGGCCTTCTGCGGGAAAATCCCCTCTAGCTGGGGGGAGGTCAGTCTTTCATTGGATTCAAGCCTTCAACTGATTGGATGAAGTCCACCCACATGGTGGAGGGCAGTCTGCTTTACTCAGAGTCCCCTGATTTAAATGCCAATCTCATTTCAAATCACCTTCACAGAAACGTGCAGAATGATGTTTTTCCAAATAGCTGGATAACTTGGCCCAGTTAAGTTGACACGAAAGTAACCATTACATTCATGAACACATATCTTTGTGCAAATGTATAAACTTTTATATGAACTAGATTTCTAGCAATGCAATTGTTGTTTCAAGGGATACGAACAATTGCCAAATTTGTGGAAAGATATTGCTATGCTATGCTCCTAAGGGGCTACAGACTAAGAGGTGCAAACTCCCTCCAACAGTATATGAGCATGAGTTTGGGCATGTGTGAACCTGGCCACTTTGAATACATGTTTCTCTAAATCTCTGCTTTGTTTCTGCATCAAGGCCTTTATACAAACTTCTTCGCAGCCTAGAATTCCTTTCTTCCCCACAACATCCTTTGCTTAGTTACTCTCCTACACAAATTTATCTACCTACACCCTCACCTAAATTAGGTCAAACTCTCCTGTTTATTTTTTATTTTTTGAGAGGATCAAGCATAATTTTATTTACTGAAAAAAATTGTTCCAGCTTTGCTGAGGTATAATTGACAAATAAGATTTGTAAGGGCTGGGCGAGGTGGCTCACGCCTATAATCCTGGCCCTTTGGAAGGCCTAGGTGGGAGGATCACTTGAGGCCAGGAACTCAAGGCCAGCCTGGGCAACATAGCGAGACCCTGTTCTACGAAAAAAATGTAAAAATTAGCCGGATGTAGTGGTATGAACATGTAGTCCTGGCTATTTGGGAGGCTGAGGAAGGAGGATTGTTTGAGGTCAGAAATTCAGGGTTACAGTGAGCTATGATTATACCTCTGCACTCCAGCCTGGGCAACAGAGTGAGACCCTGTCTCTTAAAAAAAAAAAGGCATACATTTCAGGTGTAGGACATGATGTTTTGATACACACACACACATTGTGAAATAATTACAACAATCAGGCTAATTAACATACCTATCATCACATAGTGACTTTTTTTTTTTTCTGGTAAGAATACTTCAGATTTACTTTCAGCAAATTTATTTATTTATTTATTTATTTTTGAAATGGAGTCTCGCTCTGTTGACCAGGCTGGAGTGCAGTGGTGCGATCTCGGCTCGCTGTAACCTCTGCCTCCCAGGCTCAAGTGATTCTCCTGCCTCAGCCTCCTGAGTAGCTGGGATTACAGGCATGAGCCACCACACCTGACTAATACATACATATTTTTTTTTTGTATTTTTAGTAGAGATGGGGTTTCATCATGTTGACAAGGCTGATCTCAAACTCCTGACCTCAGGCAATCTGCCTGTCTCTGCCTCCCAAAGTGCTGGGATTATAGGTGTGAACCACCATGCCTGGCCACTTTCAGGAAATTTCAAGTATATAATACAGTATTTTCAGCTACAGTCATCTTGCTGTACGTTAGATCCCCAGAACTGATTCATCATGCGTAACTGAAAGTTTGTGCTCCATGGCTGACACCTCCCGCTCCCCCACCCGATGCTCCTGCCTCATGCTCTTCGATACCGTCCCACCCTTCACAGCCAGGGTCACCTCCATCTGCAACTGCATGTTCACCTCTGTTCTGCAGGCTCACTGGCCTTCTGTCAGCTCTCACATGTATCAATCCTCTCCTGCCCGAGTCTCTGCATTTGCTGTTCTCTCTGCCTGGATCTCTTCCCCCAGTTCTTCATGAGACTGGCAACTTCTCATCCAAAACCTAGCTTCAAGGTCACCTCCTCAGAATGGCTTTCCTGACTTGCCCATCTATCTCTGAACCCATTCCCCAGGGCCACCACAACAAATTACCATGAACTTAACGGGCTTAAAACAGCAATTTATTCACTCACAGTTCTGGAGGCCAGAAGTCCCAAACCAAGGTCTTGACAGAGTTGTTTCCTTCTGGAAGCCCTGAGGGAGAATGTGTTCCATGCCTCTCTTTTACTTTTTGGTGGCTACCAGCAATCCTTGGCATTCGCTGGCTTGTAGATGTATCACTCCAACAACCTTCGCCTTCATCTTCGCATCACCCACATCACCTCATTCCCTGAGTCTTCTCCCATTCTCTTATCTTTTTTTTTTTTTTTTTGAGAAAAGGTCTCACTTTGTTGCCTAGGCTACAGTGCAGTGGCATGATCATAGCTCGCAACAGCCTTGAACCCCTGGGCTTAAGCAATGCTCCTGCCTCAGCCTCTGGAATAGTAGAGACTATGGACACACGTCATCACGCTGGGCTAATTTTTAAATTTTTTGTGGGGAGAGGGTCTTTCTGTTGCCCATGCTAGTGTCAAACTCCTGGGCTCAAGTGATCCTTCTGGCTTGGACTCCCAAAGTGCTGGAATTATAGGCATGAGCCACCACGCCCAGCTCCTTTCTATTCTCTTCTAAGGATACTTACCATTAGATTGACGTCCCACCCATGGAATCTAAGATGATCTTACCTTGAGATCTTTAACTTAATCACACCTGCAAAGCCCCTTTTCCAAATAAGGTCACATTTGCACGTTCTGGGTGGACATATACTGCGGGGGCCCACCATTAACCTCCTCTACACTATCACATTATCTTCTTTCATTTTTTGATGTTCAGAGTAATTATACATTTGAAATGATCTAGTTCAGTGATGTTTTCTAGTTGCTGGTTATCACTCATTACTGGGTTTTGAAATCCAGTGGGCCCGGACAAGTATTTTAAAATTTTAGATAGAAATTTATTAAAAAATGAAACAGAAAATATGACAGCCTATCACATTTAATAAGCGTGATGGCTGAGACTACTTCCATTCATACTGCCTCCATATCAGGACTGAGAGCTGAGACCACTTGGCTTAATAATTTGTCCCAGGGAAATCTTGTCCAGGAAGACAAGGTGAGAGAAGAATGTGGAGAAACTGGAACCTTTGGGTACCCTGGGTGGGAAGGTAAAATGAGGCAGCTGCTGTGGAAAACAGTGTGGTGTTTCCTCACAAAACTAAGATTTGATTACCATATGATCTATCAATTCCATATCTAGGTGTATACCCAAAAGAATTGAAATCAGGGTCTCAAAGAGATACTTGCTTTTATTTTTATTTTTTATTGTTTTTGAGACAGGGTCTTGCTCTGATATCCAGGCTGGAGTGCAGTGTCGCAATCATGGCAGGTCTCAAACTCCTGTCTCAAGTGATCTACTTGCCTTGGACTGCCAAAGTGCTGGGATTACAGGTGTGAACCACTGAGTCTGGTCTCAAAGAGATAACTCATCTTCACAGCAGCATTATTCACAGTAACTGAAAAGCGGAAGCAACTCGGGTGTCCATCAACAGATAATAGATAAAGAGAATGTGGTATATACACACGTGTTAGTCTGCTCAGGTTGCCATAAAATGCCATAGACTGGGTGGCTTAAACAACAGAAATTTGCTTTCTCACAGTTCTGGAGGTTAGGAAGTCCCAGATGAAGATTCCAGGCAATTTGGTTTCTGATGAGGGCTCTCTTTATGGCTTGCAAATGGCAGCCTTCTTGCTGTGTCCTCACATGGCCTTTCTTTGGTACATGCCCCTGGGAGAGAGAGCACAAGCTCTGTGATGTCTTTTCTTGTAAGCACACTAGTCTTGTCCAATCATTGACCAAACCTATGACTTCATTTAACCTTAATTACTTCCTTAGATGCCCCATCTTCAAATATAGTCACACTAGGAATTAGGACTTCAACATATTAACTTTGGGGGAACATGAATATTCGGTCTATAACAATACACAATGGAACCTTAGCTTCAAAAAGGAAGGAAATTCTGACACACGCTACAACATAGATGAAGCTTGAGGATCATATGAGGTACCTAGAATAAGTCAAATTCATAGAGACAGAAAGTAGAACAGTGGTTGCCAGGGACTGAAGGGGAGTACTGTTCAATGTGTAAAGATTTTGGGTTTTGCAGGAAGAAAAGAGTTTGGGAGATGGAAGAAGGTGATGGTTGCACAACATGTGAATACATTTAATGCCATAGGACTGTACACCACTTTCACTTTTACATTTATTTATTTATTTTTTATTCTTCAACTGCTCTCAAGTGGGATGCTTTCACTTCTTTTGTGTATACACCCAGAAGCAAATCCATTTGGTTCTTTTTTATAGCTTCTAGTTCTTTGCTGAGATTTTTCATTTTTCATGTTTTAAGAGGACTTGTAATTGATTGTTGGAGAATTTTTGTGTTGGCTGCTTTGAAATCCTTGTCAGATAATTCCAACATTGGATTCATCTTCTCAGTTGATTGCATCTTCTCATTCAAATGGTCATTTTTCCTGGTTCTTGGTATGACAGGTGATTTATTTGTTTATTTTTTTGAGATAGGGTCCCACTCTACTGCCCAGGCTTGAGTGCAGTGGTGCAATCTTGGCTCAGTGCAGCCTCTATCTCCCAGGCTCAAGCAATCCTCCCACCTCAGCCTCCCAACTAGCTGGGACCACAGGTGCACACCACCACACCTGGCTAATTTTTGTACTTTCTGTAGAGACGAGGTTTTGCCATATTGCCCAGGTTGGTCTTGAACTCCTGGGCTCAAGCGATCCACCCACCTTGGCCTGGCAAAGTTCTGGGATTACAGGCATGAGCCACTGTGCCCAGTGACAGGTGGTTTTGGATTGTAAATTAGATATCACGTTAGGATACTCTGGGTTCTCTTTAAATCTCTTATTTTAGCAGGTAAGCATCCTTTTTAGGTTTGGCATGGAGGTCCTAGCTACTTTTGTGGGCTGTGGTTCCAATGACAGTTTAATTTTCAGTGTCTTAGAGGCCTGCTTTGTTTTCTGTGCCTCTGGGGCTCCTGCTGGTCTCTGCTCATGCTGCCTGAGCAGGTGGAAGAGGGGAGTCTCAGGCCCATGGGACAAAGAGGCTCTCCTGGCTGGCGCCTTGTATTGGGGATGGAGAGTATTTCCTGAACTAGGTGTTTGTCATGCTGGGATCTTCCCACCAGTGCCCTCCAGCTGCTTCAGTGCTTCTTCCAGTCAGGGGAGGGGAGTATCAGGCTCACAGGGTCAAAGAGGCTCCCAGAGCCAGGCTGCTCGTCCTGGCCACGTCCCTCTTACAGTTCTTGCCCAGATATGGGGGAATGGAGTCTTAGTTCTACGGGGACAAAGAGGCTCCTGTAGCAGTCTGCTTGCTCCTTGTGGCTGGGTGCCTCCTGCCAGTTCCTCCTGTCTGCTTTGGCACCTCTTGGCAGGGGAGAGGACTCTTGGGCCCAGCTAATGCTCACCCTGGCTGCTTAGTGTTGGTGGGACTTCCAATCTGTCCCCCTGCTGGTAGTGTTGGACTACCCTGATGTTGTCAGAGGTCCTGTTCAATTTGGGGGAGAAATGACCATATCTGGGCTGGTTTCTGTAACAACAGTGTGGGTTGGGAAATGCCAGGTCTGGATTGGGTTTGGGGGGAACATAAGATGCCCTCCTGCTTTGTTGTTCTTCCAGTCTTGGGGACCCAGACCAGTTTGCCTTCTTCTTACTGTCTTTCAGAGTTCTCTCTTGGTTGCCTTTTGCATTGCTTCCAGGGTTTATAGTTTTGCTTTGAGGGGAGGAGCAGGGAGAAACTGTTCTGTGCCACCTTGACCCACCAGGTACTTTGAGCACTGGCGCAGTGGTGAAGTTCCAGGGTACCCATTCCTGGATTCATGTCTCTCAGCTGGAATAACACAGAGTTTCATCCTCTGCCAATTAGACAGCCATTGGAAGATGCTCAGAGTCCTTTAGAAACAGACAGTAACAGGAAGAAAAACAGCTACACGAGACTATGAGATCAAGTAGATGACATGCGAAATAGACAGCTTCTGCTCCAAATTCCAAATCAAAACCTCACCTTGCTTTTCTTTTTTTTGCCTTTTAAATCTTCTTTGATATAGTCTAGTTACTCTGCTCTCCATTCTTTGCTCATTTACTTGAATATAAAGAAGGAGATAATTTTTTTTAAGAGATAGGGTTTCACCCTGTCACCCAGGCTGGAGTGCAGTGGTGCAATCATAGTTCACTGCAGCCTTGAACTCCTGGGCTTAAGCGATCCTCCTGTCTCAGCCTCTCAAGTAGCTGGGACTACAGGTGCACATCACCACATTTGGCTAATTTTTTAATTTTTTGTAGAGACAGGGTCTTAATATGTTGCCCAGATTGGTCTCAAGCTCTTGGCCTCAAGTGATCTTCCTGGCTTGACCTCCCAAAGTGCTGGGATTACAGATGTGAGCTACAGTGCCTGGCCAATAATTGCTTTTGTTAACTTTTTTTTCTAGATTTATGAATTTTGTTGCTTATTTCTGGGTATGATATTAATAGGTGGTTATATATGGCTCATTCAATAGTCAATGTTCAAAGGAAAAAATGATTGCTATGTATGTTTCCAGCTTTGTAGGCTGGTCACCTCATTATTCCCCATTCCATATCCTGAACAAGTGGAACACCCTTTCAGAGACAAGAACATGGGAAAAAGCCTTCCTTAAAAACTTTTCTGAAAATTGCTATAATCATAGACCCAAGGAACAGCCTAATTCACCTTATGATGTGGTTCCCAAGAAAGGAGAAAGAAAGTGTCTAGGAAGACTAGACCCAATCTTGAGACCCAAAGGTGAGACTGGCAAGGGCAGGAGAAGTCACATGTAGTTCTCTGTGCTGGAAGGAAAGTTCCACTGGATATAACCAGCCAATCCATGCTGCCTGCTTCTCCTTGGTTCCTCTTCTTTCTTTAGCTCAGAAGAAGGAACTCCTTATTTTCCAAGTAATCCCAGCATGGAGAATTTAAGATGGCTGTAAATTCTTTAACATTCCTTATATCACAGGGTCTAAGACCCCTTCTCTTGAATGAGGGTTCTCTTTGCTATTGCTTGGATCTATAGAATACAGCAAAAATGATGCTGTGTGTAGTAAGATAAGGCTGTAAACCAGTAAGAACTGATTCTTTTGCTTTAGGGAATTCATCCAAGCCAATTTATCTGGACAGTTTGCTGAACGAGCTCTCCCATCTGGGTAACAGATTGCTCATCTGGGAAAACAGCTTGCCTATCAAACAGCAGTTTCACTGATTGAGACTGGTTTTAAGACCCTTGCCTTGATGTGTTCACCAATCCTAAAGTATCATGTCATGAAATGTGCCCAATCCCAATCAATTTCTGTCTTGAAAGACCTTCTTTGAACCACTTGAGCCCAGATCCCAATAATATACATTTCCTTTCCTCGCCTTCCCCTTTCTAAAATACTATGAAGATTGTCAAGATGGTGGTCTCCATGACTGCAGAACATCTAACAAAGTTAGCTTTGCTTGATGGCTTGTTTTTTGGTTTTTTGATGGTCTTTTGAGGAGCTGACAGGCTATGAGGTAAGCATTGTTTTGTAAAACTTGAGTTTCAGTTTTATACTGATGTGTCTGTGTCTGTGTGTGTACTGAGAAATGATGTAAAATGAATCTCAGCTGTGGGTGATAAGCTGTGTTGTTTCATTGTTGTCTTCTCATACTAGAATGTAAGCTGATGACCACAGAAATTTTATCCTCTCCGCCATACCCCCAATGTTTTGAACAATTTCTGGCACACAAATGTCTTTCTCTCTCTCTCTCTCTCTTTTTTTTCTTTGAGATGGAGTTTCACTCTTATTGCCCAGGCTGGAGTCCAATGGCATGATCTCGATTCACTGCAACCTCTGCCTCCCAGGTTCAAGCAATTCTTCTGCCTCAGCCTCCTGTGTAGCTGGGAATACAGGCACCTGCCCCCATGCCCAGCTGAATTCTGTATTTTTGGTAGAGATAGGGTTTTGCCATGTTGGCCAGGCTGGTCTCGAACTCCTGACCTCAGGTGATCCACCCGCCTCGGCCTCCCAAAGTGCTGGGATTACAGGCATGAATAACCACCACATCTGGCTTCTTTTTTTTTTTTTTTGAGACAGGGTCTTACTCTGTCACCCAGGCTGGAGTAGTGAGGCAATCCTAGCTCACTGCAGCCTTGACTTCTGCAGCCCCTGCACCCCTACCACCTCACAAAGGGGGAGTTTGGGGAGGCCCAGGGGCACCTCAGATCCTCAGTTTTCCTACTCCTTGTGGGCCTCAGTTTCCCTAGATGAGAAACGGGCATGTTGACCCCAGAACTCAGGGAGATCCAGCAGCTGCTCAGGGTCCCTCCGGCCTCCCCTGCGGCCTGCGGGCTTGTCCGCTTGATTTCCCATCTTGGCACGTGCTCCCCACGTGTAGGCTGGTGCCATCTGGGTCAGCCCTTGGGAGAATGTGGCTGCCTCCATTCCTAACCTCCTTCAATATTTATGGAGGCAGTGAATTTGGGGATTATACCCGGCTTCTGGAGTCAGACCTAGATGTGAATCTGGTTGGACCACTGCTGAGCTGTGTGACCCAGGGCAAGGCACTTTACCTCCTTGTGCATCTGTTTTCTCATCCCTAAAATGGGGATAATAACAGAACGTACCTGTAGGACTTTTTGGTGGTTAAATGAGTTAATATGGATAAAGGTTTGGATCAGAGTGAACCTTCTGATGCACCGTTATCCACCTGCCTCCACTTCCCTGCCTGTCACCACAGTTATAATCTTGCTTCTGTGTTTACTTAATCACTGTTTCGACTGCTTAACGTTTGATGAATACTTTTTCCACAAGAAGCAGGACAGAGCAAAGACAACTTTGCTCACCCTGTATCCCAGCACCTAGCAGGTGTCTGAGTGGAGGAGTCTGAGGCAAGTTTGGCCAGGCTAGGTGGTAAGAAGTGAGTTTGACGGTTCTACATCAGTCTGAAAGAAGAATTTCAACAAGTACTGTAGTCCCTCCTATCCATGGTTTTGTTTTCCTCCATTTAAGTCAGTCAACCTCGGTCTGAAAATATTAAGATAATTTGGCTGGGTGCAGTGGCGCAAGCCTGTAATACCAGCACTTTGGGAGGCCGAGGCGGGTGGACCACCTGAGGTCAGGAGTTTGAGACCAGCCCGGCCAACATGGTGAAACCCCCTCTCTACTAAATACAAAAAATTAGCAGGGTGTGGCAGCGCATTCCTGTAATCCCAGCTACTTGGGAGGCTGAGGCAGGAGAATCACTTGAACCTGGGAGGCAGAGGTTTCAGTGAGCCGAGATTGCACCATTGCACTCCAGCCCGGGCAACAATAGCAAAACTCCATCTCAAAAATAGATATAGATAGATAATTTGGGAGAGAGAACACATTCACATAACTTTTATTATAGTATATTGTTATAATTGTTCTCTTTTATTATTGTTGTTGTTAATCTCTTACTGTGCCTAATTTATAAATTAAGCTTTATCATAGTTAATGTGGGTATAGGAAAAATAATAGTATTTTTATTTTTTATTTTATTTTATTTTTTTACAGAATCATAGGCTTCAGTACTATCCATGGTTTGAAGTATCCACTGGGGGTCTTGGAACATATCACTTTGGGGGACTGTTGTATAGGAGGGTTGGGTCTGATACGGAAGCTCAGTCTCCAGGGAAAATCAGTTAAGGTCAGTATTACCATTGAAGGACATGGGTTCTTGAAAGCCCCACACCTTTTTTAAATTTTAATTTTTATATATGTATTTATTTTTGGTTATCTTTGTATTTCAGCTTTGTCCCAGTCCCAGGGGCAGTGGAGGTCAAGAGTTGTTTTGCAAGGTAAATGCCTCCTGTGGGGCTTTCCCATAATGAAAGGATGAGAGAGAAAAGATGCAACCTGACATTTGGTGTTGGCTGGCTGGCTTGCTTTCTTGTCTTCTCTCTTTCTCTTTCTCCTTCTCTTCCTATAAACTAAATGAGCTAAATCAGAGCAAGACACAATCTTGCTCTGCTACCCAGGCTGCAATGCAGTGGCACGATCATAGCTCACTGTAGCCTCTACCTCCTGGGCTCAAGCGAGCCTCCCACCTCAGACTCTTAGGTAGCTAGGACCACAGGCATGAGCCACCATGCCCAGCTAATTTATATGTGTGTGTGTGTGTGTGTGTGTAGCTGGGGTTTTGTGTGTGTGTGTGTGTAGCTAGGGTTTCCCTATGTTGCCCAGGCTGGTCTGGAACTCCCAGCTTCAAGTGACTCTCCCTCCTTAGCTTCCCAAAGTACTGGGATTACAGGCATGAACCACTGTGCCCAGCCTAGTGTTGGCCTTCTAATGGTTCTCTCAGTTAATATTGAGAATGCACTGAAATCCCCAGCACTTGCTCTGGGGCAGGTGACTTCTAGCTTCTAGAGTGAGGTCTCATCCTCCCAGTTGCCATGGCAGTGAGCTGACATGGGGTGGGGGCCCTATTCCCAAGCTCTTGGTGGAAAAAAAATGAATTTCCCTCTTGTACCTTTGTAAGTTGACAGTAAAGTATTTTTCATTATACTCCTAAAGAGTTATAAAGGATATCATTACCATCCTATCCTGTATGTATTGTATGTATGTTTTAACTATATTTTAAGCAAAATCTAGGAGTTATAGATTGTTCATTTAGTGTGTGGAAATTGTCTGGCAAAGCACCTCACTGGCCAACATGGGCCTCAATGTGTAATCCAGAAGTCTGACTTCATTTTATTAAAAAAGCTTTATGTTTTAGTGAGGTATAATTTACATATCACAAAATTCACTCATTTTAAATTTAACAATTTTTAGTAAACTTATATTAATCACTGCCACAATCAATTTTAGATTATTTCTTTTATTATTATCAATTTTTTAAGCACCAGTTTGCTATTGAAATAACATTTTCATCAAACCAAAAAGATGCCCTGAGCCTATTTTCAGTCAGTCACTCCCCATTTCACCCCAGGCAACCAATGATCTACTTTCTTTTTCTATGAATTCACCTTTTCTGGCTATTTCATATAAATGGAATCATAAACATATAATACGTAGCGTTTTATGACTGGCTTTCATTTCAGCACGTTTTGAAGTTCAGCCACCTGGTAGCATGTATCAATACTTAATTCCTTTTTATTGGTGAATAGTATAATATTTCATTGTATGGATATACTACATTTTTTTTCTTTTCTTTTTTCTTTTCTCTTGGCCTCTTGAGTAGCTGGGGCTAAGGTGCATGCCACCATGCCTGGCTAATTTTTTAATTTTTCATAGAGATGGGGTCTCATTATATTGCCCAGGCTGGTCTTGAATTCCTGGCCTCAAGCAATCCTCCCAACTCAGCCTCCTGAGTAGCTGGGACTATAGGTGTGAGCCACCATGCCTGGCTATGTTTAACATTTTAAGAATCTGCCAAACTGCTTTTCAAAATGGCTATGGCATTTGACATTCCCACCGGCAATGCATGAGTTCCAGTTTCTCCACATCTCACCAACACTTGTTTTTATTGTAGCCATTTTAGTAGGTGTGAAGAGCTATCTTATCGTAGGTTTTTTTTTTGTCTCTTTTTTATTTTGATGAAATGCACAGAACATAAAATTTGCCATCTTAACTGTTTTTTTTTTCTTTTTTCTTTTTTTTTTAGATGGAATCTCACTCTGTTGCTCAGGCTGGAGTACAGTGGTGCAATCTTGGCTTACTGTAACCTCTGCCTCCCGGGTTCAAGTGATCCTCCTGCCTCAGCCTCCTGGGCAGCTGAGATCATACCAGGCTAATTTTTTTTTTTTGTATTTTTAGTAAAGATGGGGTTTCACCATTTTGGCCAGGCTGATCTTGAACTCCTGACCTCAAGTGATCCACCCACTTCGGATTACAGGCGTGTAATCCACCGTGCCCGGCAATCCAAAATGCTGGGATTACAGGTGTGAGCCACTGTGCCCGGCAATCTTAACCATTTTTAAGTGTACAGCTCAGTAGTGCTAAGTATATTCACATTGTTGTGAGCGATCACCAGAACTTTTTCATCTTGCAAAACTGAGGCTTGTCATTCGTTAAACAACTCCCTACCTTCTTTCCCTTTGGTCACTGGCAGCCACCATTCTACTTTCTGTTTCTGTGATTTTGTCTACTCTAGATATCTCATATAGTGGATTTTTAGTTCCTAGTTGCTTATTTTCCTTCTCTCCAGTCTAAGGGAATATTCTGCCAATACTCTCTTGATCTTCTGTAGATGATTTTATTGACTTAAACTTGTTTTTTGTTTTTGTTTTTTTTTGCAGAGAAATAGAGTTGGGGTGGTGTTTTTGGGTTGTCATTAGCTGGTCTTCATTGTTATGGTTGTTTGAAAATTGGCTAAAATGGGGTGTGGGGGGGTTGGAAGCAAGCATTGTGACTTGTAAAGCTTTCTGTGTTATTAATATTGTGAAAATGGTCTTCTAATTTAATCCTAAACAATAACCAATTTGTTTCTTTAGGACTTAAGATGTCTTCATTGGTCAGGCTTCACAGAGAACAATATGGCAACCTTCAGTAGCTACAGTGAATTTTTTTTTTTTTGAGATGGCATCTCTCTCTGTTGCCCAGGCTAGAGTGCAGTGACATGATCTCGGCTCACTGCAACCTCCGCCTCCTGGGTTCAAGTGATTCTCCTGCCTCAGCCTCCCGAGTAGCTGGGACTACAGGCTTGTGTCACCACATCTGGCTAATTTTTATATTTTTAGTAGAGACGAGGGGCTTTACTGGCCCAGCCAGAAACAGAAACTAAGAAGCCATGACTGTGTTCTCTCTCTCGGATAGCCCAGGAGGCCTTCGCATTCTCTCACCACTGACTCACTGACTCATCCAGAACAACTTTCAGTTATGGCAAGCTCCAGTCTTGGTAAGTGCCCTATACAGGTTGTATTAGTCTGTTTGAGTTGCTATAAAGGAATACCCGAGACCGGTAATTTATTCACATAAAGAAAAGAGATTTATTTGGCTCATGGTTCTGGAGGCTGTACGGGAAGCATAGTGCTGGCCTCCGCTTCTGGTGAGGGCCTGAGGAAGCTTCCACTCATGCTGGAGGTGAAGGAAGGCCAGCACGTCACACGGCAAGAGAGGGAGCCAGAGAGAGAGGAAGAAGTGCCGGACTTCTTTTAAACAGCCAGTTCTCACGATGAACTAACAGAGTGAGAACACGCTTATCCCCAAGCGGATGGTGCTAAGGCATGCATGAGGGATTTGCTCCCGTGATCCGACACCTCCCACCAGGCCCCACCTCCAACCTTGGGGATTACATTTCAACATGAGATGTGGAGGGGACAAGCATCCGAACCATATTGCATGTGTACACTTTTTATCTTTTTGAGACCAAGTTTCACCCTGTCGTCCAGGAAGGAGTACGGTCGCACAATCTTGGCTCACTGCAAACTCTGCCTCCTGGGTTGAAGCCATTCTCCTGCCTCAGCCTCCTGAGTAGCTGGGACTACAGGTGTGCATCACTACAGCCGGCCAATTTTTGTATTTTTAGTAGAGATGGGGTTTCACCATGTTGGCCAGGCTGGTCTCGAACTCCTGACCTCAAGTGATTCACCCACCTCAGCCTCCCAAAGTGCTGGGATTACAGGCATGGGCCACCATGCTCAGCCCACTTTTTATCTTTATACTGGTATTTTTACTATCCCTTTTCTATGTTTAGATACATGAATGCCATTGTGCTACAGTTGTCTATGGTATTCAGTACAGTAACACGCTGTACAGATTTTTAGTCTAGGAGCAATAGGCTACACCATATAGCCTAGGTGCGTAGTAGGCCATACCATCTAGATTTGTGTAAGTGCACTCTCTGATGTTCATGATTTCACCACAACGGTGAAATCATCTAGCCACACATTTCTCAGAAGTGCTGTATCCCTGCTCTTAAGTGATGTATGACTGTCTTTGTTTTTAAATATTCAAACAACATTGAAGTGCATAGTACAAAAAAGTGCAAATCCACTAAAATCCCAACGCTGAGCATTTGCCAGTGTTTACGGTTTCATGTGTGTTCTTTAAACTTTTTGTTATATTGCTGGAGAAGTCTGTAAACAAAGTATACTCTCGGTTTGTGTGTGTTTGAAGGTAGTTTGCAGACTTAATTGCTTATGAGCCATCATTAATATTTCACCTCTGCAAACACCAAAATAGATACCCTCAAATCTTTGCACTTTTCCCCTTTCATTGTTGTTTTCACGCGTTACTTACAAGTTCAGTGGTTCTCACTCAGAGCTGGTTATGCCCAAAGAGCCTGAGTTGGGCCCCCCAATCCATTGTGGCCTTGCTTCTCAAACCTCTGGATGCTTAAGAATCACTTGAAAAGCTCGTTAAAATGCAGTTTCCCAGGCCCCATCCCTGCTATTTTTTAAATTCTAGGGCCCAGGGTTTATAAGTACTCAGCTCAGGCAACTCACGCTAGTAATCTTGGAAACATTTTAAGAATTCTGCACCAACGAATTGCTGGTACCAATGAGGCAAGGGAATAGGGTCTGGAGGCAGGGAACCTAAGGCCGACTTCCTCGAACTAAATTGAAAGGAAAACCCTGACTTTCCATGCCTAAGTAACCAAAGGACCAGAGGGTACTCCCTTTGCAAACCCTCACCTTTTCTGTGCGGCAGATGGGAAATTGAAAGTACCTCCGATTGGTTGTTTTCTTCAGCCAATCAGACTGATTGCGGGCCACTACTTTATTTACAGATAGTGAACAGCAAGTGGCCAGTGGGAACCCTCTAGCGGGTATTTGGACCCTAGAAGATTCTGCATCTAGGCCCTTGAGCGGCTGCTCGGGCCGCTCCCACCCTGTGGAGTGTACTTTCGTTTTCAATAAATCTCTGCTTTTGTGGCTTTATTCTTTCCTTGCTTTGTGTGTCCTGTCCAATTCTTTGTTCAAAATGCCAAGAACCTGGACACACTCCAATGATAACACCAATTCTCTGGGCAGCCTTGCAGCCTGCTAAGCCCAGCTGCAGCCAGCATGCGACATCTGGCTGGATGCTCTTGGTCGTAGTCAGGCTGCCTGTAATAAAAGCCCGTGGGGGACCAGGCGCGGTGGCTCACGCCTGTAATCCCAGTACTTTGGGAGGCCGAGGCAGGCGGATCACCTGAGGTTGGGAGTTCGAGACCAGCCTCACCAACATGGAGAAACCCCGTCTCTACTAAAAATACAAAATTAACTGGGCGTGGGGCGCATGTCTGTAATCCCAGCTACTCGGGAGGCTGAGGCAGGAGAATCACTTGAACCCGGGAAGGGGAGGTTGAGGTGAGCCAAGATCGCGCCATTGCATTCCAGCCTGGGCAACAAGAGTGAAACTACGTCTAAAAAAAAAATCCTGTGGGGTGTTGCTCTAGATTGGGGTGTGCACACCCGACTCTGGCTGGCCCCATGACCGCCCTGGTCATTATCCTGCTGCCTGCCTGGTATGGAGCAGGAACTCCTGCTCTCTGGCATTAAGTGAGTGAGCCAATGCTATTTGCTTTTCCCTCCCTTGGCACATTTGAAACGGTAAATAAGCAGCATTCATATACACTACAGTAGTACCTCCTTATCCACAGTTTCATTTCACAGTTTCAGCTACCCATGGTCAACTGCAGGCCCAAAATAGGTGAATACAGTACAATAAGATATAAATATATAAAAGCATATTTATATATAAATATATAAAAATTTATATTTATATAAAGAAATAAATATATAAATACTTAAAATATATATTATATAAATTATATAAATATAAATCTATGTATAAATAAATATTTATGAATATATTTATATAAATATATAATATTTGTGTTCTTTTAAGAATATGAATGTGTGGGAATTTGTTATAACAATAGAAAACTAATAAATGGTTCAAATGCCTTATGGTTTTGAATATTTCTGTCTGCAGCCTTGGCCTCCCAGGCTCAAGCCATCCTCCCACCTCAGCCCCCTGAGTAGCTGTGGCTACAGGTGCACACCACCACATCTGGCTAATTTTTTGTATAGATGGGGTTGAGACCAGCCCAGGTCTCAAACAATCTGCCTACCTTGGCCTCCAAATATTTAATATTATATATATGATATTTATATAGATATTATATAAAAATAAGTTTATATACATATATATATATATATATATAGAGAGAGAGAGAGAGAGAGAGAGAGAGAGGGAGAGAGAGAGAGAGAGAGAGGTCTCGCTTTGTCACCCATGCTAGAGTGCAGTGGTAGGAACATGGCTCGCTGTAGCTTCAACCTCCCAGGCTAAAGACATCCACCCACCTTAGCCCCCTAAGCAGCTGTGACTACAGGTGCATGCCACCACACCTGAGTATTTGTGTGTGTGTGTGTGTGTATGTGTGTGTGTGTGTGTTGTAGAGACGGGGTTTTGCCATGTTGCCCAGGCTGGTCTCGAACAATCCGCCCTCCTCAGCCTCCAAAGTGCTGGGATTACAGGTGTGAGCCACTGCATCTGGCCCAGTAAGATCTTTTAAGAGAAGGAGAGAGAGAAAGACAGACCACATTCATATAATTTTTATTACATGTTATAATTGTTATAATAGTTCAATTATAGTTCAATATAGCAATATAACAATTGCTATATTGTTATAATAGTTCAATTGTATTATTATTGTTGTGAAACTCTTACTGTGCCTAATTTATAAATTACACTTTATTATAGGCATGTATGTATAGGAAAAAGCATAGTATAGATAGGGTTTGGTGCTGTTTGAGGTTTTTTCAGGCATCCTTTGGGGGTCTTGCAACATGTCTCCTGCAGCTAAGGGAGAGCTGCTGTATAGCCTCCTACCAAAGGAGAATAGAAAAAACCCTGTAAAATGCAGACAGAAACATTCAAAACCATAAGGCATTTGGGCCATTTGTTAGCTTTCTATTGTTATAACAAATTCCCAAGCATTCATATTCTTTTTTTTTTTGGAGATGGAGTCTCACTCTGTTGCCCAGGCTGGAGTGTGGTGGCACAATCTTGGCTCGCTGCAACCTCTTCCTCCTGGGTTCAAGCGATTCTCCTGCCTCAGCCTCCCAAGTAGCTGGGACTATAGGTGAGCGCCACAATGCCTGTCTAATTTTTGTATTTTTTAGTAGAGATGGGGTTTCATCATATTGGACAGGCTGGTCTCAACTCCTGACCTCGTGATCTGCCCTCCTCGGCCTCCCAAAGTGCTGGGATTACAGGGATGAGCCATTATGTCCGGCCTCATATTCTTAAAAGGACACAAATTTATTATCTTTTAGCAGTGTGGGTCAGAAGTGTATCATGGGTCTCACTCGGTTAGAATCAAGGTGCATTCCTTTCTGGGGAGGCTGTAGGAGAGGATCCATTTCCCTGCCCATTCAGGTTATTGGCAGAGGGCAGTTCCTCTGGTTTGAGGACTGAGAGCACCATTTTCTTACGGGCCATCAGCTGAGGGCCATTCTAGAGCCTACTTGCATTCCTTGGCTTGAGGCCCCCTTCTCCTGTCTTCAAAGCCAGCAACAGCATGTCCATCTCACACTTCCATATATTGTTATAATTGTTCTATTTTATTATTAATTATTGTTGTGAATCTCTTACTGTGCCTAATTTATAAATTAAACTTTTTCATAGGTATGTATGATACTTGTGATCTCTTCTCCTCCTCCAACTCATGTCTTATTGCATCCTGGAAAGATTCTCTGCTTTAAGGACCCCTGTGATTAGATTTGGCCCATCTAGATACCCGGGACAATTTCCATCTCAGGATCTGTAACTTTAATCACACTTCCAGAATCCCTTTGCTGTATAAGTTAACATAGTCACAGATCAGGGATTTGGGGTGGGAGATATCTTTGGGAACCATCATCTTTTGCCTATGGTGGGCCATTTAGGACAGATGGTCTCAATAGTCCCTGAGAGCATCATTCCATCATGGCACAACAGTTATCCTATTTCTTTTTTTTTTCTTTTTGAAACAGGGTCTCCCACTGTCATGCAGGATGGAGTGCAGTGGTGTGATGTTGACTCACTGCAGCCTCTACTTCCCAGGCTCAAGTGGTCCTCCCACCTCAGCTTCCCAAGTAGCTGGGATCACAGGTGCACACCACCACCCCTGGCTAATTTTTTATATTTTTTGTAGAGACGGGTTTTGCTGTGTTGCCCAGGCTGGTCTGGAACTCCTGGGCTCAAGCGATCCACCCACCTCACCTCCCAAAGTGCTGAAATTACAGGCCTGAGGTTATCCTATTTCTTTGATTCTAAGATGCCATTCATTAAAAAAAAAAGTTTTTGTTATGGAAAGTGTCAAACATAAACAGAAGTAGAGGAACAGTATAATTTTCCCCTATGTACCCATCACTTTGCTCCTGTAAATACCAGCTGCTGGCCAATCTTGTGTCCTCTCTACCTTCCCTGTTTCTCTAGTTTGGAATTATCTTGAAGCAAATCTCAGCAAACATATTTTTGTCTATATGTGTTTCAATATGTATTGCTAGAAGCCTATGTAAGATGCAGTCCATAGTTTACTAATGTATCTCCTCCAAATTACTAATTTAATATCATCAAATATCCAGACACTGTATTTTCTTGTTATGCTGTACAGTTATTTATAGTTTATTTGAATTTACAGTTTATTTCAATAAAGCCTACATATTGCATTTGTTAGATGTCTCTTAAAAATTGTGGTGAAATGTACGTAACATAAAAATTATCGGGCCCGGTGTGGTGGCTCAAGCCTGTAATCCCAGCACTTTGGGAGGCCGAGGCGGGTGGATCACGAGGCCAGGAGATCGAAACCATCCTGGCTAACACGGTGAAACCCCGTCTCTACTAAAAATACAAAAAATTAGCTGGGCGCGGTGTTGGGCGCCTGTAGTCCCAGCTACTTGGGAGGCTGAGGCAGGAGAATGGCGTGAACCCGGGAGGCGGAGCTTGCAGTGAGCCAAGATCGCACCACTGCACTCCAGCCTGGGTGACAGAGCGAGGCTCCGTCTCAGAAACAAACAAACAAACAAACAAACAAACAAAATAAAAATTATCATAACCATTTTTAAGTGTACAGTGTAGCAGCATTAATACTTTCACCCTTTTGTGCAGCCATCATCTCCATCCATATACAGGACGTTTTTCTTCTTCTTAAACTGAAACTGTGTGTCTGTTAAATAACAATGCCTCTTTCCTCCTCCCAGTCCCTGGTAGATATCATTCTACTTTCTGTCTCTGTAAATTTAACTATTCTTGGTATTTCATATAAGTAGAATCATGTAGTATTTGTCCTTTTGGGACTAGCTTATTTTGCTTAGCCTAATATCTTTGCGGTTTATCCATGTCGTAGCATATAACAAAATGTCCTTTCAAAAAAATTATGATTTTAACCGTTTTTAAGTGTGCAGTTCGGTAGTATTAAGTATGTTTGTATCGTTGTGAAACAGATCTCTAGAACTTTTTCATCTGCAAAATTGAAACTCTATATCTGTTAAACAACAACTCTCTTATGCCTCATCCTGACCACCCCCTGGTAACCATCATTCTACTTTGTGTTTCTATGAATTTGATTACTTTTAGTTACCTCATAGAATTGGAATCATACAATATCTGTCTTTTTGCAGCTGCCTTATTTCCCTCAGCATGTTCTGAAGTTTCACCCACATTGTAATGTGTGACAGGATTTCCTTCCTTAAAGGCATCAGAGTATTCCATTGTATGTGTGATGGTTAATTTCATGTGTCAACTCGACAGGGTGCCCAGATATTTGGTGAAACATTATTCTGGATGTTTCTGTGAGGGTGTCTGTGGATGAGATTAACATTTTTAAAAACTTCTTTAAAATTGATATATAATAGTTGTGTGCTTTTTTTCTTTCTTTCTTTGAGATGGGGTCTCACTGTGTTACCCTGGCTGGAGTGCTGTGGCTATTCACAAGTGCCATCCTAGGATACTTCATCCTTAGACTCCTGGCCTCAAGTGATTCTCCTGCTTCAGCCTCCCAAATAGCTGGGACTATAGGTGCATACCACTGTGACTGGCTTTGTAAATGTTTCTGAAGGCTAGAATTTTACAGGGCATGTAAACTTGTCTCTAAGCAAACATGGGGTTAGTTTTGATAGACATTTACTCCTTATTCGAGGAACTGAAGCCTTTCCATGCATTCTGTAAATATTTAGTTATTTATTCATGTTTTAGAGACAGGGTCTCACTCTGTTGCCCAGGCTGGAGTGCAGTGACGTGATCATGGCTCACTGAAGCCTTGAACTCCTAGGCTCAAGTGATCCTCTTCTCTCAGCCTCCCAAGTAACTGGGATTCCAGATGTGCACCACCACACCTGGCTAAATTTTTAATTTATTGAATTTATTGGTAGAGACAGAGTCTTGCTATGTTGCCCAGGCTTTTTTTTTTTTTTTTTTTTTGAGATGGAGTCTCTCTCTGTTGACCAGGCTGGAGTGAAGTAGTATGATCTCAACTCACTGCAATCCCTCTGCCTCCCAGGTTCAAGCAATTCTCCTCCCGAGTAGCTGGGATTACAGGCACCTGCCACCATGCCCGACTAATGTTTTTTATATTTTTAGTAGAGTCAGGGTTTCACCATGTTGGCCAGGCTGGTCTCGAACTCCCAACCTCAGGTAATCTGCCCGCCTCGGCCTCCCAAAGTGCTGGGATTACAGGCGTGAGCCACCGTGCCCAGCCTATGTTGCTCAGGCTTCTATAAATATTTACAGCCTGCTGTGTATTGGGCACTGGGTGAGCAAGAAAGGACACATTTTGAAGCACATGCTTAGCCAATTTTTAGTGCTCCATAATTACTTATGAATAAATGAAATTGGATTCCCAGCTCACACAGGTGTCCCTAAAGCACGTACTGTAAGGTTGCCAAGCAGGTATAATGAGCAGGGAATTCTTGGTGTGTCTGTTTCTGAAAAGATACTAGGGAACTAAAAAGGACAGAGTAGAAAGTAGAACTGTCATTCTGCCTAACATGGTGAGGTATTCCAAGAGGGAAAGGAAATGCTATTCAGTCCCTTACCACGTCTCTCCATTTACACACAGCTCTGATAGGGTTTCTAGCACTTTGTGTGAGTGTCAGGTCATCGGCCAGGGCCTAGGAAGCCTCTGATGCAGCCTGAAAGATTTCACTCCTGTTCGTCATCTGCATTCCTTAGATAACTTCTCCCAATCACTAGGGTCAGCATTTTCTTTCTTCTATTTTTTTCCACTTACATTTATAAAATAATAAGGGCAAAATGCAATAAAATATTAAACTTTGTTGACCCATTTAAATACTTTACATGGAAGAAGCTGTCAAGGTTGCTGAGAATGCAGATCAGCTCTGAAGTTTTCCCATGGGACAGCCTGAAGTGTTGGCCCAGTGGTGATTGAGGGGCCCTGGTGTACCGCGAAGTGTAGGTGTTCCAGTTGTGGCAGTCACAAAACATCAAGGAGGTTCCAGTGCTGGTTCCTGAAACTAGAGAATTACCTAATCACTCGAGACCTAATTGTCTTTTTTTTTTTTTGAGATGGAGTCTCACTCTGTCACCCAGGCTGGAGTGCAGTGGTGTGATCTTGGTTCACTGCAACCTTTGCCTCCCAGATTCAAGCGATTCTCCTGCCCCAGCCTCCCGAATAGCTGGGACTACAGGCACCTACCACCATGCCTGGCTAATTTTTGTATTTTTAGTAGAGATGGGGTTGCACCATGTTGTCCAGGCTGGTCTTGAACTCTTGACCTCAGGTGATCCGCCTGCCTCAGCCTCCCAAAGTGGTGGGATTGCAGGCATCAGCCATCGCGCCCGGCCCCTAATTGTCTTTATGTATAGCATGTGAAGGACGGGGCTCTCTGAAACCCAGAGATCTAAAGTGTTTGCTTGGCAAACTCATCTGGGTGGCAGTTACTCATGGAGCACCTATGCTGTGGCAAGCACCATTCCAGTTGCTGGGAAATGGCAGTGAACAGGCAGGCAGAAATCCCTGTCTTCTAGGCGCTTACCTCCTGCTAGGGATTAGAGAAAACACAAATAAGTGAAGCTCACACCTGTAATCTGAGCACTTCGGGAGGCAGAGGTGGGATGATACCTTAAGGCTAGGAGTTTGAGACCAGTGTGGCCAACACAGTGAGACCCTGTGTCTACAAAAAAAGTAAAAACTTAGCCAGGGGTGGTGGCACACACCTGTAGTCCCAGCTTCTCAGTAGGCTGAGGTGGGAGGATTGCTTGAGACCAGGAGTTCAAGCCTGCAGTGAGCTAAGAACGTGCCACTGTACTCCAGCCTGGGCAACAGAGTAAGACCCCATCTCTAAAAAATAATAATAATAATTAAATAAATAATAAAATAAAATAAACCAAAATAAAACAAATAATAAAATAAAATAAACCAGCATTGAGGAATACTGGTCCATACCATGCATGGTAATAGTGACATGTGTGTGATAATAGTAATGATGACATGTTTGTGATAATAGTAATGATGATGGCATGTATGTGTGATAATAGTAATGATGATGGCATGTATGTGTGATAATAGTAATGATGATGATGTATATGTGTGTGATAATAGTAATGATGGTGATGTGTGTGTGATAATAGTAATGACGGTGATGTGTGTGTGATAATAGTAACGATGATGACATGTATGTGTGATAATAGTAACGATGGTGACATGTGTGTGTGATAATAGTAATGATGGTGATGTGTGTATAATAGTAATGATGATGACATGTATGTGTGTTAATAGTAATGATTATGACGTGTGTGATAATAGTAATGACGGTGATGTATATGTGTGTGATGATAGTAATGATGATGACATGTGTGTGTGATAGTAATGATGATGGCATATATATGTGTGGTCATGTATCAGATGCTGATGAATGTCCTGGAGAAAAGTGAAGCCAAGGCAGAGGGACAGGGAGTGCAGGTGGGAGTTGGGGGAAGGCGAGGAGGGCCCTACTGGGAGGATGGCATTTGGACAGAGCCCTGGGTGGAGGGAAGGAGCATGCCATGTGGTTACCTAGGGGACAGCAAGGGGCAAGTCCTTGTGGGAGAGAACAACTATAAGCCCATTAGAGAACAAGGTCAAGGTGGGGGCTGGGGGTGGGGTGTGGAGCACGGGGGCCCCAGATCATGGGGAACCTTCTAGGTCCCAGTGAGGACTTTAGCATTGACTCTGGGCCAGGTGTTGGCAAAGCCGTGGGTCTGGCATGGAGTCCACATCACCATAGCCCTCCTTCCATGGGCTTTTGAGTTACCCCAGAGGTCATTGCCAGGCTTTAGAGCAGGAGTCCACCACCTGTAGCCTTGTAGCCCTTGGGCCAAATCCTATCCACTTGTTTTTCTACAAAGCTGTGCACAGTGAGCCAGCAACTTCCCTCTTACCTGGTCAGTGAGGTTCCTTTATACATTTGTGATGCCATTTGTAATTGTTTTGTCACATTGTATATCCCATCCTGACTTCCTAAATGATTTTTTTTAAGGTGCATACTTTGAGATTCACTCTTGATGCCGTAAAGGTCAATGGGTTTTGGCAAATGCATAGTGTCATGTACCCACCATTACTGTGTCATACAGAATGGTTTCACCCCCCTGGAAAAACCCTGTGTATCACCATTCATCTTCTCCCTTTCCCTTTAAACCCCTGGCAACAACAGACCTTTTCACCACCTCTGAGGTTTTGCTTTTTCCAGAATGTCATCTAATTGGAATCAGATAGTATGTTGCTTTTTTAGACTGGTTTCTTTCACTTTGCAATATGCATTTAAGGTTCATTTGTGTCTTTCTTGTCTTGATAGCTCATTTCTTTTTATTGCATAATAATATTCCATTGAATGGATGTACCACAGTTTGTTTATCCTTTCACCTATTGAAGGGCATCTTGATTACTACCAGTTTTGGATGATTATGAATAAAGCTGCTATAAACATCTGTATACAGGTTTTTGTGCACATACAAGTTTTCAGATCAGTTGGGTAAACACCTAGAGGTGTGACTGGCATGATAAGACTGTGTCTAGCTGTGTATGAACCTCTGCTTTTTAGAGTATTATGGTAAAGCTGTGTCTGGCTGTTTATGGACCTGTGATTTTTTTTTTTTTTGAAACAGAGTCTTACTCTATTGCCCAGGCTGGAGTGGTGCGATCTCGGCTTGCTGCAACCTCCACCTCCTGGGTTCAAGTGATTCTCGTGCCTCAGCCTCCTGGGTAGCTGGGACTACAGGTGCATGCCACCATGCCCAGCTAATTTTTGTATTTTTTAGTAAAGACGGGGTTTCACCATATTGGCCAGGCTGGTCTCAAAATCCTGACCTCAGGTGATCCGCTCGCCTTGGCATCCCAAAGTGTTGGGGATACAGGCGTGAGCCACCACACCCAGCCGGACCTCTGCTTTTTAGAGAATTATGGTAAGGCTGTGTCTAGCTGTCCATGCACCTCTGCTTTTTAGAATATTATGGAAAGAACCTGTGACTTTTTTTGGTCTGTGTCCCTTTTACAATGCCATGTTACTCTTTTTCTATTTCTGGAGGCTTGATTGAAATTTCTCCAGAGGAGTGTTAAAATTCAAATTGTTTTCAGTGAAATTTAAAATTATGATGGAACTTCTAAGAGTAGATTCTTAAAAATCTTTTTAATTTTAAAATTTATCCCCAGTGGGCTCTACCCTGAGAATTTAATAGATCGGCTGACTTAGAAGTTGAGGTAATTGAGATACAACAGTAAAAAGTTAAAAATAATCATACTAGCATTCCTGGAGGCTTTGGGAGTGACAGGTACATTTAATTCGAAATTGCAAGGAAGGTGTTTCAGTGGACCTTATTTCCGGAGATATTTAAGGTTCTCTCCATGTAAGGACATTAGAATCTAAATTATTTCTGACCAGTGCAAAAACTTGAAACATGTCAGAAAGCTATTGTTGTAAAAGAAGGAACAAAATGGAACAGGAAAGAGGCTTGGATTTTTTTCAGCTTTATTTTTTATCCATTATGAAATTATAATTTTATAACTATTGATTTATAATACTGACGTGTAATAACACGTTGTGCATATTTAAAGTGTACAAATTAGAGATTTGGCTTATGGACATCAGACTATCTGTACAATCAAGATAAGGTACACATTTGTCATCTCCTGAAGCGTCCTCCGGCCTCTCTGTAATCCAACCCCCGTCCCTGTCTCCAGGCAGCAACTTATCTGCCACTTTTAATTGCTATAGATTAGTTAGCATTTTCTAGAATTGTATGTAAATTTATATATTATATATAATTTTACATAAGTTATATAAATGGACTCATATGGAAAATACTCTTGGTTGGGGGGAATTTTTTTGCTTTTTGGTATGATTACTGTGAGACTCATGCATACTGTTGGGTGGATCAGCCCTTTATTTATTGTTGAGTAGTGTTCATTTTATTCTGTGATGCTGTGGACTGAATTGTGCCTCCCCACCCCCGCCCCCAAATTTATATGCTGAAGCCCTAGCGCTCAATGTGACTGTATGTGGTGATAGGGCTTTTAGGAGGTAATTAAGGTTGACGGAGGTCATAAGGGTGGGTCGTAATTCGTTAGGATGGATGGCCTTACCAGAAGAAGAAGAGAGAGAGATCTCTCCTTCTGGCACGTGAGGACACCGCAAGAAGGCAGCTTACTGCAAGCCAGGAAGAAGGCCCACATCAGACCCTGGCCATGACGGCACCCTAAACTTGGACTTCCAGCCTCCTGAACTGGGACAGAAGAAATATCTGTTGTTTAAGCCGCCCAGTCTATGATGTTTGCCGTGACAGCCCAAGCTGACTAAGACATGGATACACCACAATTTGTTTTTCATTTACCTGTTGATAGGCATTCTATTTATTTACCTATTTATTTATTTTTGAGACGGAGTCTCACTCTGTTGCCCAGGCTGGAGTGCAGTGGCACAATCTCAGTTCACTGCAACTTCCTCTTCCTCAGTTCAAGTGATTCTCCTGCCTCACCCTCCCGAGTAGCTGGTATTACAGGCATGCGCCACCATGCCTGGCTAATTTTTGTATTTTTTGTAGAGCTGGGGTTTCACCATGTTGGCCAAGCTGGTCTCAAACTCCTGATGGCAGATGATCCACCCGCCTCAGCCTCCCAAAGTGCTGGGATTACAGGCGTGAGTCACTGCGCCTGGCCTTATGGACATTTTAGTTGTTTCCAGTTTGACTATTACAGAGAATGCTGCTCTGAGCAGCTGTGTACAGGTCTTTGTGTGGCCATGTGCTTTCATTTTTATTGGGTGAATATCTAGGAGTGGACGGGCTGGGTTATATGGTAGGTGTATGTTTTACTCTTTAATAAACTGTCCAACTGTTTCCTAAGGCACCTGTACCATTTTATATTCACACAAGCAGTGTGTGAGCGTTCTACTTCCTCCACATCAGCCTTGAGGTCTGAATTTTGAATTGCTCTTCCTTAGATGGTCCACCCAGAGGGCTCAGCGTTGGCTTGTGACATGGCCAGGAGAGGCAGGGCAGGCAGCTGCTTCCCTCTGGAGCCCTCCCTCATACTCTTCATGTTGTCACATGAGAATTTTTAGGTTTCTTTTTCTTTTTTTCCTTCCCTGCAGTCCAAAGTCACATGAGAATTGTTTTATGCCTATGTTAAATGTGCTTTCCATAAAAATTTAGAATGACAATATAGGTATCCTCTGACTTGTCTTTCTTACGTTGCTTTTCCTAATTATTTACTTGCAGACATCCTGGAGAGGGTTTCTGGGCTGTAATGTATTAAAAGAAATCTAGGTTTTAAAGTCAGACCGACTTGGATTTGAATTTAGGCTTCACGGCTTAGTTGTGGGGCAAGTCATCTGAGTTGAGCCTCAGTTTTGTCATCTGTTTAAAAACTTTTATTTGTTTGTTTTAGAGGATGGGATCCGCTGTGTTGCCCAGGCTGCAGTGCAGTGCAGGAGCAATCACAGCACACTGCAGCCTCCAACTCCTGGCCTCAGGTGATCCTCCTGCCTCAGCCTCCTGAGTAGCTGGGACTACAAGCATACCACCACCACTCCCGGCCCCTCCTCTGTTTTTGAAAGGTATGTGTGGAGAGGTTGATATTACCCAGCTTGTGTGGTTGTTATAAAGCTTAAATATAATGCATTGAAAACATCTTTATTTATTGAATATCTGGGATAATGTATTAATCTTCCAGGGTTATACTTGTAATTATAAGCTGCATTTTCTATTTAACAGTGGTTGACCTGCTACCCACTTAGTGACTAGGAGAAGAATTGACATTTTCATGGATGCCACCGTTAGAGGGAGGCCACAGAGAATATGGTGAAATGCAGTGGCTTTGCCAGGGCTTAGGGTAACCTCGCAGTGGTTAACAATGTCTCAGGCCAGGTGCAGTGACTCACGCCTGTAATCCCAGCATTTTGGGAGGCCAAGGAGGGTGGATCACGAGGTCAGGAGTTCAAGACCAGCCTGGCCAACATGGTGAAACCCCCGTCTCTACTAAAAATACAAACATTAGCTGGGCATGGTGGCAGGTGCCTCTAATCCCAGCTACTCTGGAGGCTGAGGCGAGAGAATCGTTTAAACCCAGGAGGCAATAAGCCAAGATCGCGCCATTGCAATCCAGCCTGGGCAACAGGGCGAGACTAGATCTCAAAAACAAAAACAATGCCTCAGCCTTGCTTCAGTCATTTGTACTGTAGTGGGGATGTATTTCATATGCATATTTATGTACTTCCACCAAGGCAATTCCTGCCTGAATGTAATTCCTCGACGTGGCCTGTTTGGGAATCCCTAGCCTCCTTAGGGACTGCTTAGTCTGTTTTTAGGGAGAACAGGAACACACTCTGGCTCCAAGAGGCAGGTTTCCCAGGCTTCTGGGATTCCAGCCGGTGTGTGTTGCCTGCCTTTTGCAGCACTTGGGCCCACGGGTGGTAAGGATGCTGCCTCTTGGCCTGTAGAATTCTTTGTCCAGCTGGCCGAAGTGTGTTGAGAGTGCATGGGGCCTTCCTTCCCATGGAGAAGTGGGGGCTTATTCTTTGATGGCTGGGCCAGACTGCTCACTGATGTCGCTGGAATTTGGAAGGTTGTCGTGAAATGGACAGTCAGGAGATTGATGTTAGCATGGGCAGGTAGGCTGGTGCTGGAACTGTGAGGGGAGTGGGAAGGGTGGGCGTTGGTAGGCAGGGGATTTGCTGTGCCAGGTGAAGGTGTCTTGAGGCCTTCTCTGCTCTGCCTGACCGCTGGGTTTCAAATCCCCTGCAGCGTTCCTCCTTAGAGCCGGCTGGCTTTCTTGGCATCATTTGGTTTAGTTGCTAGGAAGCGGAATAAGGCAAATGCAACTTCCTTTTGACTTACTCACATTGAACCATCTGCTTATTCCTTCTCGTGGCCTTCAAACTTGGCGAGGAGCATTGAGAAGAGGGTCGAGCAGAGCATCTGTGCTCATCCTTACTGGAAACGGAATGCTTTCTGATAACTCTTTAACCCTCTCAGTCCAAATTCATTGCAGTTCATCTTGGACAGCTCCTAGTCTCTTTCAGCTAATGGTTTGGAGCAAGCATTTTCTTCTTTGGTTTTGCCCCTTATTTTCATCTTAGATTTAGAGCTATGTTAACTATATAGCTCTTAAATGAGGAAGATGGTGGCTACGTACTTCAAAATATATTTGGCATGTAAATATTCATAAAAATGGTCTTACTTGAGGTTATTTAACACTTGGAATGTATGCACATGGATTGTGTAGGAATTTTCTATCACAAGCTCCATTGTGAAGTCAGTGTCAGATACATTAAAGGTGGCAGATGATCCACAAAAATTTATAGTGCTATTGAGGGAGCATCTATCAAAGAGACATTTTAAACAAAACCAGTGATGCTTGTTTTTTATAACTGCCAATTACTACCGGCATTTACCTATTTACTTTCGGGTTGAGTTTCGTTCAGTTGGGCAAATCAGATGCATTGTGTGGAAGCCCTTTTCTGCTGGTGAGTTTCCTGCCTCTCCCTGAGCCAGCGCTGTGCGTTCAGTTGTCAACTCTGCAAAAGTAGTTGAACAAACAAGCTAGGCAGAAATAGAAATAGGCATTACAAAATAGAGTTAGAGCTTCTGAAAAAAAAAAAAACAAACCTTGAGAAAGGCCATTGTTTGAGATTTTAAAATCCAGTTTAACTGAGGATTTAATCACCCCTGAGTGTACCAGAACTGTGGAAACTAATGTAGGAACTATGGGAAATAATTTCTTCTGAAGTGTAATTTTGTCTTTTTTTTTTTTTTGCAGTAAGCCATATAAACCTTTTCTGCCAACTTCTTATTCACCCCAAGAGGGCTACTTAAAGGAGGGTGAAGACATGCTAAGGTAAAATTTTATTGTCGTGGCACAATTTGCTAAAAGCTTTAGTAGTAATTCAAATGCTTTCTTACTGTGCAGACTTAGATGTTTGTTAAAATTGATGTCATTAATATTTGCTTTTGGGAAGTCCCTCAGTTCAAGTTGATCAGATTAAGCCATTCTGCTTTAACTTTTACCTTTCTGTAGTCACTTAGACTTTAGTGGCTAAAATATACCTACAGACTGAAGGACTTAGCCCCCCAGGCCTTTTTGTTCTTCCATTGTTTTGGTGTGGGTCACCTGCTTTGTGGGTTATCCACAGCAGACTCTTGAATCCCTTCCTCCACACCCTCACACCTCACCCTCTTGATTTTGCTACCCTCTAACCATTGGTATATGCTCAAGAATGTAAATGTATTCTATTGTGATACAAATCAGAACTCCAGAGCCAAATAAAAATATAAGTCACTTAAAACTGGATTTTTTTTTTTACCCCAGGAATGGATAGATCTATAAGAGCATGTAATAATAAAAAGTGGGTTATCCATAGCAGACCCTTGAACGAAAAGGGTCTTAACAAAAATGAAAAAGGGAAGATCAAAAGCTAGGTGTCTGAGACCAGTCTGGGCAACATAGTGAGACCCTGTCTCTACAAAAAATAAAAAGATAAAATAAAAATCCCTTTTCAGAACTCTCCCACTCTCCCATTTCCCCCCACCCTTTTTTTTTTTAACTGAAATGGCTGGCCCTGGCATATTGTCCTGGACTTGTTTCTTTCACTTAACTGTGTATCATGAAGGAGTCTTCATCCTCATTGTTTGTAACCACTGCGTAGCATTCTCGAGTATGTAAATCACTTTTTTTTCTCTTTTTTAAGTTGAGACGGAGTCTCAGTCTATTGCCCAGGCTGGAATGCAGGGGTGCGATCTCGGCTCACTGCAACTTCCTCCTCCCAGGTTCAAGCTATTCTCCTGCCTCAGACTCTTGAGTAGCTGGGACTACAGGCATGCACCACCACACTTGGCTAATTTTTGTATTTTAGTAGAGACAGGGTTTCACCATATTGGCCAGGCTGGTTTGAATTCCTGACCTCAAGTGATCTGCCTGCCTCGGCCTCCCAGAGTGCTGGGATTATAGGCATGAGCCACCACACCTGGCCTCGAGTATATAAATCACTTTTGAAGGCGACTTTATTTTGTTTACTCTGGCTTTTATATTCAGCAGTGAAGTTCCTCTAAGTAACTACATGGGTAAATCAACATGGCAGTTTAAGATTCTTGCCTTAAATCTTTCTCTGTAGTTTTGGTAAAAACAGTTTTCCTTGAACTGTATTTGAATTGATTTTTATATATATGAACCTTGACAGGGCCTCTCTCTCACTTGCATTAAAGATGAGATTTGTGTCAGATTAGATTAATAATTCAGAATTGAAAAATGCTTTCCTCGACTGCGGAAGCACTTGGAAGTGTAGAATTCAGGAGTGACTGTTCATGGAGGTTAGTTCTTCTCAGTAACATTTCCTGAAGATGAGACCTGGAATACCTGCACTGTTGGGTGGTCTTCTGAAGGAGATCTTCTTAGCCTTGACCTGAAAGAAACCTAAAGGCAGAGATGGATCACAATGGCCAACACTGACTCAGGGCCCACACTGCATCAGGCACCATTCTGAGGATATTGCCTGTATTAGTTCATTCAATCTCATAATAGCACTAAGAGGTAGGGTCGATTAATAATCCCCGTGTTACAGGTGAGGAAATAGTCATGATGATGTCAAGTAACTTAATCAAGGCTACTCAGCTTGTAAGCGACAGAGCTGAGATTCAAACCCAATTGCATTGTCAACATTAGGCTGCCTTCCCTGGATGACCAGGTACTGGCTTCCCAGGCTCCTCACAGTCACCTCTAATTGTTTGGTGGTGGTGGTGTTTACCTACCACTTCATTAAAAGAAAGTGTCTATGGCCAGGTATGGTAGCTCATGCCTGTAATCCTACCACTTTGGAAGACTGAAGTGGGTGGATCACTTGAAGCCAGGAGTTTGAGACCAGCCTGGGCAACTTAGTGAGACCCCATCTCTACAAAAAATAAAAAGATTAGCTAGGTATGGTGGCGTGCACCCATACTCCCACCTGCTTGGGAGGCTAAGGTGGGAGGATCCCTTGAGCCCAGGAGTTCTGGGCTACAGTGAGTCAGGATCGCGCTACTGATCGTGCCCAGGCTGTGGGCAACAGAGCAAGAGCCTGTCTCTAAAAACAACAATGATAACAACAAAAGAAAGTGTAGAAAGTGTGAGGGAAAGCCAGCAAGAACAAAAGGCAGCAAGGGTTAGGAAAAGCAGTTGGCTTACAGAACGGCCTCTAGAATCAATGGCCGGTGTTGGTCAAAGACAAATAGACAAATGAAGCCTGCTCCGGAGAGGGAAGCATTGTGTGCAGCTCAGGATTCTCAGGGCAGTAGCGGGAGGCATGGACTCAGGCAAGAGCTTTGCTTGGAAATGTCTGTTGGGAGGCTGGCTGTGGACAGCAACCCGAATAAACATCGGAAAGGGGGGAAGCACAGGGACGAACGCTCGCAGGCAGCTTGCTGAGTAGTCATGGTTTGCGGAGTGCACTTCGGGGCCGCCTCGCCGTGCAGCCTGACGCCTCTTGCTAGATAACAGCTAATTGCTGCCCGCCAGCGTGGTTCAGTCCCTGTCAGGACATTCCTTGTGGACAGAAACATTGGTGTCTGGATCCTGGGGAGCCACAGTAAAAATGCCTGATTTAGGGTACAGCGTACATCTACTTCTCCCTTTCTTCTGTTAAATCACAGCAAAAGGGACTATTTAGACAGCTGATAGATGACCCAGCATCTGTGCACTATTTTGCATGTCTTTAGCAAGGGAAAATAGCCTGCTCACAGGCGCTGTGGAGCGTTTATAAGTAAAGGGAGCAGATCTTGTTCACTCATTCTTTACTCATATCCATATCCAATGAAGACCTTCCAAGAGGAGCATCCCCAATTTTAAAGATGAACGCTTCTGATAAAATTATCTCAAACCCTTTGGACTAAACACCTTAAAGTGTGAATATATAGCTCTAGCTATCTTTCTATCTAATCTATAACAAAGATCAGTGGCTCCATATAGCACTTTTCATCTCCATGGGCAAGAGGAAACAAATGGAAAGGGCAGAAAATCCTAGAAATTTATAAAACACTAAAATAAGAGCAGAGCAGACTATGGAGCGACATTTACCTGCAGATAGACACAGGCTTTAGTGACTATAGATTGCGCTGGGTGATCTGGTATTTGCTTTTTGGCTTTTGGGGGTACACTTAGAGGGGAAAATACATCCGCAAAATATTTGAAAAAATATTTTCATATTTTTCAGTTATGAAATTATGAATATTTTATGAAATATTGAAAAATAATTTCAATGCATATTTAACAGCATTGAGGGATTACGGGGGAAATGTGGCTGATTCTTCAAAAGGGAATGAAGACAACCGGAGCGGCGACCCTGGTGCTCTCCCTTCAGTAAGAATCCTGTTGGCCAGGCGCCGTGGCTCATGCCTGTAATCCCAGCACTTTGAGAAGCCGAGGCAGGTGGATGAGGACTGAGGCAGGTCAGTAGTTCGAAACCAGCCTGACTAATATGGTGAAACCCCGTCTTTACTAAAAATACAAAAATTAGTTGGGCGTGGTGGTGGGTGCCTGTAATCCCAGCTACTTGGGAGGCTGAGACAGGAGAATTGCTTGAACCCAGGAGGCAGAGGTTGCAGAGCGCCGAGAAAGCGCCATTGCACTCCATCCTCGGTGACAGAGCGAGACTCCACCTCAAAACAAAAACAAAAACAAAAACAAACAAAATGAATCCTGTCGCAGTTCTAGTGAGTTTCTCGTCTGTTCTTGGTAGCGGTGTTGTCTTTCATTTACCCTTTTGGAAAGAGACCCTGAAAACCTTCAGCAATTGCTTTTTGGGCTGTGCAAAAACACAAACGCATAGATGTTTTTCAGATGATGCCAACATCAGGGACACTCAAAAAGAGAAGCTTTTCCAGCCCTTTTATCAAGTGATTCAGAAAGAGTGGAAGTGAGAGAGGCCTTTGGATCGTGTTATTGTTTGTATCGACAAAAAACCGAAGTAGCGTTATTTCTTTGTAGCGTGTCAAATGAGATTGTGTACAAACCGAATAATTTAGTGTCCAGCCTTGAGCACGCCAGTCACTGAGAGCTGGGCCTCCCGCAGTGCTCTGTGAGAACACTGCTTTAGGAACTGCGAGAATGATGCTCTTGGCGTCACTGGTGGTAGCGTCGCTGGTGGTACTGGAGTGACCTGAGGGTGGGGATGTTTCTGAAGATTACTGTCTTATGCATCTTTTCTGTATTGCTTGAGGGTTTTCTTTTTTTCAATGAACATCTATCAATTTCTCAATCAGAAAAAAAGTTCAAAGCTATTTTGGGGGATGGGGAGTAGGTACCATGTGCCAGGCACTATTCTGGGCTCTGGGGATACTTTGGTGAACACAACAGGCAAAACCACTGCCCCTGGGCACTGACAGCTGCTGAGCTTTCAAAGAAGGATTTATCTCATTTCTGAACTGCTTCTCCAACTCCTCTCTGCCTTTATCTGTGTGATTTTGTCTTTAGTCTGGGGTGCCTGTTCCCTCCTCTCCGCCTGCTGAACTCATGTGGACAACTTAAGCACAGTGGCAGCCTGGTCCTCTGGGCATCCTGCCCCACTGCCCCTGCCCTCTCAGCTGTGTTCAGCTTGTCCCCTGGGCCCATGTAGTGTCCTGGTGTCAGGGAGCATTGGCTGGCACTCGCTCTGCTGTGTTAGACATGTTGGTTTGCTTCTGTCCCCTATCTTGAGGACAGACAGACTTAATATGTGATGATAACTGTGTCTCTGGGTGATGTCAGGTTTCACCATGCTTGGCAAACAGCCTGGCGTGTAGACAAATGGCCAGGTGGGGGGATGCACACTTACTCTGAGCTAGCTGCTCAACAAGGGACGCTGACCCAGGCTTGATGAGCACGGACAGTCCCAGCACAGAAGACCAGGCACACACGGGACACAGCTCTGCCCTGGGCTTTCTCACCTTTTTAATATGAAAATCTGCAACCTTAAATTCAGATGACTCAGAATGTTTATCATGATATCCTCTTTGCAGAAATTGACTTTATCTGTAGAAAGCATCTGTTCTCTAAGAGTTTTTGAAAGCAATAATACAGCCCCATCTCATTCGGAGGGTATTAGGGTTGGACCTTGGGAGATGATGTACTAGAAGAAATGAGGTCAGTCACAGCATGCGGGTGGAGAGGACAATTCCTTTTACATTCAAAAATGATGGAATTTCTTTTTAATAATTGAAAGACCACCAGACGTGCCCAGGATTAATTTGATCATATAGTAATTTAAACCAATTTTGAACCCAGAGGCAGTAAAGACCCAGCATTCACGGTAGCTTTGTTTCTTGCAAAGCTGCAATACTTTGCTACAATACTGTGCATCACCCAGGGTCACTGCATTAATCTTTGACCAGATTCCCTTTCTCAAGACTTGTGGCAACCATCATATCTGACTTGTAGCATCTTATGATTTTAAAAAAGGTTTTTTTTGAGACAGAATCTCACTCTGTTACTCAGGCTGGAGTACTGCGGTGCAATCTTGGCCTCACTGCAACCTCTGCCTCTGGGGTTCAAGTGATTCTCCTGCCTCAGCTTTCTGAGAAGCTGGGATTACAGGCGCACGCCACCACACCCAGCTAAATTTTTTTTGTTGTTGTTGTATTTTTAGTAGAGATGGGGTTTCACCATGTTGGCCAGGCTGGTCTCGAACTGCTGACCTCAAGTGATCCACCTGCGTCAGCCTCCCAAAGTGCTGGGATTAGAGGCATGAGCTACCATTCCTAGTCCTTCTTTTATTTGTTTTTAGTTTTTAAATTTAGAGATGGGGTGGTCTGACTATGTTGTCCAGGCCGGTCTCGAACTGACAGCTTCCTGCAATCCTCCTGCCTTGGCCTCCCAAAGTGCTGGGATTACAGGTGTGAGCCACTGCATCTGCCGTGTGATTCTTTTAGAATTGTGACTGACACCAGCTGCCATTGGACTTACACAGCCCTGATATTCTTGCCACCTTGCCATCTACAGAGCTGGGCCCACTGGTGTTGATTTGAGGGCTGCCTTTTGTAGTGGAGAGGCATGGAGGTTGTGTTTCTTCTCCCCCTCCACCTGGAGTGGCGTTTAGAAAGGACTCCTCAGATGTCACCCAGCCTGGTGATCTGGGTTCTAGCAGTTAGCCATGCATTAGGGGACTGGGTGGAAGCAGCTTTGGAACTCTTCGGCCGCCATGTAGACTGCAGCCACCCGGGAACCCTTGAGCTGGGGCATGTTGCTGGCTCTGCTGTCACTCTGATGTCAGGAAGGTGTGTGGTGATAAATTAGTTGGCTAATCCATCCCTTTATACTCCAAAACAGTAATTAATTTTCAAATCATGCTATCCAAATGTGACTTATTTTTGTGATCATTTTGAATCACAGGCTGTCACTCCGTAGATATGAACCATGTTGTGTTTTTCTTGCTTTCCTTTTGAATTTATTTTCTGGAATCATCCATCCTTTTCTAAATTACCAGAAAAGCATTTTTCCTATTATCGTATTAATTTGTAATTCACAAAACATACATTTAATGTGCACGTGTTATATGTAGAGCTCTGTGCTTGCACAAGAAGGAACATAATTAAGTAATAATTCTTATTCGTAGGTCATGCAGCCTAATAAGATAAAACATGTACATAAATAACAATAGAAGTCCTGACATGCTAAGAGGGTTTTTCCACTCTAGGAAGAGGGTACAATTGAGGAAGAGTGGATTACCATTGTAAGGGGTTCAAGGAGATAAATCAAGGGGGTTTCAGGGAGTAACATCATTTGAACTGAGCCTTTGAGGGAAGGGCTGGTATGTGTCCAGCAAACAGACAGGCAGAGAGGACACAGCTGGAAGAAAAGGGTGGAGAGAGTCCAAGGATCACAAGAAATTACATTTGGGAAGAGAATAGGATGTCTGGGGCCCAGTAGGTTACAAAACATGTGAAGATAGGTTGAAGCCCTGTCTTGCCAGGACTGTGAGTGCTAGGGTAAGACATTTAGGATGCCGAGCAGTTACTGTGGCGTTTTTGAAAGTAATACTTTTAACAAGATTACTCAGAGGCTGAAGTGTAGGACGGATTGGAGTGGGAAAAGAAATTGTGGTAGAGGCCTTTGCAAGTTTCTAAGCAAACGTTGGGCAAGAATGGAGGCATGAACCCAGTGGAGAGGCCTAGGACAGATTCCCTGGGACTAGGAGACTGGGGCTGAGGAAATGAGAGATGAGATGACTTCGGGTATTGATCCAGCATTAGTTATAGGATGGGCGATGTTGGCTAAAGTGGCTTCCGTGTAATTCCTTCACTTTCACTTGTGTATATGTGTATGAATGAATGAATGAGGTAGGGTCTCATTGTAGCTCACTGCAGCCTTGAACTCCTGGCCTAAAGTGATCCTTCTGCCTCAGCCTCCTGACTCTTAGGACTACAGGCTTGTGTCACCATACCAGGCTAATTTTTTAAATTTTTTCTGTAGAGACAGGGTTTCGCTATGTTACCCAGGCTGGTCTCAAACTCCTGGCCTCAAGCGATCTTCCCATCTCGGCCTCCCAAAGTGTTGAGAGGACAGCATGAGCTCATTCTTTTACTCTTTAGCAAGGAATCATCTTGGTGGTAACGACCACAAGTATGGGTCTGTCCTGGGAACTAACTGTGGATGAGCCTTCTCTCATTTTTCTGAATGTACTTTTCTCATCTGTTCTTTAAAATCATCTTTTATCTTCTTTTGTGATCTTTCAATTGAAATGACTTCATCAAATAACACTTGAATGTTTCCATTTTGAAAAAGGACATTTTAAAAATGTTTTCATTTTGAGAAAGAACATTCATGGTGCTTACCCAGTGTATCATGTCAAACGAAAACACATCTCCTGCTTTCTTTATACAATCATAGACATAGTCAACCCTATGAAGACACTACATCTTCAAAAAAGTAAGTTTCCTGTTCGCCAGAGTTGCTTCCAGTTCCCTTAATTGATTCCATCAGACAGACTGCATAGCCTTCAGTGTTTCAGTGTGTCTAAGAGTGAAAACAAGTTGTGAGACTTGCGTGATTTTTTTTTTTTGAGACAGGGTCTTGCTGTGTCACCCAAGCTGGAGTACAGTGGTGTGATCATAGCTCACCATAGCTTCAACCACCCAGGCTCAAGTGATCCTCCTGCCTCAGTCTCTAGAGTAGTTGGGACCACAGGCACATGCCACCATGCTCGGTTAAATTTTTTTTAAATTATTTGTAGAGATGGGGGGGTCTTACTATGTTGCCCAGGCTGGTCTTGAACTCCTGGGCTCAAATGATTCTCCTGCCTTGGCCTCCCAAAGTGCTGGGATTACAGGTGTGAGCCACCGTGCTGAGCCCATGCATGATTTAAAAAAATGTATAACATCTTATATCTCACTTACCTAAATACAGTAAAAATATAGGATCTTATCCCTTACTTACTTAAATTTGTGGATCAAATTATCTATATAACAACTGCTTGGTGACATAGATTCTTTTCTTTGACTGAAAGTAACCTTGTGTGTGTGTGTTTTAAGGGAATATGCAGCAGTTATAGGTCATCGTTTGTGGGATCATGGCCTCGTGGTGGAAACAATCCACCTTACCTCTGATTGGGTCTTACTTGTGCACTCCAAGGAGTGAAAGATGATGGTTCCCCATTATGTATTCTTGTTGAACAGTCCAACGTAAAACTTTTTTTCTTGCACCTTAATTATGCTTCAAAAGTCTATCACATCACTTAAAATATATCCTACTTAAAAAATGTAATGTTTTTTCTTTGTACACCGGTACACTTTGAAGGTTCATGTTGGTCAATGACTAAACTGAATCTAATTGCGGAAAAAAAATCACAAAGTACTCTCCTGTGTATTACTAATAACTGAAGCTTACATCATTTTCATTGCTTCTTACTTAAGAACCCAAAACATCTCAGCCAATATATTAGGTAATCAATTCAGTCCTCTTATCTGGCATTTTTTTTTTTTTTGAGATGGAGTCTCTCTCTATCGCCCAGGCTGAAGTGCAATGGTGGGATCTCAGCTCACTGCAACCTCCGCCTCTCGGGTCCAAGCGATTCTCCTGCTTCAGCCTCCCAAGTAGCTGGGATTACAGGCACACACCACCACACCCGGCTAATTTTTGTATTTTTAGTAGAGACGAGGTTTCGCCATGTTGGCCAGGCTGATCTCAAACTCCTGAGCTCATGTGATCTGCCTGCCTTGGCCTTCCGCAGTACTGGGATTAAAGACTTACTCAGAAATTTTGACCAAATTCCACCCCCAGCTTTTCTACCCTTAGCGATACCCTGCATTCTCTTAGACTTCCTTTCTTATCAGCTTTGCCTTGTCTATAAGATCTCATCCATTCCATTATTGTTAGGCTTATGAGAATGCACAAAAATGACCACTCTTCTCCTCCCTAGAATATACAGACTTAGGCAGATGAACACATTCTAGACCACCCTTCATCTCCTTCTTCCTGGTCACACCTGCTGCTTCCACCTGTCTCAGCCCCATCTCCTGCCCTGGACAGTAGATGGACACTGGGAATGGTATTCCTCCCAGCTGCAGGCACTTAAACTGCTGTTCCTCTCCCTTTCAAGAGGGGAGGGGGCTGCCTTGCAAAGAGCCTCCTTTACAGCTCACCTGCAATCCCATCCCAACAAACATGGGTTTTCCATTCCTTTCTTCTTTGCAGAAGTTCCCGGTACTGCTCTAGTCAGTTCAGACATATTGAGTGCCTCCTGTATGCTAGGCACTGTGAATGATGTCAGGCCAGTGCTGCTTCTTTTCTCTGTAGGTAAGCAGCCATCAGGCAGACTTCTCCAACAGGCCCTGGATCATCCGTCCCAGCTCATGTCTCCTTAGCAGCGTTGGATTTTCATTGCTAGGTTGGGCGAACCTTCCCTTGAGTGTAGAGAGCACCAGTAGCTAGATTTATATCATACCTGTAGCTTCCAGAGCCTGCAGAGAAGGGAATGCAGGGTTAGTGTTCTAAATCCAGGCATAATATTGGGTCTGAAGAGTGAAAAGTGAAGGACATTTGTGCCCCATCATCTCAGGGATGCCGGGACAACTCTATTCCCACCTTTCTATTTACTGTGCTTCCGTATCTCCACCTGGCCAGCTCTTGCTCCACACTACTCTCAAGAGTGTAAAATTATGGTTTTTCTCAGCTAATAATGGCTAATTTAATTTATCAATCTAACCCACATTTATGTCATACATAAGTTCTGGAAATGTAAAAGAACACAGACTTTCACTAAGTACAGATCCCAGTCTCCTGGCGTGAGGAACAGTTTAATTTGAGCTGGTTGTGGAAAAGGACTAATTACGTCTAGTTACTTAAGTGTTTACATTCGTGCAAGATCATTTAGGAAATTATCACTGAAGTAAGTAGGTTGAATAATTTGTTGACTACTAAAATACTTCAACAAAACTAGCGCTACTTCAAAAAAGCATATAATTTACTTTTAACATATTACAAATTCAGAAAATAGTTTCTTTTTCGTGTCCAGAATAGTATTGTTAGGGACACATTTCATTTGTCATCCATTAATTTAATTATTGAACTCAAATCATAAATAAAAAGAATACTGTTTTCTCCAGAAAGCTACATCTGTTTTAGTAAATTACTCTTAGCTGGGTTCTCTTTCACAATGCTTTGTGGCCAACAGTTCATTTCATACTTTGCATGCGGCCATTATTAAGAAGCATGTGCCAAGACAAATACTTAAAACAGTCAAACAATGAAACTTCAGAGCCTGAAGGCAAATACGTATTCCTGTTTCTTCCTGAATGTAACCTTAATAGACACAGTTTAAGATTTAGCCAATGCTGTAATCTCCACTGCAGCTCTGTATGCCTTTTGGGTGCTAAATTTGTTCAGAACTTGATGATCTATGGCAAGCCAGGGTAGGGGACTCCCGTCCAAGATTAAACTTTTATGAAGTCTTATTCTCAGCAGATAAACCTGGGAGAGATTACAAGACATCTATGTGTTGACTACAATCATTAAGTTATGGGAAAGCCACTCTTGGTGTCTCAAGTTTATTTTATATGTAGTATTTAGAGCCTGGAGCATTCCCAACCTGACCTGGAAAGGCCTTTCCATGGCTTAAGATCCCACAGGGCTGAGCTGAAGACAGCAGAACCACGCAGAGGAAGTGGGTTACCCTGCATGCTGCAGTGAGGGTGCTTGAAGCCCAGCATTGGCACGTCCATCTGTTTGTCTATCTGTTTTATTAATGCATTGCCTGTACAAAGTTAGAGGAAAAATGAGCAGTACAAGGTTCACAATGAAAAACATCGGTCAAGCCGGGCACAGTTGCTCACACGTGTAATCCCAGCACTTGGGAGGCCAAGGCAGGTGGATCACCTGAGGTTAGGAGTTCGAGACCAGCCCAACCAACATGGTGAAATGCCGTCTCTACTAAAAATACAAACTTAGTCGTGCGTGGTGGCGCATACCTGTAATCCCACTACTCAGGAGGCCGAAGCAGGAGATTCACTTGAACCCGGGAGGCAGAGGTTACAGTGAGCCGAGATCACACCATTGCATTCCAGCCTGGGTGACAAGAGCGAAACTCCATCTCAAAAAAAAAAAAAAAAAAGAGAAAAAGAAAAACAGCGGTCCCTTGCCACACTCTCTCTAGTCCCCACTCCGCTCTGGAAAGGCTGCCATTCCCAGCCCCTGGCTCTTTCTTCTGTGAATCACACACATCTCAGTTGTGCACCCTGATGCTGGAACCAAATAAAACACCTTCTCCTTTTGAGTTCATTTTTTTAGTCTTTGAATAGCCAGCAGTGTTCACCCTTTTTTAGGCCAGGTTTGTTTAGACATAAGAATTCCCATTGACACACAGCACCTCCATCCCCCCGACCCCACCCCGTCAGCCTAGCCTGGAGGTGTCCACTTGTGAAATGAGGGTTTGTGTGGAAGTGGGGAGCCACGCTGCCAGTTGTTATGGTTTTGAAACAGAATGGAATGTTTGATTTTGAAACCCTTCAGAGTCCCTGCTGCTGCGAGTCCTAGTCACTCTCATCCATAGACAGTCACAGCTCCACCAAAAAGCAGAGACAGTTTAAACAACTTGTGGCTAGATTAATTGTGTTTTCTGATGGTTTTTTCTCCTTTTTTGTAAATGTGTTTTTTAAAAATCAGGGCGCCCGTGTGGTAAAACAGGCTCTTCTTGTCCCTGGTACATCGTCCTGTGCCCTCGAGGATGCACCGGGGCTGGTGACTGAAGCACTTAGGAGATTTCTTGCTAAGTGGGAGCAGCAGGAATGTCCTGCAGTTTCTCAGAGGGCTGGAGAGCAGGCAGATGACATTCCAGGACAGGAGTGCCACCGTAGCCACCCCAGCCTCCGTGCACTCAGCACCTTCTCTTCCTGTTAAATTTGGGGACACATTTGTACAGGGATGAGTTGAGCCTGATCACTGACTGCCTGAAGACCAGAAAAGGACAACTGGGAGGTATTTGGTGCTGTCCCTTTTCCCTCCCATTTCAGATACCAGAAAGTCCTTTTTCTGCACATCCATTTGTGAAGGAAAACCAAAAAAATTTTCCTTTATGAGAGAATGTGCCTCTGTAATGTGTATATCCTACAGAGGCATTGGATTTGAGTGTGTTTCAGATAGGAATAGACTGTTTCAGTATTTCACCTTTATGGACAAAAATGCTTCTTCTAAAGCTAAATTTTCTTTTGAAACAGATTTTAAATATATAAATAGAATGACCTCTAAAGATAGATGGATGTGTAAGAAATAGTTCCAGTTCCCTATCAGTTTATTTTCCTGATTCTATATTTCAGTTTTTGTTTTTAGTTTTATTTTTTAATAGTTTGTTTTTGTTGTTGTTGTTGTTTTGAGATGGAGTCTTGCTCTGTCACCAAGGCTGGAGTGTAGTGGTGTGATCTTGGCTCACTGCAATCTCCGCCTCCCAGGTTCAAGCGATTCTTCTGCCTCAGCCTCCTGAGTAGCTGGGATTACAGGCACACACCACCACACATGGCTAATTTTTGTATTTTTAGTAGAGACAGGATTTTGCCATGTTGGCCAGGCTGGTCTCAAACTCCTGACCTTAAGTGATCCACCCCACCCACATTGGCCTCCCAAAGTGCTGGGATTACAAGCATGAGACACTGTACCTGGCCTAGATTTCAGTTTTTAATTGAGACATTTGTAAGGTTACTTTTAAGTACATGGTAAATGTGAAGAAGCAACTCCTAATCTTGAAGGTTTTATTTTATTTTTTGAGACAGGGTCTTGCTATGTTACCCAGGCTGGTCTTGAACTCCTGGGCTAAAGCGATCCTCCTGCTTCATTCAGCCTCTGGAATAGCTGGGACTACAGGCATGAGCCACCACTCCTGCTTAATCTTAAAGACTTTAAAGAGCATTCCAATTAGAAGCCAAACCCTTGAAGTAGTGACTTTTTCGTTTGCTTGTTTTGAGTTAAGTGGGTGAGAAGAGAATAATAATCACTTGTCCCTTTTAGGAAAAAGAAGCAGGCTGTGTTATAGGACCATGTTAAAGCCGTAAAGAAATTGTTTATCTTACAAAACACAGAATGTGATTGATTTTGGTGCAATTTTATTGTACCTACTTTCTCAGGGCAGGGGGAACCCATGAATTTAAAACACAGCAGTCTTGTTTCTTTTTGATTATAGAAATCTCAAAGTCAGTGAACGTGAAGATCTTTCTTGAGTAGGCTGTTGTTCTTTGTGTGGCTTGCTGGCTTGGACTGCAGACTTCTGCTAACCGTTTGTTTTCTTCCTTTTTCCAGGCTTGGAGATGCTGGATCCTTCAGCCAGCAGTGAGCATTCCTCATTTCAAGGCAGGAATCCCCCCCATTGTGGGCAAGCTGCCTCCACTTCTTCCAACTCCTGGCAGGAAATCCTTCCTGGGTCCCTCCTTCAGCTCCTGTCAAGTCCCGTTTGTGAGGTGATAGGCCTGGTGGACACCTCCTTCCACTGCCAGCTCAGTGCTTCCCCCTAGGGACACAACAGATGAGTAGCTCTTCTGCTTCTCGGAGAGCTCCCCGGAGACAGCGGGCAGTTTAGAGCCATGGCAGCGTGTGCTGTTTTATATATATATATATATATATATATATATATATATATATATATATATATATATATATATATTTTTATGGAGTCTCACTCTGTCACCCAGGCCGGAGTGTGGTGGCACAATCTTGGCTTTCTGCAGCTTCCACCTCCCAGGTTCAAGCAATTCTCCTGCCTCAGCCTCCGGAGTAGTTGGGACTACAGGGATGCACCACCACGCCTGGCTAATTTTTGTATTTTTAGTAGAGACAAGATTTTGGCATGTTGGCCAGGCTGGTCTCAAACTCCTGAGCTCAAGTGATCTGCCTGCCTTGGCCTCCCAGAGTGCTGGGATTACAGGTGTGAGCCACCGTGGCCGGCTGAGAGTGTGTTGTCAATCTGCCACGTTAAAAAACAAGTTGCCAGTGAAATCTTTATGGAAAGGTGGCTTTCACCTGGACCTTAAATAAAATTTAGATCTGGGGATGTCTTTGTAAATAAGAGTCAAATACAGCTTTGACCTTTTATGGGAACCGGGAATTTTTGAGCCAAAAATCTTTCTTATGAGCACAACATTTCAACCTTGACTGCTGTTGGGGATTCAAATAGAGGGAATATGCCAGCTTGCTTTGGAAGCTGTACATGTGCAGGCCTTTGATTGTCAAGGTCAGCCTGTATTGACGATCCTCAGCCCTGCGGGGGAGCATTTCTGTGCCCCACCCCCTTTTGACCTGTTGCCTTTGGAGATGGGTGAGAGTCCGGTTCTGCCTCCCCACCCCCATGCCCTCCTATTTGGGCTTCCTTGCTCTTGTGCCTTTCCTTTTTCCCTTCCTTCCACTGGTCCTCCCCTCACTCCCTGGGCCTCTGGACTCAGCCTCCCAACTCCCGATGGGCTCAAGCCTCCCTAAGACTGGGTGTGTCTCCTGCTTCAGGCCCCCTCTTGGCTCACCCACAGGCCCATTGTGAGTACCTGGACTTTTCCTGTGAGGAGTGAGCAGAGAATGGGGAGAAGGGCTCAGGAAGAAATCTTTCTGCTCTCATTTGCCTCCCATCCTTGCCATTAGTTTAGGAACAAAGCTCTTTCTGACCTTCACAAAAGGCCCGGTTCAGGGCCTTTATGGTAAGCACTTTGAGAAAATGTCTTGTGTAGCAGGGTAAGGGCTGTGCCGGACAGCCTGCCTGTCCAAGAGGGACAAGGCTGGGTGCTGGGTGGTGTGCCAGGCCAGTATTCTGGATGGCTGGAGGGAGGCCAGCTTTTGAGGAGCAGAGGATTTCAGCCATTAATGGCGCATCTGGGAACTTCACTGCTTTGAATGTTTAAGAATATGTGTTCCAGGCTGGGTGTGGTGGCTCACACCTGTAATCCCAGCACTTTAGGAGGCTGAGGTAGTGGATCATCTGAGGTCAAGAGTTTAAGACCAGCCTGGCCAACATAGTGAAACCCCGTCTCTACTAAAAAAATTAGCCGGGCATGGTGGTGGGCGCCTGTAATCCCAGCTACTTGAGAGGCTGAGGCAGGAGAATCACTTGAACCCAGGAGGCGGAGGTTGCAGTGAGCTGAGATTGTGCCACTGCACTCCAGCCTGGACAACAAGAGTGAAACTCTGTCACTCACACACACACACACACAAGCAAAAAAAAAAAAAAAAAAAAGAATATGAATTCCAGGTGTCAAAAAACAAACAAACAAACAAAAAAACAACACTTCAAAACAGCACATTTAGAACGAAACCCCCTTGTACAAAGGAGAATGGAGGACCAGGACATTACCACAGGCTCAGACTAGACCAAAGGTTTGCAAACTTTTTTGTTGTTTGTTGTTAAAGAGACAGAATCTTGCTCTGTTGCCTAGGCTAGAGTTCAGCCATGCAGTGATAGCTCACTGCAGTGTCAATGTGCTGGGCTCAAGCAATCCTCCCACCTCAGCTTCCTGAGTAGCTGGGACTATAGGCATGTGCCTCCATGCATGGCCACCATGCATGGCTAATTTTTAAATTTTGTTTTGCAGAGATAGGGGTATCACCCTGTTGCTCAGGCTGGTGTCAAACTCCTGGGCTTAAGTGATCCTCCCACCTTGGCCTTCCAAAGTACTGAGATTACAGGCATGAACCTCTGCGCCTGGCCACAAACTTCTTTTTATAAAGGGCCAGAGAGTAAATATTTTAGGCTCTGTGGGCCAAGAACCAAAATCAAGGATTTTATGTATATACTTACATAACTGTTTAGAATGTAACCACTTAAAAATAGGAAAACTGGCCGGGGGCAGTGGCTCACACCTGTAATCCCAGCACTTTGGGAGGCCAAGGCGGGCGAATCATTTGAGATCAGGAGTTTGAGACCAGCCTGGGCAACATGGTGAAACCCTGTCTCTGCTAAAAATACAAAAATTAGCCACGTGTGCTGGCAGGCGCCTGTAATCCCAGCTACTTAGGAGGCTGAGGCACGAGAATCGCTTGAACCCGGAGGGGCGGAATTTGCAGTGAGCCAAGATCGTGCCACTGCACTCCAGCCTGGCTGACAGAGCAAGATTCTTTGTCTCAAAAAAAAAAAAAGTTGGGGGAGGGGGAAACCATTCTTAGCTTGAAGGCCTCAACCAGGCAGCAGGGCTGATCTGGTCCCAGATTCTGGTTTGCTGACCCCTAATGGCTTTCTCTGGGTCTAAAGAAGACTTGGTGGAGCTTGCAGGGCTAAGTCAGAGCCTGGCGGGAGTGGCAGGTTACTTCCTACTTAGCCCCTCTCTAAAGATGAAGAAAGATCCCTTTGGGGAGAGCAGCCAGAACTGGATTTATCATGTTTACCCCTGTCTATATTTTTGTTTTTGTTCTCTGCAGGACTGGTCAACCCCGAAGGTCTGTTTTTCCCTCCCCTGCTTGTGGCAGGCCTCTCCAAGAGGCATAACCCTTTGGGGTGCCCTGAAGGATCCCCTAGGCTTCCCCAAGCCTGCCAAGCGCCCAGTACTTGAAGAGAAGCCAGGCCTTTTAGCACTGCCATCAGGTGAGTAGCCAGGTGAGCTGTGAGTGGCATTCTAGGCTAGTGCTGTCCGGTAGAACTTTCTATGATGGGGGAAACACTCTAGGGTTGTGCCATCCAATACAGTAGCCCTTAGCTACATGTGGCTCTTGAGCACTTAAAATGTGGAGAGTACAACTGAAGAACTGAATTTTTAATTTTAGTTAATAGAAATGACCATAGTCACATGCAGCCGGTGGCTACCATGCTGGACAGCACAGTTCTAGGCTGTTGGAGATCTCAAGAAACTGTAGCAATGGGTAGAATGGTGTGATGTTTTTACCAAGAAATTCGTTACTTAGATTTTTTCCCCCTCCTTCTTTCTTTTTTAGAGTTGCAAATGCACTTAAAAAAGGAAATATATCTCTTTCACAAATGGGTATGATTCTCAATTGCTATAAAGTAAGAAGGTAACTAAAAAAAAGCACAAAACAGTGTTACTAAATTCCTGCCCAATAAGCTTAAGGGTTGCTCTTCGCTGGTTAAAAACAGGGGTTACTAAAGGTCAAGGAGGTGTTCGTGGCATACCGACACTACTAGAAACCCTCTCCTTGACTTGTTCAGAAGGATTGCAAGAGGTTGGCAAAGGGAACATCTTCTTTTTTGTTTGTTTTTTTGTTTTTTGAGATGGAGTTTCACTCTTGTCGCCCAGGCTGGAGTGCATTGGCGTGATCTCAGCTCACTATAACCTCTGCCTCCCGAGTTCAAGCGATTCTCCTGCCTCAGCCTCCCAAGTAGCTGGGATTACAGGCGCCCACCACCACACCCAGCTAATTTTTGTATTTTTGGTAGAGATGGGGTTTCATCATGTTGGCCAGGCTGGTCTCAAACTCCTGACCTCAGGTGATCCGCCCGCCTCAGCCTCTCAAAGTACTGGGATTACAGGCATGAGCCACCATGCCCGGCTGGCAAAGGAGACATCTTCTAATGAGGTTGAGTGTCTGGATCATGGGCCTGTGAATCCTTAAGTCCTCTGGAGATGTGGATGCCCCGTATCTGCTGGCTCAGGGAAGCACACAGTCCCTCCCCTGCCTGGGAGGACGACAGGAGTCTGATCTGCCATGTTTAAGGTACTGACCAATACCCAGCCCTAGGCTGGAGCCTGCAGGAGAATCAAGGCTTTTTCTCTATCTTCCTTTTCAATGAAGACCTGGCCAGCTCTCACCTCCTCAGGTGCTGCCTTTTCTCCTGTGCAGCAGAGAAGATGAGGCTAGAGGAGTCACCTAAAGCACAGAGGGTATTAATCTGCCCAAGGTCACGCCTGGGCGACAAGAGCGAAACTCCGTCTCAAAAAACAAAAAAACAAACAAAAAAGAAGATGTTCCCTTTGGCAACCTCTTGCAATCCTTCTGAACAAGTCAAGGAGAGGGTTTCTAGCAGTGTCGGTATGCCACGAACACCTCCTTGACCTTTAGTAACCCCTGTTTTTAACCAGCGAAGAGCAACCCTTAAGCTTATTGGGCAGGAATTTAGTAACACTGTTTTGTGCTTTTTTTTAGTTACCTTCTTACTTTATAGCAATCGAGAATCATACCCATTTGTGAAAGAGATATATTTCCTTTTTTAAGTGCATTTGCAACTCTAAAAAAGAAAGGAGGGGGAAAAACTAAGTAACGAATTTCTTGGTAAAAACATCACACCATTCTACCCATTGCTACAGTAGTGTCTGGTGGAGCTGAGACTGCACACTGGCCCTGTGACCCCCCTGCCTGGGCTCTTCACCACCACACAGTCCCAGTGGCACATACATGTTATCAAGTTGATGTTGCTTTCAAAGAAAATCTTAGATTTTTTCTTGGATTTCAACCACATCCACAGCCCACACTTACTTACTTTCTTTCTTCTTTCTTTCTTTCTGTCTGTCTTTCTTTCTTTCTTTCTTTCCTTCCTTCCTTCCTTCCTTCCTTCCTTCCTTCCTTCCTTCCTTCCTTCCTTCCTTCCTTCCTTTCTTTCTTTCTTTCTTTCTTTCTTTCTTTCTTTCTTTCTTTCTCTCTCTCTCTTTCTTCTCTTCTTTCTTTTCTTTATTCCTTTCTCTCTCTTTATTTATTTATTTTTTTAGACAAGGTCTTACTCTGTCACCCAGACTGGAGTGCAGTAGCTCGATTTCTATCTTGGCTCACTGCAACCTCTGCCTCCTGGGTTCAAGCGATCCTCCCACCTCAGCCTCCCAAATAGCTGGGACTGCAGGTGAGCGCCACCACACCTGGCTAATTTTTGTGTTTTTTGGAGAGATGGGGTTTCACTATGTTGCCCAGGCTCTTGAACCCCTGGGCTAAAGTGATCTGCCTGTCTCAGCCTCCCAAAGTGCTGGGATTACAGGCATGAGTCACCATGCCCAGCCAGTACAGCCCCCCTTTGACAAAATGCCAGAAGTGTTTTCATGTCACTCACATCTTCTGATTCATCACAGTGTAGAAATTCAGAGGGAAGGAGTGAAGTTGTTAGTGCGGGTCTGGGTGAAGCCACAGAAGCCTAATGGAAGAGCCAGCCTCGGAGGAAGTCAAGTATTTGGGTGCCTGGAGGGGAGAAGGCACCGTGATCTCCTGCTTAGAGAGGGACCTTCAGGTGACAAGGGTTTAGGACTCATTGAAGGTGGGGGGATGGTAGGGTAGATGTCCCATATTCTTTGGCTGTCATCAGGATTAAATTAGATTTTTTTGTTTTGTTTTGTTTTGTTTTTGAAACAGGTTGTCACTCTGTTGTCCAGGCTGGAGTGCAGTGGCACAATCTTGGCTCACTGTAACCTCCGCCTCCGGGGTTTAAGTGATTCTCCTGCCTCACTCAGCCTCCCAAGAACCTGGGACTACAGGCACCCGCCACCGCCCCCCACTGATTTTTGTATTTTTATTAGAGATAGGGTTTCATCATGTTGGCCATGTGGATCTTGAACTCCTGACCTCAGGTGATCTGCGCACCTTGGTCTCTCAAAGTGCCGGGATTACTGTGGCGTGAGCCACTGCGCCTGGCCTAAATGAGATCATATCAATGAAAATCTTCTCGACTTTCCAAGAATTGCACAGATATCTGTCTGTTGGTGCTTGGTTAATCCAATTCTGCCTGCAAAGGCTGGTTGGTGTGGTTGGGGGAACTGACTCCGACTGATGGTTGGATGTGAGCCGATGCTGCGGTTTCCTCCTCTTCGCAGTTCCTTTGCAGTTAGAGCCACAGGAGTGGGCAGCTCAGCCTGTGTCTTTGCTGAACTAAGGGAAGCTCCACCGAGCCTGGAGAACAAGGTGGTTTCTGCCCAGTTGGTGGCGTCACCCTCCTTGAAGGCCCCTGCCTGGCCTGCAGCACTGATGTCCAGGCTGTGAGTACAAATGTGGCTTCCGTCTGTCTGAAACGTGGTCCCATAGAAACTTTTTCACGTTTGGGGTCTGTGCTGAACTAGATATTTGTGGAAAGTCATTTTGTAGACAGTAGGCCTCGCAGTTGTTCAATTATGTGCGTATTAAAATACAATAAAAATGTCTAACTTTTACATACTGGTTACCCTTGTTTAAAACCTTTTTATTTTAGAATAATTTTAAATTTACAGAAAATGTACAGAGATAGTACAGGGAGTTCCCTTCATCCAGCTTCCTCTGAATGCTGACATCTTATATAACCATGGTACATTTGTCAAAACTAGGAAATTAACATTAGCACAGCAATATTAACTACGCTACACATTTTATTTGTATTTCACCAATTTTTCCACTAATGTTTCTGTTTCAGGATCCTATTCTGGGTACCACTTAGATCTAGACCCCTTTTTATTTTATTATGTTCCAGTTTATTTTTTACCTTTTTTTTTTTTTTGAGAGTCTCACTTTTACCCAGGCTGGAGTGCAGTGGTGTGATCTCGGCTCACTGCAGCCTCAACCTCCTGGGCTCAAGCGATCCTCCCACCTCAGCCCCTCAAGTAGCTGGGACTACAGGTGCACACCACCATGCCTGCCTAATTTTTGGTACTTTTTGGAGAGATGGGATTTTGCCATGTTGTCCAGGCTGATCTCAAACTCCTGAGCTCAAGCAATCTGCTTACCTAGGCCTCCTACAGTGCTAAGATGACAGGCATGAGCCACCGTCCCTGGCCATTTTTTCTTATGAAACTTTTTTTTTGTAAATTAGAGACTGGGTCTTGTTTATGTTGTTGAAGCTGGTCTTGAACTCCTGGCCTTAAGCCATCTTCCTTTCTCAGCCTCTCTAGTAGCTGGGTCAATAGGCACACACCACCAAATCTGGCTTGAAACATTTTAAATATAAAGAAATTTGAATAAATAGTACATTGAACACCCATATATCTTGTATCGAGATTCAAAAGTTAACATGATATTTTTGTAAAAACTTATACATATGTCTGTGTACATTTAACTTTTTCCTCAACCGTGAAGATAAGTTGCAGAGTTTATGACCTCTCACTTTTAAGTATCTTAGCATGTGTCTCCTAAGAATGGGAACACTCTCCTATGTAATTATGATAGTATTAGCACACCTTAAAAATTAATGACAATTCTATAATCTCTAATATCTAGTTCTAATATTTGAATTTCCCCGGTTATCCCAAGAATGCGTTTATGGCTTCTTTTTAAAACTAGGATTTAATCAAGGTTTGTGCATTACCTGTAGTTTTTATATGTCTTCAGTTTCTTTTAATCTAAAACAGCCTTCTTACCTCTTTTTGTTTTCTCATGATACTGACTTTGAGTCCACGCCTTTCCCTTGTTTTGTAGAACCTCCTGCATCTGTTACGTGTCTGATGGCTTCCTCTTGGTGTCACTTAACTGTTCCTCTGTTCCCTGTATTTTCTGTATCCCAGAAGTTTGGCCTAGAGGCTTGATTAGCCAGGCTGTACATTTTCGGCAAGGGGGTTTCATAGATGGTGCTGCCTGTTTATGTGGCTTCGTATCAAAACATACATGACTGTCGTCCTGGTGGGAGAGCTCCTATGCTTGGTCACTTGGGTAAGGTGGTGACTGCCTGGTGCAGGTAGGTTTTTTCCTGGCATCAAGCAAATATCCTGTTCCCCACCAACCATTCCCCACCTGTTTTTTTTTTTTTCAAACAAAAAAAAAGGTCTCACTCTGTCACCCAGGCTGGAGTGCAGTGGTATGATTTCAGCTCACTGGAATCTCTGCCTGCTGAGCTCAGGTGATCCTCCTGCCCCAGCCTCCTGAGTGGCTGGGACTACAGGTACATGCCATCATGCCTGGCTAATTTTTGTATTTTTTGTAGAGATGGGGTTTCACCATGTTGCCCAGGCTGGTCTTGAACCCCTGGACTCAAGCTTTCCGCCAACCTCAGCCTCCCAAAGTGCTGGGATTATAGGAGTGAGCCACCGCTCCTAGCCCCCTACCAGCTTTTACCTAGTTGTGTCTATCGGTTTTTACCTGACTCAATTGTTATCTTTGACCTACCCTCCCCCTGCCTTTTTTTTTTTAAGGCAGTGTTTCACCCTGTCACCCAGGCTGGAGTGCAGTGGGGTGATCTCGGCTCACTGCAACTCCTGTCTCCCCGGTTCAGGTGATTCTCGTGCCTCAGCCTCCCGAGTAGCTGGGACAACAGGTTTTCGCCACCAACCTGGCTAATTTCTGCCCTCCCTTTTAATTGAGGTGTGCTAACTGCTACTACTACTTCTTCTTCTTTCATCTTTCTTCTTCTTCATCTTCTTCTTCTTATTTTTTTCTTCTTCCTTTTTTTTTCTTTTTTGGGACAAAATCTTGCCCTTGTCGCCCAGGCTGGAGTGCAGTGGTGTGATCTCAGCTCACTGCAACCTCTGCCTCCCAGGTTCAAGCGATTCTCCTGCCTCAGCCTCCCAGGTAGCTGGGATTACAGGCGCCCACCACCACGCCTGCCTAATTTTTGTCTTTTTAATAGAGACAGGGTTTCACCGCATTGACCAGGCTGGTCTCGAACTCCTGACCTCAGGTGATCTGCCTGCCTCAGCCTCCCAAAGTGCTGGGATTACAGGCGTGAGCTATGGCACTCAGCCAGAGGTGTGTGATCTTAAACATTCAGTTTAGTGAGGTTTGAAAATTATACCCATATAACTTGCACCCGAAACAAGTTATAGATGTTTCCATCACTTCATAATGTCTTATTGTGTCCCTTTCCAGGCACGCACCATCCCCTCCAAACGTTTTCTGACTCCCATGACCTAGGTTTTCTGTTCTTATATTTTATGTAAGTGGAATCATGCATTATACATTTTGTTGAGACTAGCTTCCCTTGTTTAATAGAATGCTTTTGAGGTTCACCCATCTTGTCACATGAGCCTGTAGACCATTCCTTTTTGTTGTTGAGCAGGAGGTTATTGTATGTTTATCTTTTCTCCTGATGGTGGACTTTGGGGTTGTTTACACTTTTTGACTAATATAATTATGAACACTCTTGTACATGTCCTTTTGTGGACATACATTGTCATTTTGCTTGGTTAATACCTAGGAGTGGAATTGCTGAGTCGTAGGAGAGATGGATGCTTAGTGTAATGAGAGTCACCCAACTGGTTCTACCATTTTCGCTGCCACTGGCAATATCTGTGGATCCATATCCTCACCCACTTCTGTGTTGTCAGTGTTTGATTTTAGCCTTTGAGTGGGGATGAGACATTTGTCATGGTTGTCATTTGCTTTTCTCTGATGATTAATGATGCTGAACACCTTTTTCATTTTCATTGTTTTTCTGTTTAGGAAATGGCCTGGGGAAGACTTACAAAGATGCCTTTGTCAGTGTGTTGGTTTCCTAGGGCTGCTGTAATTGAGTACTACAAATTGGGTGGCTTAAAACAACAGAAATGTATCGCCTCACAGTTCTGGAGGCTGGGCAGTCCAAGGTCAAGGCGTAGGCCAGGCCATGCTCCATCTGAAACCCATGGCAGAGAATCCATCTGTGGCTTTTCCAGTTCCGGGTGTTGCCAGCAGTCCTTGGTATTCCTGGGCTTGTAGATGTGCCGCTCCCATCTCTGCCTCCATATCACATGGCCGTCCTCCTTGTGTGACCTCATGGCATCATTCTTCTGTGCATGTGTTCTTGTCCACATTTCCCTCTGCTTTTAAGGACATTCTTGGTTGGATTAGAGGCCCCATCCTACTCCAGTATATCCTCATCTTAACTAGTTACATCTGTAGTGTCCCTATTTCCAAATAAGGTCACATTTTGACGTAATAGGGATTAGGACTTCAACATATCTTTTTGGGGGACACAATTCAACCCATAGCAGTCAGTAATAAGCAAATAGATTCATCTGTCTTCTAATTTGGGGATTATGGAGGATTGGTAAGAATATATTATAGAGGCCAGGCATGGTGGCTCACACCAGTATTCCCCAAATGTTTAGAGGCTGAGACAGGAGGATCACTTGAGGCCAGCCTGGGCAACATGGTGAGACTCCACTTCTACAATAAATGAAAAAAAAAACAGTCAAGCATAGTGGCACATGCCTACAGTTCCAGCTACTTGGGAAGCTGAGGCACGAGGATTGCTTGAGCCCAGGAATTTGAGGCTGTAGGAAGCATGATTATGTCACTGAACTCCAGCCTAGGTGACAGAGCAAGATCCTGTCTCTACAAATATGTACATTTAGGCCAAGCACAGTGGCTCACCCCTGTAATCCCAGCACTTTGGGAGGCCGAGGTGGGCAGGTCATTTGAGGTCAGGAGTTCAAGACCAGCCTGACCAACATGGTGAAACCCTGTCTATACTAAAAATACAAAAAAAAATTACTCGGGCATGGTGGCACATGCCTGTATTCCAAGCTACTTGGGAGGCTGAGGCAGGAGAATCGCTTGAACCTGGGAGGTGGAGGTTGCAGTGAGCTGAGATCACACCTCTGTACTCCAGCCTGGGTGACAGAGCGAGACTCTGTCTCAAAAAAATGTATAAAGTAATAAAAATAAAAAAATATATTTATATATATTAATATATATATATATCATAGAATTTTAAAGATAAGGATGAGGAGCTTGGGATGGGTGCCTTTCTACAACTTTCAAAAGAAACGTCCTTTCCTTTGGCTCAAGGAATCTCCTGAGATTATGTGAACTGAGGTCTTTCCTTCACGTGTGAAGTCTTTCCATTGGCCTGAGAGCACTTCGGCTTGCTCTGTTGATGTTTCATTTCATGTCTTATCATTCTACAAAATGGGCGACGCGGCGGGAAGGAGTCCCTAGTCAGGGGTCACAAACCAGGTGATAGAGGGACAGGATGGTGAGAAACTCATTCTGGTGAAGTCCTTGAGTCCTGTCCTGAGGTCCTGTCTTCAGGCGCTGGTGTTTCCTGGGTGTTAGTCACTGAGCCCTTCTCCTGTCTTACAGAGACTTCCTCAGGGACTCTTGAGCCCTCCCTTGCACATAAATATTCAGAAACTTTCTAGGGGCTTTCAGAGTTGGATGAATCAGTAACATCTACAGGGCGAAAGACTTTATTTATTTATTTATTTTTTGAGACGAGTCTCACTCTGTCACCCAGGCAGGCTGGAGTGCAGTGGCGGGATCTTGGCTCACTGCAACCTCTGCCTCCCAGGTTCAAGCAATTCTCCTGCCTCAGCCTCCCAAGTAACTAGGATTACAGGTGGACTCTACCATGCCCAACTAATTTTTGTCTTTTTAGTAGAGACGGGGTTTCACCATGTTGGCCAGGCTGGTTTTGAACTCCTGACCTCAGGTGATCCTCCTCCCAAAGGAGGCCTCCCAAAGTGCTGGGATGAGCCACTGCACTCGGCTGAAAGACTTTTTTTTTTTTAATAGTCATCTAAATAATTTAGTAGAACAAGATCAGCACAGTAACTTGAGTTAAGGATTTGAAGACAGTTTCTGTGTGTGTGTATGTGTGTGTGTGTGTACATATATGTGTGTGTGTATATATATATTATTTTATTTTATTTATTTTTTGAGATGGAGTCTCGCTGTGTCACCCAGGCTGGAGTGCAATGGCATGATCTCGGCTCACTGCAATATCTGCCTCCTGGGTTCAAGCGATTCTCCTGCCTCAGCCTCCTGAGTAGCTGGGATTACAGGCGCCTGCCACTATGCCTGGCTAATTTTTGTATTTTTAGTAGAGATAGGGTTTCACCATGTTAGTCAGGCTGGTCTCGAACTCCTGACCTCAGGTGATCTGCGCACCTCGGCCTTCCAAAATGCTGGGATTACAGGTGTGAGCCACCACGCCTGGCTAGTTTGTATATTTTTAAAAGCACAGATTTGGCCGGGCGCGGTGGCTCACGCCTGTAATCCCAGCACTTTGGGAGGCCGAGGCGGGCGGATCACGAGGTCAGGAGATCGAGACCATCCCGGCTAAAACGGTGAAACCTCGTCTCTACTAAAAATACAAAAAATTAGCCGGGCGTAGTGGCGGGCGCCTGTAGTCCCAGCTACTTGGGAGGCTGAGGCAGGAGAATGGCGTGAACCCGGGAGGCGGAGCTTGCAGTGAGCCGAGATCCCGCCACTGCACTCCAGCCTGGGCGACAGAGCGAGACTCCGTCTCAAAAAAAAAAAAAAAAAAAAAAAGCACAGATTTCTGTGATGTTGGCTTGTTTCCTTGTTTTTTGAAAATTAGTATTTTAAAAAATAAATGATACATACACATGATACAAAATTCAAAAGAAACAAAAGGTAAACAGCAAAAAGTAGTTCTTCCACTTCTCTTTCGTAGCTTAACAGTTTGTGTCTCCTTCTAGAGATATTTATCCACAGGCAGGTGTATGTGAACTCATACATAAATGGTAACATATTATAAATGCTATTCTACCCCTTTGTTTTTTCCATTATATCTTGGAAATGATTGTATATCAGATATACTATTGCCTCTTTTTAATGATTGCAAATTACTCCCCAGTATTAGATGTGCGTAATTTACCTCATTTGGTCTTTTAATTTTTTTTTACATTTATTAATTTCTTTATATATATTTTTGCTTTGTATTACTTGATTTACCAAGGAAGCCAATTAAGTCTTTATTGATAGACATTTTAGGTCATTTGTAATCTTGCTGTTTAAGCAAAAGGGAGTTTTATTTTGATGTAAGTTGGTTTTGTTTTTCAGTTATAGAGCAACAAGGTTTAGAGCCAATTTCATCATTCCTGTTACTCAATAAGAAATAACACAATTGGGTTTCTGCTATTAGATGGGAATAAAATGAAAACTCATGGTGTGAATTTTACAAATAAAAGTATTTTGTAACTTGGCTAAACACTCATGCTTGTCTTCAAGCTATACATTAGAAGACGAGGCTAACATTTGGAAAGTAAGTCCAATGAGATGCTTTCTAGCCTAGAAAATTTGGAGTGTCATTATAGACACTGATTTGGATAAGAAAGAATTTACTGGATTTCTTTAGCCTACTACTTACATTTTCATTTTCTGCTTTAGCAGATTTGTTTCAAATCTCTTTCATCACAAAGCAGGCTTGAGCTGCTGCGTAAGCCTTGACAAGAACCTGGCCAGAACCTCTGTCCAGATCATTCAGAGTCCTTTGATATGCGGATGTTTTAGTTTCCTATTGCTGTGTAGCAGATGACCACAAGCTTAGCAGCCTAAAGCAACCCAAATTTATTATCTCAAGGTGTCCATGGGTCAGGAGTCTGGGTACAGATTAGCTGAGTCCTCAGTCTCACCAGACTGAAAATCAATATATCGGCAGGGCCTGTGATACTCCCTGGTTGTCAACAGAATTAATTTCCTGTAGCCAGATAACTGAGGTTCCTATTTTCCTGCTAGCTGTCAGCAGGAAACCCCACTCAACTCCTAGAGGTCGTCCTCAGGTCCCTTCCACGTGGCCCTGTTCTCTCCCTGTGGCTGTTTGCTTTCTCCCAGGTTAGCAGGAGTCTCTGATGCTTCACCTGTTAAAGAGCTTGCCTATGTCACACTCACCCATGCAGCATTTTTATACGTGTGTATGTGTGTGTGTGTAGATACACACATATATATACACATATATACACACACATATATATTTATACATTATATATACATATAACTTTATTATTATTTTTTGAGACAGTCTTGCTCTGTTGCCCAAGCTGGAGTGCAGTGGCATGATCTTGGCTTACTGTACCCTCGACCTCTCAGGCTCAAGCAATCCTCCCACCTCAGCCTCCTTAGTAGCTGGGACCACGGGTGTGTGCTGCCACGCTCACCTAATTTTTTGTATTTTTTTGTAGAGACAGGGTTTCTCCATGTCGCCCAAGCTGGTCTTGAACTCCCTAGCTCAAGCTATCTGCCTGCCTCAACCTCCCAAACTGCTGGGATTACTGGTGTAAGCCACCACACCTGGCCCTATTTTTAAAATTATACATATTTATAATGTACAACATGATGTTTTAAAATATGTATACATTGCAGAATGGCTAAATTGACCTAATTAACGTGTTATCTCACATACTTATTTCTTGTGGTGAGAACACTTAAAATCTACTCTCTTAATGATTCTCAAGAATACAATACATTATTAACTATAGTAACTGTGTTATATAATACATCTCTGAAATATATTGCTCCTAACTGAAATTTTGTGTCGTTGATCAATATCCACCCCTCATTCAAGCCCCTGGTAAGTGATATCCTTCTTTTGTGTGTGTTTTTTTTTTTTTGAGACGGAGTTTCACTCTTTTTGCCCAGGCTGGAGTGCAGTGGCGCAATCTTGGCTCATTGCAACCTCTGCCTCCCAGGTTCAAGCAATTCTGCCTCAGCCTCCCAAGTAGCTGGGATTACAGGCATGTGCCACCATGCCCAGCTAATTTTTTTGTAGTTTTAGAAGAGATGGGGTTTCACCGTGTTGGTCAGGTTGGTCTTGAACTCCTGACCTAGGTGATCCACCTACCTTGGCCTCTCAAAGTGCTGGGATTACAGACATGAGCCACTGTGCCCAGCCCTGGTAAGTGATATTCTATTCTCTGCTTCTATGCTAAGATTCTCCTATTATTCTACTCTTTACTTCTATGAGATCAACTTTTTTAGATTCCACATATGAGTGAGAAGATGTGCCATTTATCTTTCTGTGTCTGGCTTATTTCATTTAACATAATGTCCTCCAGGCTCATCCATGTTGCTATGAATGACAGGATTTCATTCTTTTTGATGGCAGAATAGTATTCCATTGTGTATATATACCACACAGGTATCCCTTTGATATAATGATTTCCTTTCTTTTGGATAAATGTCCAGCAGTAGGATTGCTGGATCTATGGTAGTTCCACTTTTAGTTTTTTGAGAAACCTCCATACTGTTTTCCACAATGCCTGTACTAATTTACATTCCCACCAGCAGTGTATGAGTTCCCTTTTCTCTACATCCCTCCAGTATTTGTTATTTTTTTGTCTTTTTGATATTAGCCATTCTAACTGGAATGAGATGATATCTCATTGTGGTTTTGATTTGCATTTCTCTGGTGATTAGTGATGTTGAACATTCTTTCATATACCTGTTGGCCATTTGCATGTCTTCTTTTGATAAATGATATGTGTTCAGGTCCTTTGCCCATTTTTTAAGTAGAAATGGAATCTCACTATGTTGCCCCGGCTGGTCTTGAACTCCTGGCCTCAAGTGATCCTCCCACCTTAGCCTCTCAAAGTGCTGGGATTGCAGGCATGAGCCACTGTGCCCAGCCTCCTTTGCCCATTTTTAAAATTGAGTTAGGTTGTTTCCTTGCTGTTGAGCTTATTGAGTTCCTCATGTCTTTGAATGCTAACTCCTTATCAAGTGTGTGGTTTGCAGGTATTTTCTCCCATTCTGTGGGTTGTGTCTTCACTCTGTTGATTGGTTCCTTTGCTGTATAGAAGCTTTTTAGTTTGATGTAATCTCATTTGTTCCTTCACTTTTGTTGCCTGTGCTTTTGGGATCATATAAAAAAAATCATTGCCCAAGTATCGTGGAGTTTTTCCTTTATGTTTTCTTCTAGTAGTTTTATAGTGTTGGATCTTACATTTAAGTCCTTGATCCATTTTTCAATTGAATCATCTCTCTTTTGACAAACTGAAAGTGTATCTCATCATACTAATTGACATCACGTACACTCAAAGAGAGGAAAGCCCATGAGATTTGGAGGGGATGCACATCCAAACCATATCAGCATCTCACAGAGTTGGCAGTTTTGTTTGCTATTGTGATGTAAAATAATGGTGAGTCTCACATTGAACTCAGAAGTAAGCCACACCTGGCCTATTTCTAGATTAATGAGTTTTCATTGGTGACAGGTCAAGAATTGACAGCAGGCACCTGGATTTCTCCTTTCAAAAGATTCCCCTTTAGAGTGGGAAGAGGCAGGAGCCAGCGTTGACCTTGTCAGGTCTTCCTGCTTGGGTGCTGTCACCTCACTTCTTTTTTTTTTTTTGAGATGGAGTCTGGCTCTGTCACCCGGGCTGGAGTGCAGTGGCGCAATCTCGGCTCACTGCAAGCTCCGCCTCCCGGGTTCACGCCATTCTCCTGCCTCAGCCTCCCCTCACTTCATTTTATAATGACAGCTTGTTTATGCTCTTCCCCACCAAAGTAGCAATTGCTTTTTTTTGTTTATTTCTTTTTTAGAGACAAGGTCTTACCCTGTCACCCAGGCTGGAGTGCAGTAGCATGATCATAGCTCACTGCAGCCTTGAACTCCTAGGCTCAAGCAATCCTCCCACCTCAGCTTCCTGAGTAGTTGGGACTATAGGCATGCACCACCATGCCTGACTAATTTTTAATTTTTTGCAGAGATGAGGGTCTCACTATGTTGCCCAGGCTGGCCTCAAACTCCTGGCCTCAAGCGTTCTGCCCACCTCAGCCTCTTGAATTGCTGGGATTAGAGGCGTGAGCCCCTACACCCAGCTAGCAATTACTTTTAGTTGGAGTTGAACTTGCTGAGCTTCACACTATCTTCAGCCACTACCTTGGATTGGAATGTTGGTGTGTGTAAGAAGAAAACAGAAACACTCCTTTTCCATACCCCTGCTACGCTCACCGTCGCGCCTTTGCCACACTCCGCTTTCTTGTAGTGCTTTCCATCTCCAGGGGCGGGAGCTCCTGGGGTCTGCTTGTCCTGTCTTCTTCTTTGGTGGAAGAAGTGGGCACAGGAACACTCTTTGTCCTGGAACGGCCCTGAATGATGCTTTTCACCCTCCCTTGTGGCTTGTCTCTGCAAGTAGTTTCTCCTGGCTCATGCCCCTGTCCCTTGACACAGTGGGTTCCCCAGGTGTGGAGTGTGAACCACTGGTGGTTATGTGAGATAATTTTAGAGGGCACACAGACACACATTTTTATTATTAGCTTGGTGCAGAACTAATTGCGGTTTTTGCCATTGAAAGTAATGGCAAAAACCACAATTACTTTTGTACCAGCCTCACTCAACAGCGAATATTTGCTAAGCACCTCCCCTGTGCTTGCTGTGGTTGCAGCCCCATTCATAGGTGTGGACATATGCCTTTTGTAATAGCTCTTTTTTTTTTTTTTTTTTTTTGAGACGAACTTTCACTCTGTCACCCAAGCTGGAGTGTAATGGCACGATCTTAGCTCACTGCAATCTCCATCTCCCAGGTTCAAGCAATTCTCCTGCCTCAGCCTCCCGATTAGCTGGGATTACAGGTGCCCACCACCACACCCGGCTAATTTTGTATTTTTAGTAGAGATAGGGTTTCACCATGTTGGTCAGGCTGGTCTCAAACTCCTGATCTCAGGTGATCCACTGGCCTTGGCCTCCCAAAGTGCTGGGATTACAGGCGTGAGCCACCGCACCCAGCTGTAATAGCTCTTATTTTGGAAAATTTCAGCATACAGAAAAATGCTAACACTACAATAAATTCCCATATAATTTTCACACACATTCACCTATTATTGACATTTTACCTCATTTGCCTTATGTCTCTGTCACTATTTTACATATATATAAAATAGACATATATATTAGATATATGTATGTAAAATATCTGAATTCTCTTTTGCTTTTTCAGCCACTTGAGAGTAAGTTGCAGTAAGTGTCCTTCATGCCTAGATACTTCAGAGGCATTTACTTAAGAAAAAGGGTATTATTCTATTAACCATAGTGTGATGATCAAAATTAGGAGATTTAATGTCGATATGGTGCTATTATCTATGTATGTGTATTTCACCAATTCTCCCAGTAGCATCCTTTAAAAGCAACCTTTTCCCTACTCCAGGATCCAGTTCAGGGTTGCATAATATATTCAATTATTATGTCTCTTTGGGTTCTTTTACTTTTTTTAAAATTATTATCTTTTTTTTTTTTAGAGATGGAGTCTCACTCTGTTGCCCAGGCTGGAGTACAGTAGTGCAATGATAGCTCACTGCAGCCTTGATCGCCTGGGCACAGGCCATGCTCTTGCCTCAGCCTCTTAAGTAGCTAGGACTACAGGTGAATGCCGCCATGCCTGGCCCATTTTTGTATTTTTTGTAGAGATGGGATCTCACTATGTTGTCCAGGCTGGTCTTAAACTCCTGGCCTCAAGTGATCCTCCTGCCTTGTCCTCCCATAGTGCTGGGATTATAGGCATGAGCCACCATGCATGGCCTTCCTTATTTTTAAGGAGTATAAGCCTATTGTTTTGCCGTTCGGTTTGTGTTCTGTATTTAGTTTTCCAATTACTTTTCTTTTTTTCTTTTCCTTTTTTTTTGCGACAGAGTTTCACTCCTGTTGCCCAGGCTGGAGTGCAATGGTGCCATCTTGGCTCACTGCACCCTCTGCTTCCCAGGTTCAAGTGATTCTCCTGCCTCAAACTCCTTAGTGGCTGGGATTACAGGTGCTCGCCACCACACCCAGCTAATTTTTTGTATTTTTAGTAGAGAAGGGGTTTCACTATGCTGGCCAGGCTGGTCTCGAACTCCTGACATCAGGTGAACCACCCATCTCAGCCTCCCAAAGTGCTGGGATTACAGGCATGAGCCACTGTGCCCGGCCCCCAATTACTTTTCTTTTATGACAAGTGACACCGGTTTTCCATCCATGGTCATGCCAAGTTTCCTTTTAAAATAGACTTATTTACATTTCAAAAGTGAGTCAACTTAAAGAAAAATAGGACATAAATAATAGTACAAGAGATGCAAGGATCTGGCGAAAATGGTGAATGCTATGTAGGAATGACCTAAATTTGGAAAATCTACTAAAATCTGCAGAACTGGCCTTGCAGGATCCAGACTGTCATCTCTTGGTCCCCGATGGTGGAGGAGGTCAGGCCAGGCCACAGTCCTGCTCAGGCCTTGGGTCTGTGAGCTGGGGATGCCCGTGCCAGCCCTAGTGGTGCCTCTGCTCCCACCACTGGCAACTGGGTGCCTTTTGGAGCAGGACTCATTCCTTTGTTTCCACCCATCCTCTGTTGCTCCTCTCACCTCCATCCTCCAATCTTTAAAGTCTTGAAGTCTTCTGATATGGTTTGACTTGAATTCCCACGTGTTGTGGGAGGGACTTGGTGGGAGGTAATTTAATGATGGAGGCAGGTCTTTCCTATGCTATTCTTGTGATAGTGAATAAGTCTCATGAGATCTGATAGATTTATAAAAGGGAGTTTCCCTGCACAAGCTCTCCTCTCTTTGCCTGCCGCCATCCATGTAAGGTGTGACTTGCTCCTCCTTGCCTTCCGCCATGATTGTGAGACTTCCCCAGCCATGTGGAACTGTAAGTCCATTAAACCTCTTTCTTTTGTAAATTGCCCAGTCTTAGGTATGTCTTTATCAGCAGCGTGAAAACGGACTAATACATCTTCCCTCTCCTTGAAACCTTTCTTTCTCACTGGGAGCAGTCTAGGCAACTCATCTATCATCTGCCCTCAATAGAATCCCGCCTCTTTCTCATGGGCTTTTAAAATGATGTATTCAGCCTCTTCTTTGGTGAGGCTCATGTCTTAGGTCTCCAACCAGGATCCAAGTTCCAGGAGGGCGGGGTCCCACTCTCTGTTCAGTCTCTGCAGCAGGGAGCTGCTGGCCTTGAACATGGAAGATGTCCAGGAACCACACTCCAGGCCCTTTCAGACTGCTACAAGCATCGTTTTTTATACAACTGACTCGGTGTCCCGGAAATGTTGGACATCTAATCCAGTTGCCCCTATGACTTCCCGGCCCCCAACACTTAAGCCTTCCATCGCCTATGGAAATGTTTTTCAAATTAGAGACACAGACCCCTGGGGGTCTATGAAATGTATCAAGGTGAGTGTGAGTTCTATAAGGATCTCTTAATTTCATGCTTTGGTTTTAATGATCACCTTCGAGACATTTTTAATAAAAGCTTATCCTGGATTGGCCAGGCATGGTGGCTCACGCCTGTAATCCCAGCACTTTGAAAGGCTGAGGTGGTGGGTGGATCACTTGAGGTCAGGAGTTTGAGACCAACCTGGCCAACATGGTGAAAACCTGTCTCTACCAAAATTACAAAAATTAGTCGGTCATGGTGGCACATGCCTGTAATCCCAGCTACTTGGGAGGCTGAGGCACAAGAATTGTTTGAACCTGGGAGGCATAGGTTGCAGTGAGCCAAGATCGCACTACTGCATTCCAGTCTGGGCAACAGAACAAGATTCCATCTCAAAAAAAAAAAAAAAAAAAAAAAGACAAAGCTTACCCTGGATGATCTAGATCACTACTTGATACTGACGCTGTTGTGCAATTTCAGCGTGTGCATTGCTGTTTGGTTTGCTTTGGGGCCAAGGGCACATCCAACATGGTAGGGTTCTAACTGTTCATGCAGTGTTTTTCCTCATACTTGGTCTGTGGATGCATTTGTGTGTGGGTGTATGTGTGTGTGTGTGTGTGTGTGTGTGTGTGTGCGCGCACACACAGCTTTGGGAAGCAGTGGTCCTTGGGCTAAAGCCACATTCCTAAGCCCAGCTTACAGGGACCTTTGCACTCAGCATCATGTCCGCCTCTCCAGCCTGGTCTTGTCCTATCCATGAGGGTCCCATGCTGCGGCCTCCTCCCTGCTCCCACTTAAAAAAATTGTAATCTTTTCCCCCTTAGTGCATTCCCCTTCCCATTCCAGATGCGGCGCATTCTCCCAGGGCTCCTTAGACTTCCCAGAGACGGACGTTTCCTCCCAAGTTTGCTTAGTTCCTGGAATGCCCTCAGTGACAGCATCTCTGTGATGCCATCAAGAGTCCACCTGCCCATCTCCCCAGCAGACTGTGAGCTCCCAGGGTACATGACTGTGCTCTCTGCCTTTTTGTGTTCCCAACACCCAGCACAGTGCCTGGACCCCAACAGGTGCCTGATACACACTTGTCACATGATTTTTATTTTATTGTTATTTTTAAATTTTTATTTGTTATTGTTTTTATTATTATTTTTTTGAGATGGAGTTTTGCTCTTGTTGCCCAGGCTGGAGTTCAATGGCGTGATCTCTGCTCACTGCAACCTCCACGTCCCAGGTTCAAGTATTCTCCCACCTCAGCCTCCCAAGTAGTTGGGATTACAGGCACGTGCCACCACGCCCAGCTAATTTTTTATTTTCAGTAGAGACAAGGTTTCACCATGTTGGTCTGACTGGTGTTGAACTCCTGACCTCAGGTGATCTCCTGCCTGGGCCTCCCAAAGTGCTAGGATTACAGGCATGAGCCACCGCGCCCCCACCTATTTTATTTTATGTTATTTTTTAGACAGATTCTCACTCTATTGTTGCCCAGGCTGAAGTGTGGTGATGCAATAATGGATCACTGCAGCCTTAACCTCTGGGATTCAAGTGATCCTCCCACCTCAGCCTCCCGAGTAGCTGGGACTGACTACAAGCATGCGCCACCATGCCCAGCTAATTTTTGCATTTTTTGTAGAGACAGGGTTTCACCATGTTGTCCAAGCTGGTCTTGAACTCCTGGGCTCAAGTGATCCACCCTCTTTGGCCTCCCAAAATGCTGGGATTACAGGCGTGACCCACCGTGCCCGAACTTTGCATGATTTTTCTAGGCCCAGAAGTCTGTGGTTGCACCAGACACCCTTTGAGCTCCCTCCCCATGATAGCCCTGACTCCCGTGTCCTCAGGAGCTGGGGGACTTGCTGCTGTGTGTGATTAGCTAACATTGCCTGACTTCTCTGCTCCAGACTGTCAGATCTGAGAGTAATTTTCTATGGGCAACTGTTTTAGAATTTTGTGTTTTAAATCACAACTGTCCATTAAGATTCTAAAGCAGCATTGCTGGCATGTTATTTTGCAGTTCTTGTTAAGATTTGCCTCACTCGAGTATAGCCTTGGAGGGTTCATGAAAATATACTGAACGCGTCACTTGTGGACGATGCTGGACACATTGAGGTTTTTCTTGGATTATTTTCCCAGTGGAGGCCACTCCTGTGTTCAGTTGGCACTTCACTTAACCTTTTTCACGTGACTGTGGTACTTATTCCACAGTATTTTTAAAGTCTTTTAATTTTTATTACCCCAAATAGCTTCACTTTTTCAATTTAACTTTCTCTCTGTGCTTGTGCCTTCAATACTTTTTTTTTTTTTTTTGAGACAGAGTCTCACTCTGTTGCCCAGGCTGGAGTGCAGTGGTGTGATCTCGGCTCACTGCAAACTCCGCTTCCTGGGTTCAAGTCTGAGACTACAGGCACCTGCCACCACACCTGGCTAATTATTGTATTTTTAATAGAGACAGGGTTTCGCCATGTTGGCCAGGCTGGTCTTGAACTCCTGACCTCAAGTGATCTACCTGCCTTGGCCTCCCAAAGTGCTGGGATTACAGGCATGAGCCACTGCGTCTGGTCTGTGCCTTCAATACTTTTACAAAGATTTTCTGCTCCCCAATAGGGAAAACATGCTGGCTGCTGTCATGAACACCTCTGGCACCCATGGACCCTCCATAGGCCTTGCTGGCAGGTTTTTGCTTCGGAGGAACTCGTAAGAACTTTGGGTCTCCCAGCAGGAATCCGTCGATGTCCGCCTGGGCGCACACCATGTGTAGATTCTGGTGCCCTCCCAGCCTTGTTGGTGTAGGGATGGATGATTCTGTTACCAGGGGCTTGGGACAGCCTTGTTTTGTTAGCGGCTGCATTGTGGGAAAGCCTACGACCCTGTGTCAAACACAGGGCCGTTCCCGGTGCCTCTAGACAGCGCCCCTGGAAGAGCTCCGCAGTATTTTTCACAGCCACTCCACAGAATCCCGCCAGCCTCGCTCCTCAGTTGTTGAGGGGAACCACCCCTGGGGCCTCTGTGGTCGACTCACTGTATGATGCTTGTGTTCCCTGGAGCCGCTGGGCAAATGAGTTGGCTTGAACTTGAACCCTCTTCTCTCTCCTGTGCTTGTTTGTGTATGATAAACTTTCCAAAGATGTTTGAAAAGTAAATGTTTGAATTGCGCATCCTTATTTGATCAATGTTTTGTACCTGTCAGTGCGTCGGACTGGAGCGGAGTTGCCTGGTCATCTGGACTGTGGCAGGAGGGACAGGGAAGGAACACGCCTTGGATGGCACCTAAGGGCTCTTTGTATCCTGACTGTTTCCCTCTGGCAGAGGCTGTCTTTTTTAGGTAGAAATTAATTTAATGTGGTTTTTTTTTCTAGTAGAACCTTGCATAGTCTTTCCTGAGAATCACAATGACAAGGACACCATAACCCTCAGGGATTCTAAGATTTTATACTTGAATAGGGTGATAGTGACAGTCATTTTATAAGAATAACATCTTTTTGCTATTGGAGGAGTAATATGCACTCAAGGCAGACAACTTGGAAGATTCAGAAATATCACAAGTGAAAAGGTACAGCCTCAACACCCCGAGATGGCTGCAGGTCCTCTTTCTTCTGTTTCCTTCCATGCTTTTCCTCCGGATAGACATGGCTTTATTTTTCAACTGTAGCTTACTGTCTGTTTCACTCATCAATAGAGCATAAACATCTCACCATGTCAATATTTATTCTTTTCCCATATGTAGATACCATATTTAATCAATCCCTTGTTGAACATCTTGTTTGACACCAGCGTTTCGTTGCTAGAGTTTTCCTGTGATAAGCATCTTTACTGATCCATCTTTGCTGACATCTGTTTAATAATTTCCTGAGGAAAAATTCTGAGAGATCAGAGTTTTTGAATCAAACAGAATGTACACTTTTCCTAAAAACCAAAATAAGAACAGATTTACTTAATCAGCGTCATTCATGTAGAAAATTAAAACTGAATCTGCAGTCCTACAATCTGGAAGCAATGTTAACAGCCAGGTGAGCCGCCTTTCAATTTCTCATGGATGGGGCTGTGGGGTACATGTTGGGAAGCAGTGGTTAAGAACACAGAACTGAGCTACATGCCTGGACTCTGGGCTCCGCTCCACCACTCACCAGTTACGTGACCCTGGCGAGTCACTTTAGTGCCCTTGGCTTCAGTTTCCTCCTCTGCAAAATGGGGACAATAAAAGTACCTACCTCATAAAATTGTAATAAAAATGAAATGGATTACCATATATGAAGAGCTCAGAGGCGGCCCTGGCACATAGCAAGTACCATGTAAGTACTTACTATTATTTTATATCCATTTTTTCACTTAACTCACTCTTTGCATATCAGTGAATATAGATCCAATTTTTCTCTAGTATCCTATAATAACAGCATTCCTTAATTTTTTAAACTGGTCTTGAGCCTCTTGCTAGTATCTCCCTGCAATACATTCTTAGAGCTGCGATGGATGGGCCCCCTTTTAATGGCCTTTAGATAGACATTTCTAAATCACATCTTCAGAAGGAGGACTTACTGTGCCTGTTTGGAAGTGAAACCACTGTTTTCCTATTACTGTGTCTAAGAGTGTTGTGCTTTGATGGGTGGCTTCATCCTATCACCTGGGCAGAAGTGAAATTGTGAAAACAATTGGGAGCCTAGCCTTTATGGTTAAACTCGAGTGACTGAGACTCCTACAGCTGTGAGGAGCTGCCACTTTGGCCCGGAGGCCAAAATGCACGTCAGCAACCAGGAATTCCAGAACTGTCTCTTACTGTTACCATCTGTGCCTCCCTTTTATAGGATAGAAAACACGGGGACTTTTGAGAAGGAAAATTATCTAACAACTGACAGCTAGTCAGGACCCACAGCAAAGAAGGAATTGTTTAGTTTATTGTTTTTGTTCCTAAGTTGCCCCATCCTTTAGAATGTTTTAACTGGAAAAATAATTCATGGAAAAACTTACTAACAGTTAACAAAAATTTAGAATGAAAAGTAAATCCCTCTCCTCCCCAAGACCTTGGTCTCCCAGAGGCAACAACTGTTAGGGGTTTTGTGTGTTGTAGAAATTCTGCTCCTATACAGCTGTGTCCTTACTGGTTTTCCAGGAGTAAGAGTATACTACAACATTGTTCAGTCTTTTGCTTCTTTCATATAACAGTGTAAAATGGCTTTCATTTTTCTTAACCTGTCTGCAGAATGTTTGGCGTTAACATCCGTCAGTGGTGAGTGAGCCTGTGACGAAATGATTGAACAGAATGCCTCTCGTCACATGTAGGGGCAATTATTTTCTCTCCAGCTGCCAAACCTCTCTAAAAGGTCTTTCTAAAAGGACCTCTCTAAAAGGTCCTACGAAAGTTAAATGAAACCGCTTCTTCTGCCCATCACCTAATGCAAACCGACCCCCTGCAGAACTTGTTGGAATGTGGCATTTCAAGGCCGAGTTTAGCAGCTTGACTGTGCAGCTGTGGATCCCTGAAGGGACATAGCCTCCCTTCTTGGGCCGCAGCTTCATTTTTAAAATGAGGAATTCAGTATCTAAGGGGAGTCTCACAAAGTCAAGACCTCTGTCTCGTCCTCCATCATGTCACCCACTTCTGGAACAGCATCCAGGAACGCAGAAGGCCACCATGAATTACGAGCTCCCTCCCAGTCCCGCATCCCATTCTTCTGTTTCCTCTTTTCTGCCCCACGCAGAGTCCTTCAGCAAGGAGACCTGGGCTCTGCCAGGACAGTGGTCCCTCACCGCATGGCGGTCACGGTCACCGACAGGACCAGGAAGAGGGACGGGACACCGGCCAGCAGGGCCCATGTACTGAGGAGGGGCTTCTAGAACCAGGCCCTATCCTTTCACAGCTGCAAACCAGCTGGTTTCTGTGTCCACCTCCATTGTAAAATGGCCCATTTCATTGCCAGGAGAGGTGACCATGCTGGTCATTTTCACCCTGCAACTGACAAACCTCAGTACAGAAGTCTCTTGTGAGAGCATGACAGCTGCTAGTTATACGTATAAACATGTAGGTGCTTACGAACATTATTTCATTTAATCCTCACAGTGACACTCTGGAGCGGGTACATCTTATGATCTCAGGTTAGGACACTTGGACAAGGCCACCCAGCTAACAAGGAGCAGAACTGAGCCTTGAGCCCAGGTCTGTGCGATGGCAAACCCCAACGTTTAACCCCCATGCCATGAGCAGGGGGACTTTGAAGGGGAGGGTTTACTTCTCATTTTGGCTTTGTCGATAAACCACACTGTGTGACCTGGGCAAACCCCTCTCCTCTGGGCCTCAGTTTTCCCATTTGAACAATTAGAAAGGATTCGTGTCATTTCTAAGACTTTCAGAGCTTTGCATGTTCCAATTCTGGGATATTTGAGCTGCCTTGAGGTCAAGAGACATGTGGCATCGTCAAAGGCTTAGGCAGGAGGATGGCTTGGGGCCGGAAGTTTGAGACCAGCCTGGGCTAACACAGTGAGACCCTATCTCTTAAAAAAAACAATTAGCTGAGCGTGGTGGCATTCAGCTGTAGTCCCAGCTACTTGGGAGGCTCAGGTGAGAGGATTGCTTGAGCCCAGGACTCCATCATGGATGGAGACCCTGTCTCAAAAAAATAAAGACAATGGAGGGGGACAGCCACTACTGGAACCTGGGAGCTGCTCCCTCTTGCCCACCCAGACCTCACGTGTCTGCTCCTACATTGCACCACGTAGGAATGGCAGCTGGGCAGTGTGTTCATGCCCAGGGCATGGAGCAGACAAACAGAGGAGCACAGATGTTGCTGGGCTTGCGGCTTGTCCTCTGAGGGAGAGAGGCAGTTACACAGACCCACGGGCACCTGCTGATGGGCACAGAGCAGTGAGAACCCCCCTGCTGCCTGCCACAGGGCCGAGGAACCAGCAGGCACCCCCCAGCAGGGCTTTCCTTTCAGAATGGACAGAGAAGCCGGCAGACCCAGCCCTGCCCTGATTCATGTGAGCCGTTCTGATGCTTCTGAATCACATTTCCACCTGGTGTCCTCTCCTTAGTGAGTACCATTGCTTTCAGAATTTCCCTAGAAATAAATGTCCTCACACGTTAAGAATTTGTTTAAGGCTCTTGCTTCTTTGGAGAAAAGGATTCTGGATGCCTCCAAAACGTCGACCAAAAAGAGTTAGTAGAGAAGGAGAAAGACCCATTTTGGGGAGCTGCAGTTTGTGATTGTCAGCAGAGTGATTTGGTAAGTGGCTTCTGGGAGCTATTGCTTCCCGGCCCCACCCAGCCCACACACCTGCCTTTCAGGTCTCCCTTATTCTACCCGTGATGCAGCCATGGCTTCAGGGTCCCCTTGGAAGCAACCTCAGGCTGCTGGGGCCCTTCTCGCCCAGCCCCATGTGCCTGCTCTATGCTGCACCACCTACCCCGCTAGGCAGCTGGAAGTTGCGTTTTTTGCCTACCCCTCTGGGTAACTGCATTCCAGTGTGGCTGTTTCTGAACATGCAGAGGGCACACTGGGAGCATCATGCCATGATGCTTGGCAGGGGCTTCTCTCCCTGTTCTGTAGGGGAGGATCGATGGTCAGAGGCTTTCTGGAAAACAAACACTCTATCAGTACATCGTAGGAGCTTTACAAACATTGTGCTTCGACCCATGATTTCTTCTTTGGGGTCCACCTCTTAAGGAAATGAAGGATTTGAACTGTGGACAGAAATGCTTCTGACAAATCTGTCATAAGACTTGAGGGTCAGAAACCCAATGCAAACAGAGGCAGGCATGGGAATGTATTAGCTAATGTGACCAAGAAATATTAAGGCGTATCTGGCCTTCAGCACAGCTGGACCAAGGGGCTCATGTGCTGCTGTTTGCTCTCCTGGTGTCAGAATGCCTGTCAGAGGCTTGGGGCCTTCCTCTTAACTGAAGGAGCCCCAATAGACAGGAGGAGAAACTCTTCACAAGGGCTCCACACTTGTCCTAGAACCAAAGCACTGGCTCTGATTGGGCCACTTGCTCATCCTGACCCATCGCTGTGTACAGAGGGATGGAATAAGCCAACTGGTAGACCTCAGCCATTCCCTCTCCTGGACCTGAGGAGGCAAGCCATTCCCACGTGGGCCACACTGTGAGGCAGGGATCCTGGAGGGTACTTGGAGTGCTCCTGTCAAAAGAAGAGTGAGACCTTTCGTGGTGGCTTACTCCTGTAATCCCAGTACTTTGGGAGGCTGAAACAGGAGGATGGCTTGAAGTCAGGAGCTGGAGACCAGCCTGGGCAACATAGTGAGACCCAGTCTCTACAAACAATTTTAAAAATGAGCCAGGCAGGGTGGCACATCTGTAGTCCCAGCTACTCAGGAGGCTGAGGCAGGAAGATCGCTTGAGACCATGAGGTCAAGGCTGCAGTCAGCTTTGGTTGCACCACTGAAGTCCACCCTGGGTGACAGAGTGAGACCATGGCTCTTTTAAGGAAAAAAGAAATAGAAGGGTGAATGCTAGACAGGCAAAAGTTGCTGAAGCCTATGATTTCCGCACAGCGTCATGCAAAAAGGTGAGAAGTGCAACCCACAAGCAGCTCTGGAAGAATGGCTTAAATTGCAGCTTATTCCTAAGGCGGAATATTATGCAGCCATTAAAACATACATTAGAATTAAATTTATGGGGAAAACCTCATGATCGAATTTATGCTAGAATGTGTTAAAAAATAGGTTACAAAGTACATATACAGTATAGGTTCAACTGTGTAAAGTATATTTATGCTTTGAAAAATGCTGAAAGAAAATATGCAAAAACTTTCATAGTAATTATGGCAACAGGCACGAATTTTATTCTGTAATCTTTTTTCTTTTCTTTTCTTTAAAACATTAAAGTACCCATTATATGAATGCCTAAGGAACAAACATTAATTTAAAGAATCCAACCTGCAGAATGATTTCTACTTGAGCAGCATGAGGCTAGGCTGCAGCCACGTGGGAACCAGAGTTGGGGAAGGGTGAAGACAGGCGGGGGTGTGGAGAGGGAGGGGAGAAAGCAGCTCTGCCAAGTCTACACATTTCAACCTTAAAGAAAGCTGCAAGCAGGTCTTGGCCCAACTGGAAGCAAATTGTGGGAGGCGTGGCTGGGAATGGGTTCCCTTAATTCCCCAAGGCTTAACTCATAAGCCCTCATCCACAGGTTTGTTTGTTCATTCAGTCAGGCACTCCTTCATGCAGTAGATGAGTGTCCCTGTGTGCCAGAGAATGTGGAAGGAAACAAGTCATGTCCACGTCCTCCAGAAGTTCACAGTGTAGTCTGAGGACACGCATGCACGTGATGCTATCGTTGGCTTTCCATGTGTTGTGGGCCTGGTTGGTGTCAGTCATTGGCAGGGGAGGCTTTGGGAGGAAGCCTGGACACCATGTGAACGCAGCAGCTGATTTTGAGAGAGGGACAGTGGGGTGATCCCTCGTGAGCTTGGCACGAGAGGGACCGGTGGGCAATTGGCCTGACTCTGTCTCCCAGGCCCCAAGCGAGGCACTGTGGTTACCAGGTTCTGGACAGAAACTGACATCTGGCGGATGGTCAGATAGTGTGGAGTGGGGATGTGGAGGGCCCAAGGGAAGAACTGAAGTGAGCACACGGGCAGAGGGGAGAGCAGGGGGTCCTGCAAGCAAGGCAGAGAGCAGCACAGCAGGTAGAAGGGAGATGGCCTCATGCCCAGGGACCCAGCTTTCCTAACACAGCCAACAGTCAGGCCCGAGCTCTGAGACCTGCGGAAGCTGCAGTATCTCTCCTAGAAAAGGGGAATGTATCCTACTCTGCTTGGGGGTTCTGACAGGGACAAGGGCTAATGAACTGAGGCACCTGGGCTGGAGTCAGGTAGACAGTAGAAGCACAGTTCCCAGGAGGAGGGCAGGAGAGAAACCTGTGGCCCACTCAGCTGGCACCTTGACCTCAGCCATACCAGAAGGTGGTCGGTGTGGCAGATTTTATTTTCTAAAGAGAGCCATGACTGTCTTCTGTCCATCATGTTCTCTTGTAATGTGACCTTGCCACTCTGCATGGCTTCTAAGCATAGGTCATATGCTCCCACCAGCTCCCCCGACTCCTCCTCCCTTCCCTCCCTCCCTCTCCAGGGATGCTCACCTTTGGAAACTGGCCACTATGCTTCAAGGAAGCCCAGGCCACATGAGGAGGTCATGTGTAGGTTTGTCCATGGGGAGGTCATGTGTAGACATGTGTATCGGGAGGTCACATGTAGATATGCGGGCTGACAGCCCCTACTGAGGTCCCAGTGGACCTAAGGCATCAAAAGTGAGTGAGGGAAACTTGCAGATGACTCCAGCCTCAGATGCCACCTGAGTGCAACCATGTATAAGACCCTGAGTGAGAACTGAGCTGAACCCAGTTAAGCTCCAGAACCATGACAGATAACAAAAATGACTGTTGTTGTTTTAAGCCACTAAATTTTGGGTGGTTTGTTGTGCTGCAGTAGATAATCAGAACAATTAGTTTTTGTTTTTGCAATAGACTTGTTTTTTTTTTTTTAACAGCAGTTTTAGGTGCACTGGAAAATTAAGCAGAAGGTACAGAGATTTCCCATGTATTTCCAGTTTGTACACATGCACAGCCTCCTTCATTATCAACATCCTCCACCAGACGGGTGCATTTTTTACCACTAATGAACCTCCACTGACACATCATTATCATCCAAAACCCATGGTTTACATTAGGGTTCACTCTTGGTGTTGTGCATTCTATGCGTTTGGACAAATACATAATGACATCTATGCACTATTCTGGTATCATACAGAGTAGTTTCACTGCCCTGAAAATCCTCTATGCTCTATTTATCCTGCCCTCCCCCCAACCCCTGGCAACCACTGATCATTTTACTGGCTCCATAATTTTGCCTTTTCCAGAATGTCATAGAGTTGGAATCATACAGTATGTACATATCCTTTCAGCTTGGCTTCTTTCACTTAGTAATATGAATATAAGATTCCTTCACATCTTTTCATGGCTTGATAATTCTTTTTTTTTTTCTTTTTTCTTTTTTTTTTTTTTTGAGATGCAGTCTCACTCCAGGCTGGAGTGTAGTGGTGCCATTGCAGCTCATTGCATCCTTGACATCCTGGGCCCAAGCGATCCTCCTGCTTCAGCCTCCCAAGTAGCTGGGACCACAGGTGTGCATCACCACACTCGATTAGTTTATTTTTATATTTTGTAGAAATGAGGTCTCCCTATGTTGCCCAGACTGGTATCAAACTCCTGGCCTCAAGTGATCCTTCTGCCTCAGTCTCCCAAAGTGCTGGGATCACAGGTATGAGCCACTATGCCTGGCTTTATTTCTTTTTAGTTCTGAATAATATTCCATTTTCGGGTTGTGTCACAGTTGATTTATCCATTTACCTACTGAAGAACATCTTGATTGCTTCCAAGTTTTGGCAATTATGAATAAAGCTGCCATAAGCATATATGGGCAGGCTTTTGTGGGGACACAAATTTTCAATTCATTTGAGATAGATACCAAGGAGTGTTATTCCTGGATCATATGGTTAGAGTATGTTTCCTTTTATAAGAAACCGCCAGACTGCTTTCCAAAGCAGCCACGCCATTTTGCATTCCCACCAGCAATGAATGAGAGTCTCTGTTGTTGCACATCCTCACCAGCATTTGGTGCTGTCAGTGTTCTGGATTTCGGCCATTCTAATATGTGTGTAGTGGTATCTCATCGTTGTTTTAATTTGCATTTCCCTAATGACAGTGATATTGAGCATCTTTTCATGTGCTTATTTGCCCTTTGTATATCTTCTTCAGTGAGGTGTCTGTTGTGGCAAAAGATGGTCATTTGCCCATTTTTTAATCAGGTTGTCTGTTTTCTTATTGTTGAGGTTTTAGAGTTCTTTGTCTATTTTAGATAACAGTCCTTTATCACATATGTGTTTTGGAAATATTTTCTCCCAGTCTGTGGCTTGCCCTCCCATTATCTTGACAGTGTCTTTCAGAGAGCCAAAGCTTTTTAATTTTAATGAAATCCAGCTTATCAATTATGTCTTCCATGGATTATGCCTTTGATGTTGCATTTTAAAAGTCATTGCCAAACCCAAGGTCACCTAAATTTTCTCCTATGTTATCTTCTAGGATTTTATAGTTTTTCATTTTATGTTTAGATTTCTGATCCACTTTGAGTTAATTCTTGTGAAGGATGTAAGGTCTGTGTTGAGTTAATTCTTGTGAAGGGTGTAAGGTGTGTGTCTAGATTCACCTTTTTGCATGTGGATGTACAGTTTTTCCAGCACCATTTGTTGAAAAGACCATCTTTACTCCCTTGAATTGCCTTTGCTCCTTTGTCGAAGATCAATTGACTATATTTATGTGGGTCTATTTCTGGGCTCTCTATTCTGTTCCATTAATCTAGTTGTCTATTCTTTCATTAATACCTCAGTCTTCATTACTGTAGCTTTACCGTAAGTCTTGAATTCAGGTAGGGGCAGTCCTCTGACTGTGCTTTGGTATCAAGTTAGCTATTTTGGTCTTTTACCTTTTCATATAAACTTTAGAATCAGTTTATTGATATCCATAAAATAACTTGCTGGAGTTTTAACTGGGATTGCATTGAATCTATAGAATTTGGGAAGAACCGACATCTTGATACAATTAAGGCTTCTTATCCATAAACAAATAATACTACTCTCTATTATTTATTTCTTCTTTGATTTCTTTCATCAGAGTTTTTTAGTTCCTCTCATATAAATATTCTTGCATATTTTGTTAGATTTATGCCTAATTCATTCTTTTGGGTGCTAATCTAAATGGTATTGTGTTTTTAATTTCAAATTCTACTTGTTCATTGCTAGTATATAGGAAAGTGACTGACTTTTGTATAATAACCTTTATCCTGCAACCTTGCTATAATTGCTTAATTTCAAGAGGAATTTTTGTTCCATTCTTTTGGATTTTCTGCAGTCAGAACAGTTTTTTAAAACTTATACCCTACTTCTTTGCTACTAAGATCTCATCTACCTAGTGACAGATTTTGTTGGGGAATGGGTAGGAGCTGAGAGGAGAAAAAGAGCTATCCTGCTGTGAAAGGTGCTTAATAATTGTAAAACAGATACTAATTTAAGGAACTTTAAAATATCATGTGAGAAAATATGCATCATAGATCAGTCTTTTTCCTAGAAGCACAGCGCACCCTGAACTCCTTCTTAGAGTAGAAGATGCATCAGTGTTGGGGCTTCATGGGTCCAGGTTGCCAGGGGTGGGATGCCAGGAGCTAAGACCCAGGCTGTCCAGGGAGCTATGGGTGTCTGGGCAGCCCCAGATCTGCATGGGGCCAAAAGCCTGGTGTTCTGGGATTGGAGATTCAGTGGTGCAGCTCTTGTCCACCCTGGGGCCTTTTTCAAGCAGCCAGTGTCAGGGGTCTCAGTCCACAGGTTGCCAATTGGTGCTTGTACTTTTTTCTGTGTTTGAGCATAAAATATCAACTTCTAGGCATGAAAGAGCCAAACAAATGAACACACAACAACTCAAGGATAACAAAACACCACTTTTTGCAGTGGACATGTGTGGTTTCCTTCTGCAGGGATTTTCGGTTCACAGCCCTTTGGAACATCTCAACCCCAGGGACTGACTTCCCAAGCCCTGGCTACAGAGGCCGTCATGTGACTTGGGCCTGGCCAATCAGCATATTCCGTTGGCTTAGCCTTGGTGATTGGTTCAGGGATGGTCCCGTGATTCCAGCTAGTCCAATGAGAGCTCTCCTCAGGACTTCTGCCAGGACTTCCTGGGAACCCTGCAGATGTACCTTTTCTGGTGGGACTGCCAAACCCTTAGGACGTCATCCTCGAACTGGGATCGGGTAGGGAACAACCTAAGGGAGAGGATGGTGAACCTGCCTGAGAGTGAAGACACAGAGGACAGCGCAGGCAAGGAGCAGGTTCCTGATATGATTGTCTGAGGCCCTGGGTCCTGGTGCTGGAAGGCAGCCGCACCCTGGCATTTTCAGATACTAGAACCAGCGACCCCCTTTCATACTGAATCCTGTTTGACTGGGTGTTTATCACTTGACTGACATCCTCTAAGAATTGTGCAGTGGGCCGTGTGCAGCCAGCCACCTCCTTCCGGAAAGACAAACTCTCAACTCTGTCAGAAAATGGGCTGTGTCTGTGCCTCTCTCTCTTTCCTAGAACCTGAGGACCTCCCTCCTGACTCCCCACACCTGGGGCTGACCTGCACGCCCTCCGAGCCACATTACCTGCGCAGCCTTGCCTGGCGATCGTGCTGAGCAGCACCTACCTGGTACGCAGCTGCTTGAGCATCCGTCTGTCTTTCTGTCTTCTCTTCTGGAGAATATGAGTCCTGGGGAGCTGGAGCCCAATCGGTCCTCCCTCCCCTACAGGCCTGGGCACCCTACCTGGCACTTGCCCGGTGCTCTGTGAACTGAATGGGAAAAGGAAAGCAGACCAAGTCACCTGGAAAGCAGGCATGGGACGAGGAAAGATCAGTGGTCTTGGAATCCAAAAGTAAAGGGCGGCATCGTGGCACTGCAGCTCTCCGGCTATTTGCTTGGGCAAATCCTGGCTTTCATCTCCAGCTGCCTCGTCCATGGCAGAGAGATCGTGGGTCTAACCCTCGTTGTGTCACAGTGAAAGCATGCTCAGGGCCAGCATGTGGAGCTCTCACAGAGGTTGCTCCTATTCCCTGGGCTTTCGCCCAGAGCTGCGTGCTTTACACTTGCAATCCCCTCCAAACCTCCCTGCTACTGGATCCGGAAGGCTCCATTTTACAGATGAGCAAACTAGACGCAGTGAGGTTGAGTCAGTTGCTCAATGCCACACAGCTGGTCATCGAAGAAGGCTGCCCTTGAGCCCAGATCTGCTCACCCCAGAGCCCTGGGTCCTAGCTTTTAGGCTCTGGTCTCTCTGAGGCTGGAAGGGCTTCCCTGAGCAGTGGCCAAGCCAAGAGGTGGCTTAGGGGAACAGTTTTGTTGTGGTTGTAGAGTCAGGGTCTCCCTGTGTTACCCAGGCTGGTGTCAAGCTTCTGGGCAAGTGATCCTCCCACCTCGGCCTCTTAAAGTGCTGGGATTACAAGTGTGAGCCACCACACCTGGCTGGCCTAGGAAAACTTAAACCCATCTCACATCTCCCCCAGCCCCTCCAACCCCTGAGTGAAATTTATGGTTCAGGTAAAGACGGTGTGCCTGTTCTTCAGCTTCAAGACAAGCCCTCAGCCCCTGCTCCTAAGGCAGACTGCCAATCTCCTAGCCTGTCCAGCCTGCCCCTACTCAGTGAGCTGATGAGACAAGGAGTGGGGCTGGGATCCTCTGAGCCAGACCACACTTGAAGCTTCCGGAGAGCCAACACAGGGAGATTCTGTCCTGGGCTCCAGGCCTTTCTGAGACAAAGCCCCTCCATCTACATGTCTCAGTTGGTGCCTGGTCCTGGGCGGCATGCAAGGCCAGGCTGTTTCCAGTTTTGAGTGTTCCTATGTGGTAAAAATGAAGAAGCATCAACACAAATTTCCACCTTTGTAGTGTACTTACATAAATAGCTTTCACAGATTAATGCTTCTAACACACAAATGGTGTGATTTAACTATGCCAGGGTACTTAGCATATTATTTTTTAAATTGATTTATAGGTCACTGAAGGGAGGCTGGCCTGGCAATGGACCGCAAGATTCAAGGTGGAGAATGTCCCTCGTTTCCATCCTGTTTCTGTGACTTGTATATGACAGTATTTAGGGAAGGTGAAAGGCATACCTTTGTGGCTCCTGTCCTGATAAGGTGGGCAACCAATTGCCACAGTCAGGGTTGGGGAGGGGCACAGGGAGGTGGTGGAGCCCTGCACCTTCACCCCATTACCTGTGCTGGAGTTCCTGCCATCGGAGGCTTCCTGAGAATTTCCAGCCACCAGAAGGGGGCAGACGGTGACTTCTGAAGCTGGGACACAATGGGTCTGTGAGGAGGCAGGCAAGAGGGGGTGGAGGCGCCAGGCTGAAACCACCACCTCCACCACCTTGGGACAAGCTGGGCCCCCATCAGCTGGGCTTGGCTCTCCGGAAGCTTCAGGTGTGGGCTAGCTCAGAGGATCCCAGGCCCACTGCTTGTCTAGTCAGGTCACCAGATTGGGGAGGGCTTGACAGGCTAGGGGGCTGGCAGTCTGCCTTAGGAGCAGGGGCTGGGGCTGGTTTTGAAGCTGAAGAACAGGCACATTGTCTTTACCTGGACCATACATTTAACTAGGGGGTTGGAGGGGGCTGGTGGAGATTTGAGGTGGGTTTAAGTTTTCTGAAGCCAGCCAGGTGCAGTGGCTCACACCTGTAATCCCAGCACTTTGGGAGGCTGAGGTGGAAGGATCGCTTGAGCCCAGGAGTTTGAGACCAGCCTGGGCAACACAGGGAGACTCTGTCTCTACAACAACAAAAACGTTCCCCTAAGCCACCCCTTGGCTTGGCCACTGCTCAGGGAAGTCCTTCCAGCCTCAGAAACCCCCAGAGCTGCCGAATCGTCCCGCATGGAAGACAGACACAGATGCAAGTGTCTAAATGCCTTTGTGCATCCTGGTTCCAGGTGGGAGGCGCTGGGAGATGGGGGCCTCTCACTTAGAAACTGCCTCCCCTCCCAAACCTGGACACATGGCCCACTGCTACACACCACCACCACCAGTGTTGGCTGTCGCAGGACGCCGAGGGCCTGTGGTATGTCTGGAGCTTCCTCGTGGACAGGCCTTTCAGCAGTGTGCCATGATGGGCCCAGTCCCTGTTGAAATTGAGTCCTTTGTGGATTTCCTAAGCTACAAAGCAACCCCAGCCCTGGGATATCTCAAAGAGAATTTTTAAATGACATGAGCTGGACATGCAACCACAAGGTGTCTGCCCAGATTAAGGCGAACTCCAGCATGGGCCTTTGAAGGGCACTCGATTTCCCAGGGTGAAGATGGATTTCCACAACAGAATTCACAAAAGCCTCCCCAGCCCACACTCGTCCACTGGGACAGGGCTCACTGTCCCTGGGGGCTGCGGGGAAGGTTCCAGGATAGCAGGTATTTTTCACATCCCACCATACACTGCTGCCCAGGCAGTGGTACCAGCACCAGAGTCCCCGGACCTGTGTCTGCCCTAAGTGTCCTGCCTCCATGCTGTCCCTTCTCAGCACAAGACCCACTGTGTGTCTAGCCCCCCACCCCACTGGTTACATATCCATGGCTCCTGCAGCCTCAGAGCAAAATCCAGACGTTTATTGTGTTTCTGTGTGGCCTCCAGCCTCTCCACTTCCTCCCTCCACACACAACCAGCCACCTGGATGTCCAGTCTCTGGAGCCCTGGGCTTGCCCTGGGACCGTCCCACATTGCCATACTCTGTCTGGACTCTCTTGCCCCACTCTATGCAGCTAACTCCTCTTCATCCTTCGAGAGTCAGCTAAAATGTGGCCTATTGCAACAGGACTTCCCTGCCTACCAGGACCCTCGGTCCTGTCCTTCTGCTCAGTGCTGTCACAGATCTCATCATCACTTATTTATGTCACTACAGTCACAAGCCCAGCTCAGTGCCCAGCACATAGTAGGTGTTCAACAAACATGTGTTATGTGAACTCAGGAGCCCCTCATATGTGTCTGCTCCCTCCGGCAGAGGCCTACCTTGAGCGGGGCTTTGACCCTAAATCCAAGGGTATCCAAGAGGGACATCTGAGCCAACCTTGGGTCTCCATCTGCCCATGACTCCCCACCCCCCTTCCCTCCCCTGAAATGCACTTTCTTCATTCACTACAGATCTAGAACCTCCTGCAGGAACTGAGCTGAGCTGGCTAGCTGCAAGCTTCTAGGCAGGGAACAGGCATGGCCAGTCTGGAGGCTGCCTGAGAGACTGGGGCTTTGCTTCTCAGGCCTCACCTGCACCACCCTCCTTAGCTCACTCTCTGAAGCCCACCTTCCTGGAAAAGCAGGAGCCCCAGCCCCACCATTCCACTAAGCTCCCACCTCCAGCCTCTTGCTGGAAGTCTCTTGGCCAGAAGGAAAATGTCCCTTCACCTAGACAAGGCCCAGGTCCCTCTATGAGGGCTTTGGACTTGGCAGACAGCATTGGGTGCATCAGTCACCATTCAGACTGGCTTTCTGAGCCACACACAGTGCTCAGACCTGAGGGACACCATGAGGAATAAATATGGCCCCTGCTTCCCCAGCCCCAGGCCTATCCCAAGAGCTCTCATCCTTTCTGTTCAGGAAAGACTTTTGAACACATTTTAGTGGCTCATGAGAAGGGATTGAAGGACCCTAAGTCAGGAAGAATGACATATCACTGGCAGAAGAGGATGACAGAGCCTACTAGAAGCCCACTCTTATGCTCTCTGCTCTGCTTTGGAAGCAGGACAGAGGACAGGCACCCCAGGAGTGGTTGCCAGAGTTAAGGTGGAGTGGGGCACAGCAGGCAAGCAGCACCCTGGCAGATGGGAGATCCCATCCCAACTCCCACCAGCTCCTCTGTGTTCCTGGACAAACCGTTAAATCAAGGTGGCGAGTTATGTGGCCACAGGAGCCAGGTGTCAGCATAAATGAGTCTCACATATCCAGTAGAGAAAGCAAGACGCCACCTGAAGGGTTGGCTACTCCAGCCTCTGGTGCCTGGCAGGAATATGAGTTGCCAGATTTGATGATTGTTTAAAAAAAAAAAAACTTCCCACTTTATTATTTTGTTTAGAGGCAGAGTCTCATTCTGCCACATAGGCTGAAGTGCAGTGGTGCAATCATAGCTCACTGTGGCCTCGAACTTCCGGGCTCAAGGGATCTTCCCGCCTCAGCTTCCGGAGTAGCTGGGAACACAGGCATGAACTAGCATGCCTGGCTAATTGTTTTATTTTTATTTTTTTGTGGGGGACGGAGTTTCACTCTATCACCCAGGCTTGAGTGCAATGGTGTGATTTCAGCTCACTGCAACCTCAACCTCCTGGGTTCAAGTGATTCTCCTGCCTCAGCCTCCCGAGTAGCTGGGATTACACGCACGCACCACCATGCCCAGATAATTTTTGTATTTTCAGTAGAAACGGGGTTTCACCACATTGGCCAGGCTGGCCTCAAACTCCTGACCTCAGGTGTTCCACCTGCCTCACCCTCCCAAAATGCTCGGATTACAGGCGCGAGCCACTGTGCCCGGCCTATTTTTATTTTTTGTAGAGAGGAGTTCTCGCTATGTTGCCCCAGGCTGGTGTCAGACTCCTGGGCTCAAGCGATCCTCCTGCCTCGGCTTCCCAAAGTGTTGGGATTACAGACCTGAGCCATCGCACCTGGCCTAAATTTCCCATTTTAAATGTTGGCTCAATTATAAAACAGAAAAACAACAGAGCAAGGCAGACGGTGTTTCTGCAAGCCGTACTTGACAGGGCAGTCTCTCGATTAGGCTCTCAGTGGGGCCACCTGTAAAATGAGGGCACTACTCGAGGGTGAGAGCCATCAACAGCGCCTCCTAATGGATCAGCTCTGCCCATAGGCCACAGGACCTCATGGCTACAGCTGATTGGGCCAGGAGTGGGCACCTAGCCCAAGGGCAGCCAATCCCAGGCTAGCAATAGTTTATGCTGTGACTTGGGGCAAATAGTTTATTCTGTGACTTGGGCCACCACCGTCCTCACTCTTCTTACTCCGGATCCTCCCCTGCCTAGCCCCGTAAGTCATTCAGAGCTGAGTTCAGATGGTATCTCCATGCCAAGGCCATCTCTGATCACCTCTGTTTAAATTGCCTCCCGTTGCAGGGCAGATTTTTTTTTTCTTTTGCATTTTGTTCTGTGATGTATCTACAGTACCCAGAATGATATCTAACACATCATAGACCCTCACCAAATATTTGTTGAAGCAAGTAGTAAATTCCCACAAGTCCTCCCTTGTCGCTCCACAGCCCCTCACATGTTTTGTGCTAGCTCCAGCGAGACCTTCTGGCACACAAAAGAAGTAGATTAGGCCTGGCGTGGTGGTTCACGCTGGTAATCCCAGCACTTTGAGAGGCTGAGGTGGGAGGATCGCTTGAGCTCAGAAGTTGGAGACCAGCTTGGCCAACATCACAAGATCCTGCCTCTACAAAAATTTTTTAAAAATTAGCTGGTTGTGGCTGGGTGCAGTGGCTAACACCTGTAATCCCAGCACTTTGGGAGGCCAAGGCAGATGGATCAGTTGAGATCAGGAGTTCGAGACCAGCCTGGCCAACATTGTCTCTAAGAAAAATACAAAAATTAGCCGGGCGTGGTGGTGCACACCTGTAAACCCAGCTACTTGGGAGGCTGAGGCAGGAGAATCGTTTGAACCTGGGAGGCAGAGGTTGCAGTGAGCCAATATCAGGCCACTGTACTCCAGCCTGGGTGACATAGCAAGACTCCATCTCAAAAAAATAAAAAATAAAAATAAAAATTAGCTGGTTGTGGTGGTATGTACCTGTAGTCCCAGCTACTTGGGAGGCCACAGCAGGAGGATGGCTTGAATTTGGAGGCTGCAGTGAGTTATGATCACACCACTGCACTCCAGCCTGGGTGACAGAGACCCCGTCTCGAAAAGAAATAATAAATAAAGCTAAATTTAAAAAATAAAAAAAATAAAACAAGAAGTAGATTAACTTACTTCCTCACTGGCTATTATGCAGAGTAAATGAGAAGGCTTAGCAACAGTGCCAAGCACAGACCCCGGCTCATAGTAGCTCCTCAGTACATGTGTGGATATTTTCTTTTAGGTCTTTGCTCTCTTTCAGTTGTAGTGAAGTTGTCTCAGTGTGGACCTTTCCATGGCCTCCATAGGCAGATGGGAGCCCTGTCAGTCATTTGGAAAAGCCCTTGGTCAGTCCCAGGCCCACACACTCACTGGGCCCCTCACACTCACTGGGCACCTCACACTCAGAGCCTTTCTGGAATCCTGAATCTGGGTCCATTCCAGGCCTGCTCAAAGAGCATCCAGACACGGGTGGTGAGCATCATGCTGGAGTCTATGGCTGATAAAGAGATCACTGAGCAGCCCATTCATATTGTGTGTCATCCAAAGGAAAATCAACTTTAAACATCAGATAAAATATGACAGGCGTTTTAAGAATGTATTTTCCAAGCAATGCACTGCGATGGGAACAGGGCTGGTGGGCAAGTTGAGGCTGCGCTGCTGAGACATGCAGTGAGGCCTGCTGCAGACACTTTAGTGGGTCCACTGTCTCTGGTTCAGCATTGCAGCCTTGTGGATGCCTAGACTGGAGGGGGCCTTCAGGCCAGGCTGCTGGCAGCTGGGGAAACAGGCTAGTGGGGGTATCACACTTGAGGGTAACTGCCACACTGATGCTGGAACCCCTTCCTGATGGAGAACCAGGAGGCTGCTGGTCAGTCCTGGCTAGAATCTTCCTGGGGACCCTGGGTCTGTCACTCTGCTTCTCTGGGACTCGGCCTTCTTTTCTTTGAAATGGGGATAACCATACCCACTGTATTAGGCTGTTCTTACATCGCTCGAAAGCAATACCTGGGGCTGGGTGATTTATAAAGACAAGTAGTTTACTTGGCTCATGCTTCCGCAGGTTATACAGGAAGCATGGCACTGGCATCTGCTTGGCTTCCGGGGAGGCCTTGGGCAGCTTCTACTCCTGGTGGAAGCGGGAGCAGGCTGTTACGTGGCAGAGTGGGAACAAGGAGGGTGGGGAGGTGCCATACACTTTTGAACAACCAGACCTTGTGAAAACTCGTGATCACGAGGACAGCACCAAGCCACGAGGGATTCACCCCCGTGACCCAAACACCTCCCACCAGCCCCACCTCCAACACTGAGGGTTACATTTCAACATGAGGTTCAGGTGGGACCAATATCCAAACCCTATCACCCACCCACAGGGAGGGATAAACAACATTAGCAGGGGTTAAAGCACTTGGATTTTTTTAGAGGCAAGGTCTCACTGTCTTGTCCAAGTTGGAGTGCAGTGGCGCAATCATAGCTCACTGCAGTCTCAGACTTCTGGGCATAAGCAACCCTCCTGCCTCAGCCTCCTGAGTAGCTGGGACTACAGGCAAGTGCCACTGTGTGTGGCGACTTTTTAATTTTTTTTTTTTTTTTTTTTTGTAGAGTTAGGGTCTGACTATATTGCCCAGGCTGGTCTCGAACTTCTTGCCTCAAGTGATCCTCTTCCCTTGACCTCCCAAAGTGCTGGGATTACAGACCTGTGCCACCCTGCCCAGCCTTAAAACACTTTGAAAACAAGTTTATTATTTAAACAGGCAAAAGTCCCAAAAGAAAAAAATTTTCAAGCCATGCAAAAGGCTCTAAGATACAGAGTAAGTTTCCCTGCTGCCTTTGGACACTGGCTTCTCCCTCCCGCCCCACAGAACGCGTCCCTCCAGAGATGTTGCTCCCATGCACGTGCACACGTGTACACACTGTCCTGGACTTGGCTTTTTCATGAGAGCCTATATATACCTTGGAGCTTTCCATGTCAGTTTAGAGAGCGTGGTCTCGTCCTTTTCAGTGGCTGCTGTGGATTCTGCCATGTGGCTGTCCGGTGCTCTGTTAGCAGTCGCCTACCTACCGGCATTTGAGTGCTGAAATCTAAGCTGCAGTGAATAGCCTGGTTCGTGTGTGCAAAAGCTTTGAAGAGTGGGAAGCACCCTGTAACTTAAGAGGTTTTGTTGGGAACCTGAGCAAAGGGTGGGGGAAAGGCTGGGACTCGTAGCCAGTAGGTTCAGGATTTGGCTTTGCTGACTATTCACAAATCTTCTTCAACCCAAACCTGATTTTGTACCTGTCCATGATGTGAGCTGAACCACATACAAAGATGAGTTTTACAGGCATCCAGCCCTTCCTTACCCTGGAGGAACATCTGTAAGGACTCTGTCATCATGCTGAGTTGAAGAGACTTCTGAATCCAAGGGTCTGCCTGAGGGAGAGCAGGTCGGGGGTGCTGGACCCTAAAGAGCCTCGCATGCCTTGAGATTCTTGTGCATTTGGAAATTCTTGATGTCATAGATACCCGAGGAGGCTTTCCAGTTTGTAAAGCTCCCCCAGGGTCTCTGCCCCACCACTCCCTCCTCTGCTGGGACAGATGCTGTCCCTCAAGCTACAGACCTGCCCCTATCAGCCAAGGCCAGGCAGTTCCTGGTTCCTCCCTGCCCGCCCGCCCCTCCCCCCACCTCTTCTGCAGATGATTGACAGTGAGGTGTTCATCTGCTCAAAGTAGACCTGCTTCACTGGTGGGAGTGTGGCCTCACCCATGGCCCCTGTTGGATAAACTGCAATAGGACTCCACGAGACCATCACCATGCAGGAGCCCTCCCCACTAGGCACTGGGAGAAAGTTGGGAAAATATTCTAGTATGGTTTCTAGTCCCCATGAAGAACTAGTAAAGGCCTCTTTCAAGGGATAAGACTAATATTTGATGGACTTACAGGCTAGCTGAATGCTAGCCACATAATCGTAGAATCTGCTATGCTGTTTTCACGTCTATTTTCTCATTTCACGCAGGGAAGTAGGTAGAGCAGGTATTATCTCCATTTGACAGATGGGGGAACTAAGTCTCCAAGATACTATGTGGGGGACAGGCTGTTGGTTGCCTGTCCCACAGCCATTCCTCCATCCCTCACACACAGACCCTTCTTCATCCCCATTTTGCTTGTCTTTCTTCTTCCCAGGGGCCTGTTCTTCTTCCCAGGGAGAGTGGGCCACTCCACAGCCCAGGATGTGATTTTTGACTGATCAAGCCCTGTTGACCTCTTCTTGCCAAGGACAGATAAACAGAGCATGAGATCTGGTGCTGGCTGAGAAGTCGGCTGGGTACTGGCGGGGGGGTTTCCCTCGCTCTGATAAAAGGACCCAAGTTAAGAATACTCCCTTTCATTTTTTGCCTTTGATCGTTGTTGGCTACATGTGATTTCTAGAACTACTGTAGCCATCTTGGAGTCAGGAGGAGAGTTAGTGCAAGTTGTTGTGCTAAGGATGTGTATCTGTTATCTATGGCCACGATAATACTGTGGACAAGCAACCTCAAAACTCGAAAGGCATTCAGCAAGAAATATTTATTGCCCACATGACTGGAGTCAGCTGATCTATTAGGTTGGTGCAAAAGTCATTGCGGGTTTTGCCACTACTTTTTTCACCAACCAAATAGCTTGCCTCAGATGTGTCCTTTGTGTCTCTCATCCTGCAGCAGGTTCTCAGAGAAATGGCAGAGGTGCAAAGGACAAGCTCTAGCACGCATCAGGCCCATTTCAAACCTCTACCTGCATCCGTGTGCTAGAATGCATGGGTCAAAGTCAAGGGACTGGGGCTGATGGGTACCCAGGGATGTGGTTCCTGCATGAATTTGGGGGCAGGGATGAAAAATGGGGGCCATTGCTCTAACCTACCACAGAGGGCAGGGCAGAAAGATCAAAGGAATCTGCTCCCTGATAATATGATTGACTTACTGAATTAATGAAGCCTGGAGCTGCCCTACCTTGAAGCCATTGGTTATTCAAGAATAAAGCTGGGTGCAATGGCTCATGCTTATAATCCCAGCATTTTGGGAGGCCAAGGCAGGAGGATCATTTGAGGATTCACAAGTCTGAGACCAGCCTGAGCAACAAGCAAGACCCTGCCTCTGTAAAAAAATAAAAATAAAACAATTAGCCAGGTGTGGTGGCACATGTCTGTAGTCCAGCTACTGGTGAGGCTGAGGCAGGAGGATGGCTTGAGCCTAGGAGTTTGAGGCTGCAGTAAGCCATGACTGCACCACTGCACTCCAGCCTGGGTGATGGAGTGAGACTCTGTCTCTACAAAAAGAGAAAGACAAAACAAGATTGTTTTGGTACCAAAGATATCAAAGGAAGAAAAAACAGTTCTTATTTTTTTTTAAAGCCATTTAGTGGTTAGTCTTCTGTATTCGCCCCCTGAATTGCTAACAAGCCCAAGATCCCCTGGCTGGAAATGGGTGGAGCTGAGGCTGGATCTGAGCCTCTTGCAGTGACTTGGTGTCCTAGGCCTTCGTTATGTTTCAGAGGATGTGACTGGACCTCCTGCTCTGCAACCCCAGACCACAGGAAGCTTTGTCATGCACAGGGCTGGCCTGGCCAGGGATGCAGAGAGAGACTCCTGCTCTGTGCTATGGCCTCACACTTCTGAAGTGCTACCCACGGTGCTGGGTGTGGTCTTGGGGAAAGGCTCAGGCCCTGAGGAGCTGGGCCGGATGCCTCTGGGGAGACTGATACCCCACTGGGGAAAGGGGCCCAAGCAGTGGCTTTTGTCTTGGGCTCTGAGGGCCACTACATATGAAGGAGTCTTCCGGACCAGTCTCTCCACTCTTATAGAATGGTTCCATCCAGAGCCATCTGGTCCATACCCCAGCTCCATACAGGCACATACCTAAGCCACGCCAGGCTGATCAGTCAAGGTCATGACTGGATTCCCATCAAAGACAGAGGCTTCCCTGGGCATCCTGTGAACAGAGGACCCAGAAGGATCCCAGAAGGTCTGCAAACCGTCTTTAGTCTCCTCTTCAGCTCATTCATGGGATTTGCTTGCAAAGGGGACATCTGCTGGATTGGATTCTCCCCATCTTTCTCCAGGTTCTGAATGGTGGAAATGGAACTGAGCAGTCGCCCCTTGGAAAAGGGTGTATAGGCTAGGAACAGGTCAGCTGCACATAATAGAAAACTCAAAATAATAGTGCCTTAAAGAAGATAAAGTTTGTCTCTCTCCTATAAAACAAGCCCAGATATGGGGAGTTGAGGGTGGTAGAATAGCTCTACCATCAGTGACACGCTTCTCCTCTTCTGCCCCACCAAACACAGCACTGGTGTTCATCCCCAAGATCACTGCATGGCCCAAGATGGCTGCCAGAGCTCCAGCCATCATGACCAGGATCACAAGAAAGTCATAGGTACAGGAAAAGCAGAAGAGCAAAAAGAGGCTCCTCCCAGCTCTGGCAGTTCCCTTTCAACATCCTTCCCAAAAGTCCTGTTCAACAGTTATGCTCACTTCTCACTGGCTGGGACTATCTTTGGCTGCAAGGGAAGTAGAGAAATATGCAGGCTAAACATCAGCGTTTGATAACCTCAAAGAGGAAAGGAAAACTGGGTGGTGGGGAAGGCCAAGAGCAGCCTCTGCCACAAGGATTTCAACCTACCTCTTAGGCTACCACAGATCTATTGGTCAGCTAGTGTATGCCAGGCACAGGGCTGGGCTGTGCTACACAGAGATAATCAAGACATGGTCCCTACTCTCAAGGAGCCAGCAATCAAGGGCGATGGTGGACCACAGATAAAGTGGCTCTCATAGTTATGAGTTTGTTTGGGAGACAGAGTGTTTTTTGTTTGTTTGTTTTTGTTTTTGTTTACATAGCGATCTTTGAAACCTGGGAGAATTCACACATGCTCTGGAATTTTGGAGTCTCTTCTAACATTTGAAGCTCTGGCAACACAAGGCCTGCATTCTTTCATCATGGCAGCAGTTGGCTGAAGAAGTGGCTGCCCTTTCTAGGAAGGCTCCTCTCCTGTTGACCACAGTCCCCACCCAGCTCTGTTGCCTCACACCACCAAGGATACCTATGTGGCCATGGTGGGGACACTGGTGGGTGGCTGGACAGTGAGCTGACACTGCGAAAACCACCCTTGCAGATGAGAACTCACTGGAATTTGTGCCTCTCAGGGAGGAAAATGGCTCTGGAAATGAAAAGCAAACCAAACCCACACACCTTCCCAAAGTCCGGTGTTCTTCTCTAACAGAGAGAGGGAAGATGTGAAAAAATCCTTTTTCACCTCTCCTTTCTTCCAGAAGGCATCTCCGGCATGTGGAGACAGGGAGGGCTGACAGAGGCAGGCATTTCTGTCTTCCTAACAGGCGACCCCTGTGTCAGGCCAAAGGCGGCCCTAACTCACTGAAGGGGGAGCAGCTGTCGGGAGCTCCTCCGAATCCAGCAGGGACCCCGGCTCCTCACTCAGCTCACCTTGGAGCAGAGGCCCCTCATTAGTGCTTGGTGCCGTCTTCGCAGGCTGCCCCCTGGAAACCTTTCTCCCAGGCCCAGGGCTGGCGGATCTTGCTGGAACCACCCTCTGTCTCGCTTCAGCGCGTCCGCCTGGCAGCCCCAGAGCCCCTGCAAGCCGTGGGGAGCTGCGGCCCATTCTGGGTGGCCTCCCCTCCTGCCCAGCCCAAGGGCGTCTTGCAGCTATAAATTGAGTAAATTGAAAATGTTACTGAGGGTTGGAGATAAAAGAGAGAGCAGGGTGTCTCCATGAATAAAACATGGGAGGGAGGCCATTTCTTGGAAAAATAGAGGGAATAAATTGCGGTGGATCAATTTTATCTAATTTCTTGGCCGAGCTTCTGACATGCAAATGAATGTGCTCATAATTTATGAGTGAGCTATGGAGATTACCAGAGGGAAGGGATGCCTGGAGTTCTGGTGGAGGAAGGGGGAGGGGGGCACATGGTCGAGGATTTAGCAGAAGTCCACTAGGCTTTTTTTCCTTAAAACCTAAAGATTTAGAAATCCTCCCAGGGAAGGTAAAAGCCAGGCAGAGTAAATCCTAGATTCCTGGGCCTGTCTTTGGGGCCAGTTCCTCTGATCACCTATGTTCTGTCCTAACCCCACCACTGGCCAGCCCAGATCACAGCAGGTGTGGTCATTAGGCCACCAGGCCTTTGCTCAGTGGGTCCCCACCTCCTTACACCAGTTTTGCCTGCTGGATTCAACCTTGACCTTTGGTTTCCAGCCTGAGACTTGCCTGATAGGTCCCATCTGAACTCACCCTTCCTTCTGAGTGCCAAAACCCTCTGGAGGAAAAAGGCACCTGTCTCTTCTGGCAAAGCTCTGCAGGGGATTGAGCTCACAGCCCCTGCTTCTCGGTGGTGATGGGGAAGGAGTGCACCGGGCTGCATGGTCACTGAGTTCCCTGCAAGGCCCTGCACAGGCTTGAGTTTGCAGCCTTTGTCTTGCCATTCCGATTCTCTGTTCCTGCCACATGTTTGACTGGGCTGGAGGAGCTTGAAGAAGGAGTACAAGTGGCCCAGGGCAGTCTCTGGGGGCTGCTCAAATTCTCCTGGTGGGGAGTACTCTTAGTGAGAGCCTGTTATGGACAGAATATGTCTCCACGAAATTCCTGTGTTGAAGACTAACCCTCAATGTGATGGTATTTGGAGGTGGAATCTTTGGATGGTGATTACGGTTAGATGAGGTCATGGAGTGGGGCCTTCGTGATGGGATTAGTGCCTTTCATGGGAAAATGAGGAGACCCAGCTTCCTCTCTCCACTGTGTGAGGACACAGCGAGAAGGTGGCCATCTGCCAACAAGGAAGAGAGCCCTCACCAGAACCTGACCCTGCACCCTGATCTCAGACTTCCCAGCCTCCAGAACTGTGAAAAATAAATACCTGTTTAAGCAGCCTCCCAGTCTATAGTGTTTTGTTATAGCAGTCTTAGCTGATGAAGATGGAACCCATGAGATAGTCTCCACTCCCACTCTACAGATCAGGACACTGAGACACAGAGGGTTTGGTAAGTTGTGCAACACAGGTGGTTAACTGGAGAAGACCAGCTTTGAACCCATGTCTAGCTGGCTCCAATGCCCAACCTCACTAGTGCCCTTTGGCCCTCTCCAGTTGGCCCTTTCTTGGTCTGCTAGGATGATAAGTTTTGTAGTCAAAATAACTTACTGGCCACTCCCTGTCTAAAACCTTGGATGGGCCAGGTGCAGTGGCTCACATCTGTAATCCCAGCACTTTGAGAGGTAGAGGCAGGAGGATTGCTTGAGGCCAGGAGTTTGAGACCAGCCTGGGCAAGATAGTGAGACCCTGTCTCTATAAAAAATTTAAAAAATTATCCCAGCACTTTGGGAGGCCAAGGCGGGTAGACCACGAGGTCAGGAGATCAAGACCATCCTGGCCAACATGGTGAAACCCCATCTCTGCTAAAAATACAAAAATTAGCTGGGCCTGGTGGCGGGCACCTGTAGTCCCAGCTACTCAGGAGGCTGAGGCAGGAGAATCGATTGAACCTGGGAGGTGGAGTTGCAGTGAGCCAAGAGTGCCAGTGCACTCCAGCCTGGTGACAGAGCGAGACTCCGTCTCAAAAAAAAAAAAAAAAAAAATTAAAAATTAGCCGGGCGTGGTAGCATGCACCTGTAGTCCCAGCTACTCCAGAGGCTGAGGCGGGAGGACCGCTTGAGCTCAGGAGTTCAAGGCTGCAGTGAGCTATGATCATACCACTGATCTCCAGCTTGGATGATGGAGTGAGACCAAGTCTCAAAAACAAACAAACAAACAAAAAAAACAACAAAACTCGGACAAGCTGCATGCAAGGCACCACATGATCTGACCTTCTCTCCTTTCCCTCATAATGCCCCTTTCTGTCCCTCAAACTCCTCCAAGAAGCAGGGGCTCTGAGCTCAGTTTCCTGCAGAGCTTTGCCAGAAGCTCAGCAACCCTGCCTCTGGGCCTCTGCACTGCTGTTTCTCCCCCAGATCATCATGGTCCTGCTTTTCTCTTATCACCAGGGGCTTCGTCACCTCTTCAAAGTGGCCTCCTTGGTCACATATGACCCGGTCTTCACAGCACTCATGTTCCTCTGGAATCATCTTGTTTATTTATTTGCTTTTGTGTGTATTCTCTCTCTTTCACCCCTGGAAACTCAGCTCCCTGAGGGCAGAGACCTAATCTTATGCCACTATACCCTCATAGTTTGCACATAGTAGGTGTGTTCAATAATTATTAAAAGAAGGGATGAGCTGGACTTGGTGGCTCCCGCCTGTGTTCCCAGCTACTCTGGAAACTGAGGCAGGAGGATTGCTTGAGGCCAGGAGTTCAAGACAAGCATGGGCGATGTAATGAGATTCCATCTCTATAAAACATTTTTTAATGAGCCGGGCACAGTGGCACATGCCTGTAGTCCTAGCTACTTGGAAGGCTGAGGTGGGAGGATCACTTGTGCCCAGGAGTTCAACATCAGTCTGAGTAATAGAGCAAGAAAAAAATAAAATAAAATAAAGTACATGACGAAGAGAAAAATGGCATATCCAGGTATCTGACCCTTAGGAATTAATTCACAGAGGAGGGGTGATGAGAAGGAGGTTCTATGATAGTGAGGTGAGGCAGAAGGCGAAGGGGTGCTGACACAGCTGCCCTCTGGTGCCCCAGGTCAGAGGGAGCCTCACGGCTCACGCGGAAGGGAATACATATATACAATGATTTGCAAGGCCGCCAGTACAGGGAGGAGAGGCTGCTTGCTGGCAAAGGGGTGTCATTGGCTGAGTGGGCTCAGGGTAGGGCCTGAGGTGTGTGTTTCATCACTCCCAGAGCATCTTCATGGTAGCAGTGAGAATCAAGGTGTCCTGGAATGTTGCAGCTGAGAGTGAAACTGATGCTCAGGGAGGGGACACCTGGCCCAGGTCACAGCAAGTCCATGTGGACACAGAGGAGTCTTCTCAGGGTTAGAGCCTGAACCTTGGGGCCTCTGAGAGTACAGAGAGGTGTAGGCACTGTCATTTCTGAGTCTCTAGATAGATGAAAACAAACAGACAAATGCCCAAACAGGATTTCAGAAATTGGGGTAAATTTTAAATGTTTGCATTGAACAAACTAACATTTTAATACATTAAAAAATTATCAGGCAATGCCATCATGCTCTTCAGGAGATAATCATAGTTTTTAGGAAAAATGATCAACTCATACATCCTGCAGGGGTGATCTGGGAGCAAATAGATGTTTGTTGTAAGATAAACATTGTCTTTTTTTTTTTTTTTTTTTTTGAGATGGAGTCTCGCTCTGTCACCCAGGCTGGAGTGCAGTGGTGTGATCTTGGCTCACTGCAACTTCTGCCTCCCAGGTTCAAGCAATTCTCTTGCTTCAGCCTCCCTAGTAGCTGGGACTACAGGTGCACGCCACCACGTCCAGCTAATTTTTGTATTATTAGTAGAGATGGGGTTTCACCATGTTGGCCAGGATGGTCTTGATCTCCTGACCTCGTGATCCACCCGCCTCGGCCTCCCAAAGTGGTGGGATTACAGGCATGAGCCACCAGGCCCGGCCGAACATTGTCTTTTCTATTTATTCATGCAGCAGGTCCCTATGACCATATGTGGCAGCCCAGTGGGAGACTCTTCAAAGCCTGAAGTTGTGCAAAGGCCATATGGTTTCCTTGAAACAGGCCAGGGTTGGATGGTCCAGGGTGTGGGTTCCACTTGGGAAGCGTTTATGAACTAAGTTTTCTGATCTAGAAGTGGGCACACTTTGTATTTCACAGAGCTGACTTCAGGATGGATGGGTGTGAAATGCTTTACACTGACTAAATACTGGCTGCCAGGTTCACCTGCAGAGCTGGAATCCAAACCCAAAGCTCTTGCTCTTTGTATACCACTCCCCTGCCCCCATAAGCTCATCTCTTGGAAAGGTTTCAGAACTCTTTACTAAGAGACCTATCCCTTGAAAGCAGAAATGGGATTTTTTTCTCCTAAATATGTTCTTTGGGGGAAGTCTTCAAAGTGAATTCTTGTAATTTCCCATTATAAAATTTTATGTGCAATTACAAACAATGAACTGTGAGCATTAATTGGACAGACTGGGAGATTTTCTGTTTTTAAATAGCAGCCTATTTTAAATCCTTCCAGACCACAAGAAACTGACCTGAGAAAATGAGCTACTCAAGGGCAGCCCAGGCAGTCACCTCTGCAGTTCTCCTTGCTGCATCTTGGATTCTCCAGGAAAGGTGGCCGCTGTGCACAGAAGAGCAATAGGGCAACAGACTTCCCAGTTCTCTCAGCACACACATGTGTTTGTGTGTTTAAATAACGGCTTTCTATCAAGTCATTCAGCCTGATCAGCACATAGTAGGTCTGCATCCATCTATTCATTTAACCATCCACCTATCTAACCATCATCCATCCATCCATCCATCCACCCAACCACCCAACCACCCATCGATCTATCCCTATCCGTCCAACCATACATCCATCTGTCTATTCACTCATCCAGCAATCCATCCATCCATTCACCCATCTGACCCTCCATCCATCCATGCTTCCACCCATTCATTCATCCATCAACCATCCATCCACCCATCCAACTATTCACCCATCCTGCCATCCATCCATCCATCCATCCAGCCAGCCAGCCAGCCAGCCATGCAGCCACCAATCCATCCATCCACCAATCATCCATCCACCCACCCGTTCATCCATCCACCCATCCAACTATCCATCCATCCAACCATCCATGCATCCAATCATCCATCCATTCATCCAACCAAGCAATATTTGTTGAGTACCTACTATGTGCCAAGCACCGGGCAAACAGAAATGAACAAAACAAACAAAAATCCCTTCTAGAGCCAACATTTAAACAATAGAGACAAAGACAGTAAACACAATACATAAGAACATTATACACTATATTAGAAGGTGTTAAGTGCTTTGGAGAGAAACTAACTGGGATGGAGAGGGATAAAGTAGAGGGGAGCTGCAAGTTAAACAGTGTGGCCCAAGCAGCCCTTCCTGAGAATGTGACATTTGAGCAAAGATTTGAAGGAGGACAGGAAGCAAGCCAGGAGGAACCTGGAGTGGGAGTGTTCCAGGCAGAGGGAAAGAGCAAATGCAAAGGCTCTGTGGGAGGCAGAGGGGGAGAGGGCAGCATGGGAGCTGGTTCACCCTTGTCAGGACTTTGACTTTGACTCTGAGAAAAATGGGGAGATTTTGCAGGTTCCAAACAGAGAAGTGACATGCACTGATACACTTTTTTTTTTTTTTTTGGTGACAGGGTTTTGCTCTGTTGCCCAGGCTGGAGTGCAGTGGTGTGATCTTAGCTCACTGCAGCCTTGATCTCCTGGGCTCAAGCGATTCTCCTGCCCCAGCCTCCTGAGCAGCTAAGACCATAGGCACACACCACCACACCCAGCTAATTTTTGTATGTTTTGTAGAGACAGGGTTTTGCCATGTTGTCCAGGCTGGTCTGAAACTCCTGAATTCAAGCGATCAGCCAGCCTCAGCCTCCCAAAGTCCTGGGATTACAGGCATGAGCCACTTTGCCCGGCTGGTCCACTTTTTAAAAGAACTGCTCTGGCTGCTGTGTTGAGAATAGAGCTACTCTGTTCGTTATCAAAACCGCTGGCCACATGTGGCTGTTGAGTGCTTAAAATGTGGCTTGTCTGAATACAGCTGCACTGTAGGTATACATACGGTCTGGGTGTTGAAGACTTACTATGAAAAAAAGGGAAACTAATTAGCAATGTAAAAACATTGATTATACATTGAAATGATAATCTTGCAGATATATTTGGTTTAAAATACATGAATAAGATTAATTTTATCCATTTCTTTTTACTTCTTTGGGTGTGGCTACTAGAAAATTCCTTACGTGGCTTATGTTTCTAGTTGACAGCACTTATGTTTCTAGTTGACAGCACTGCTGTAGACAGGATAGGCCAAGGGCAGAAGCTGAAGACAGTTAGGAGGCCATGGTCAGACAGCTGGAGAGGATGGCAGCTGAGCCAGGTGCCAGGCATGGTTGAATTCTGGGAGTGTTGGAAGCCGATTGTGATGGGTGTGGGGCGTTCATAGATGTGTGTGGATTGAGTACTTGGGGCAGGCGCTGTCTGTTGAGCTGGGATGGGGAGGTGTGTGGACTGAGAGATGAGGGGCAGAGTCAGAGGCCTCTGACACCCTCTGCCTGTGACCCAGGGAGGCTGAAGGGAAGCTGAGTGTCAGTAAGGTGCAGTGTAAGCAGAGGTCTCAGATGACAGGTGATTGAGTAAATTCAGGGCTTTTACTTCCTCATCTGTAAAACAGAGGCAGTGGGACCCAAGCTCTTAGAGCTGTGAAAACTAAATCAGCAAGGATATGAAAGGCCTGGCATAGGCGAAGTGTGTAATTGATGAGGCCACTGCCATTATTCCAGGTACAGGGACCGTGGGTGGGAGGACCAGGGGCTGGGGAACACCTGTCGCCCTTTGTTCTGCTTCTTCAAGAAGTCCCACAAGCTAGGTACAGTGGCTTATGCCTGTGATCCCAGCACTTTGGGAAACAAAAGCAGGAGGATCACTTGAGGCCAGGAGTTCCAGACCAGCCTGGGCAATGTGGCAAGATCTCATGTCTACAAAAAATTTTAAAATTAGCCAGGTACAGTGGCAGAAGCTTGTAGTCCCAGCTACCCGGGAGGCTGAGGCAAGAGGATTGCTTGAGCCCAGGAATTTGAGGCTGCAGTGAGCCATGATCACGCCATTGCACTCCAGTCTGGGCAACAGAGCCAGATTCCGTCTCTAAAAAAACAACAAACAAAAAGAAGGCCCACAAGACTACTGTACTTGTTTTATTATCAGTGCTCAAATAAATTGGCTGGCCTGCTGAAGAGGAAGGGGCCTCCCATTCTCTTCCCAGGGCACTGCCAAGATTGCAGATGGAGGCCTGGTGGCCGTGGAGGAAGCAGGTTGGAGGCACAGTCCCTGTACCCTGCAGTCTCCTCACCAGTTTGGAGGCAGAGGGGACATAAGCTACGGGATGAAGGGACGCCTGGAGGTGGGATACTGGGGGAACCCTGTGGTCTAATGGGAGGAAGATGCTCCTACAGGTGGTGCAGAAGCTGGGAGTGAAAGCTGTCTGGGACGCAAGGCTCTGCCTTTTTGGTCTTTGCTGGGAGGGTGGGGCAGAGGGAGTTTCTGTCTTCTTTCACCACCAACCCCCTTCCTACCCAGTCTAATGTGGAGCCTTGCATACAGTAGGTCCTGAATAAATATCCGTTGCATTAAAAGAGCAAGGCACTACTGGGATGCACTAGGGTAATGTCTGTTTAATGTACAGCAGGAAGAGCACTGGAAGGAAGTACTGATCCCGCCTCCTGTTGACTGAGTCATGCGTAACCTACATCTGCCCACCCAGGGCCTTCCAGACCCGGGCTCCAACACCTCTCACCTCTCACCTGGACACCCACAGCAGCCTCCTCACTGGGTTCCTTCCTTCCACTCTTGCCCCCTCAACCCCTTCACACAAACAGCCAGTGGGAAGGTTTTATTTTTTATATATATATATATGTTAGATGAGGTCTTGCTCTGTCACCCAGGCTGGAGTGCAGTTGTGTGACCACGGCTCACTACAGCTTTGACTTCCTGGGCTCAAGCAATCCTCCTGCCTCAACTTCCCAAGTAGCTGGGACTAGAGGTGCACGTTACTGCACCTGGCTAATTTTTTTTTTTTTTTTTGGTAGAGATGCGGTCTTGCTATGTTGCCCAGGCTGATCACAAATTTCTGGCTTCAAGTGACCCTCCCACGTCAGCATCTCAGGCTCCCAAAGTGCTGGGTTTACAGGGGTGAACCACCATGCCTGGCCAACAATGGGAGATTTTGAAGACATAAGTCAGATTACGTGGTATCCCTGGTTAAAAGTGTCTACAGGCTTTCCTTTCAACCAGAATACCATGCTATAAGGCCCTGCATGATCTGGCTCCGGGTCTCTGGCCACCTTCAGGCTTTAATGCTCTTGTTCTCTATGTCTTGTTTTCCTAGATCTTTTCAAGCCAGTCCCTGCCGCAGGGCCTTTCCACTGGCTGTCCTTCTGCCTCAAATGCTGCTTCCTCCCAACATTGTCTGGGTTATGTCTCATTATTCCTGTCTCAGTGCAAGTGTCTCCTCCTCGGAGAAGACATCCTTGAGCCCCAGCATCTAAGAAACTCTCAATTACTTCCTATTTTAATATCGGCTGGCTGTAGATCACCATCTACAACATTCTTCTCCATGAATTTGGTTACCTATGTCCTGCTTCTCCCCCACCAGAGTGTAAGCTTTCTGAAGCTTCATCCATCTTGGTCCACTTCTCACATCCAGCCCAGGACCTGGAACATAGTAGGTACTCAATAAATGTCCATCAAGTAAACGAAGGCCCTTATTTATACTGATCTCGAGCACTCCGTACGCATCATTTTATTTAGTCCTTGTAAGGCTCCTCTGTCATCACCCTTCTGGAGACAAGTGACCTGCCGTTGTGAGGACTGAAACTGAGTATGTCTGACCCCAAAGCTCGAGCTGTTGAACACTGTATGATGCTATCCCACTGATCTGGGGTGTGGCCCTGTGATCTGGGTCATGTCCCATTCCCTCTTGGAGCCACACTCTGCCCCTCTGATGCGGAGGGTGCTGGCTGAGCGCTTCTGAAGTCTGCAGCTCTAACCGTCAAGGGCGTGGTTCTCCACAGGGGTATAAGTGCCTTCTCAGGAGGTTTAGGTCTGGGATATTCCCATGGGGACACTGACATCCTGAACTACTGTACTTGTTTTTATTATAAACACATATGCATGTATTATACTTTATTTATCTTCTTAATTCAGGTTAGGGCCAGTCTATGAATTTCATGTCAGGGTAGTAGAAGGGGTGTTACACAAACGTGTTATGAAAGGGGGTGTCCTGTCATCTAGGGTGACAGAAGCTGGAGGAGGGTCGCCTGGGGTTGGGGGCACACACTAGGAGCAGCAGGAGGGGCCTGCTGGAAGCTGACGGGGTCCTACATCTCCACCGAGGAGGCGGTCCCACGGGTGTACGTGTGCATAAAAATTCTGTGAGCTGCACACACCAAAGATAGGTCACTGGACTATTTGTAATGCCAGCTTTTAAACCTTAAATAAAATAATATTAATATATGTAAAATACATAAACAAAAAAGTGGGCCTTGGGACAGGATCCACTGGGCCAAAGGTCTCTGCCTGCAGCCTGGGGATCCTCCCTGGCCCCTCATCTAGTGAGGTTCTGTTCAATCTCTCAAACTCAGCTCCGGTATCGACTCCACACTGACACCATCCCTCGAAGTTTCTCGGTGGAGCCCCCTGAGCCCCACCCCATGCTCCCTTCCTAGCCTTTCTCACGTGATGACCTGGTGACTTGCCAGTGACCTCCTTGGCTATGAGTCCCAGCTGGCGAATGTGGCCCCCACTTTGGCATCTGGGACACAAGCTGATTGCAGTGGTGTTTGTTGAATGAATAAGCGCCCACTGTGTGGGAGAGGAAGAGAGAGGGTGGCTACTCTTCCTTTCTCCAGCCTCCACACTGTCTTCTCTAACTGGGGAGAATATGCACATTTAGGCTCTGTAAGCCCAGAGGAGGGAGAGGAGGAAGTCCTGGCCCCCTGCACACTCTTTGCAGGGCAAAGCTGGCCTTGGAGGATGTGGCAGTGGCTACATTAGTAGCAGCTACCATTGGGCTCAAGGCCCACTAGTTGTCCCGTGTAATCCCACCTTTGAAATGAGTATCCGGACGCCACCCATGTTAGAGATGTGTACCTGCAGGCTCCGAGAGCTCCGGCCCCTTCCAGAGGCCACACAGCAGAAGGAGCAGGGTGGGAGCTGTACTCCAGCTCCAGCTCCCCACCCTTCCATTCCCTGCTCGGTCTTGCTCAACTAAAAAGACAAGGAAGGAGGGAAGACAGCACTTTCCAGTTTTATGACACTTCCTTACCTCCAAACACTGGGTCCTCGAGTGTCTGGTCTTTAAAGCAGACTTCCTTATCACCCAAGATACAGATATGGCCTGACCTTTGGATACCACATTTGCAGAACATACCTACATGAAAGCAGGAGGCGTGGCAGTTAGACCTAAGGAAGCACTTCCTGACTGTAGATGATAAAATACTGTCTTGGGAGGGTTGGATACAGTGGGCCTCCACCCCGTGAGATCTGGGATCTCTCAGGCCCAGGGTCTAATTCTCTTTGAGCTCTTGGCTCTTGAAACCCTCCTCGGAAAGAGTGAGGGCAGCCAGGCATGAGGCCTCAGGGAACCCATGTTTCTGTCCTTGGAGAAGCAGGGGCCCAGGGGCCCAGAGGGCACCTGGGGGAGAGCGCTGCAAACTTTTCCCAGCAACTTCCCAGTGGCCTGAGGCTTCCTTTGACAACACAGCCTGCTGCCTCCCTGGGCTCAGCCCCCGTGGGTGCGGGGCCCTGGGGACTGGCCTCTGGGTGATTGGAGCTGGACAACTCCCAAGCAAACCTCCCCTCCTTCCTAGTTGCTTCCTAGGAGGGCCCTGACCCCAGAGTCTCACTTTCCAGTCCCTTCCCTCAGGGACCTGTCCCCTCTCGGGCTGGGGCTCAGCTCAGGTTGCTGAGCAGAGGACACCAAAGACCCAGGGGACCAGGAGGAGCTGGAGAAAGCCCCAAGGACCCAGTGCTCCCAGGGCCCGTTGCCAGGGCCACCACTTGGAGACTGGAGCTGCATCCCAGAGGTTCCAGAGGGTAGGCCTCCCTGGGGGCCAAGAGAGGCCTTGATAAAAAAAAAAAATGCAATATTCAAGTGGTTAACGATGGCACAAGGATCTGTAAGCAGCAGCTTACAGGGTTCTCCTAGCCACATGTTTGCTTCTGAGGATTCCCAACGGAAGGAGGGAGCCCAAGCTCCCTGGGGACACAGGTGCAAGAAGCAGCTCCTCTTGTCTATTTCATTCACCTTCTCTTGCTGGTTGCCCCCAGTGGAATTTACTCATTCATTCATTCAGCATATATCTACTGGGCACCCATTCCGTGCCAGGTGCAGAAGCTACAGCGCTGAGCAAGATGGCCAGAGGCCCTGATCTCAAGGAGCTGACAGCAATGAACAGAGAGATCAGAAACAAACGCAGTGACTTCTAATTGTGATAGAGGCTGTGTTGGCAGGAATCAGAACGATGTGACAGAAAGTGAGGGATAGGAGAATATTAAACCAGGCCATCAGGAATGGCCTCTGTGAGGAGGGGACATTTCCTCTGAGGCTCGCTGGATGCACTGAAGTCCTAAAAGGGCAAAGGACCCAAGGCAGATTCCAGGAACATTGAGATGGCCTGAGTGCCGGGCATGGCAGTCAGGGGCATCTGAAAGGTGTCATCAGCAGGGGCCCGTCATCGTGGGCTGGGCTGGGCTGGCAGTGGGCGTGTGATGGATTTTACTCTGATAGTCAGGGAAGCCACTGGAAAGTTTTAGCCAGGATTGATGTGATCAGCTCTGCATTTGGAGGACACTGTCCTAGAGGCCATGAAGGGAGCAGGTTGGAGGGACCAGTAAGGGCGTGCAGAGACGGATCAGAGGGACTCCTTAAGAGCCCTGAGGCCTCTTAGGTGGGTGAGACATGGTGCTGGCTTCCACTTCAGTCTTCAAGGTAAAAAAAGGGTGGCCTACGGAGGCATTTGCAACTATAGGGGTTACCCTGGGTTTTTTGTTTTTGTTTTAGAGACAGAGTCTTGCTCTGTTGCCAAGGCTGGAGTTCAGTGGCACAATCATAGCTCACTGTAGCCTCGAATTCCTGGGCTCGAGCAATCATTCTGCCTCAGCCTCCTGGGTAGCTGGGATTACAGGTGCCACCACCATGTCCAGTTAATTTTTAATTTTTTCATAGAGATGGAGTCTTGCTATGTTGCCCAGGCTGGTCTCGAACTCCTAGCCTTAAGTGATCCTCCCACCTCAGCTTCCCAAACTGCTAGGATGATAGGCGTAAGCCACTGTGCCTGATCTTACCCTGCGTTTTAATTGACCATCTGTGGCTGCTGCTTGGGTAGAAGAGGGTTTCAGTTTATTATTTTAAAATGTGTACATGGGGCTGGGCATGATGGCTTACACCTATAATCCCAGCAGGTGAGGGAGTCTGAGGCAGGAGGATCGCTTTAGCACAGGAGTTCAAGGTTACAGTGAGCTATGATCAAATCACTGCATTTCAGCCTGCCTCAGAGTGAGACCCTGTCTCTACAAATGCACACACACACACACACACACACAAAGATTCTGCTTTTGTGGAGCAAGAAGGGACCTGAGTTCAACTCTGGCCTGAGAAGGCCAGGGCAGTTCAGGCAGCTGGTCACTGGGCACCATGACCAGCCCACCCCCGGGGCAAAGCCCAGTGAAGGAGGCATGGGAGGCTGATTTCACCTCTGCCCTCGGAATGAAAAGGGAGTACTTAGCTGGGGCTAGTGCAGAGGGCAAACGGAAGCTTGCTGCCCAGCTCACGTTTCTTTCTGGTAATATTCCTCTCTGCAGGATTCACTTGGGGACCAGCTCATTTCAGGCTCTACAGGCACCAGGATGGTCCCATCTCTGATCATCAGTGGGCAGAAGATACCTGGTTGTGAGTTCTAAAGAGGAAATCTCAAGTTAGGTCTGGTGAAAGGCAGAAATAGCTGGAAAAAGTAGAGGGGACTGCCAAGCTTTTGCTCTTCCAAAGGTTTTGGAAAAATAGGAATGGAATAACTGTCTTTCTGGAATAGGATGCAGAAAGAGTCCCTTATAGTTGCTTAAAATTCTAACTCCAGGCTTCCTCATTCACAAGTCTGGATGGTGCTCCCAGGGAGTATGGAAAAGTCAGCCAGCCCTGGAAGCTCTGGCTGGAGAAATCTGAGGGTCACTGAGTGAACTCAGGGTGGCATGGGGCGAAGAGTGGGCGCTGAGGGAGTACTCCTGTGTTTAGATCTACAGTCTGACCCTGGGAGCTGCTCCATCAGAAGCCATCTCAGAGACAAGGACACGAATCCAAGTGTGTTTAGAGGGGATCTCAGAGAGCACCACACGGGAGACAGGAAAGAGCAGGGCAGGAAGGAACCAGTAAAGGGTCTGTTTCTCAGCAGGTCTGTTTCTTTTTTTTCTTTTTTTTTTTTGATACGGAGTCTCCCTCTGTCGCCCAGGCTGGAGTGCAGTGGCGCGATCTGGGCTCACTGCTAGCTCTGCCTCCTGGGTTCACGCCATTCTCCTGCCTCAGCCTCCCAAGTAGCTGGGACTACAGGTGACTGCCACCACGCCCGGCTAATTTTTTGCACTTTTAGTGGAGATGGGGTTTCACCGTGTTAGCCAGAATGGTCTCGATCTCCTGATCTCGTGATCTGCCCGCCTTGGCCTCCCAAAGTGCTGGGATTACAGGCGTGAGCCACCGCGTCCGGCCCTCAGCAGGTCTGTTTCTGAGCAGCTCTGGGAGTCAGCACTTGGCTGCACCCAGATGGATGGGGGAGCCAGGGCATTTATATGCCAGCCCTCGCCACCATTGGCTGAGGGCTGTATGGAGGCATATAGGTGCGGCATCCACTGTGTCTGCTGCAGCAAGTTATGTAGCCCAAGCCTCCACTGCTTCTTCTATAAAATGGGGATAATAAGAGCAACCTTGCTTTAAAAAAATAAGTAAGAAGCCTGTCTCCTCAGGTGACTGAGACTGAATGAGAATGCCGGTAAGGCTTGTGCTTCAGGGCGGGGCACTGGGCATGTGCTCTTTCCTTTGTTTGATGGATATTTACTGTGGGTCTCACAGTGCCAGGCCCTGGGATTCCATAGAGAACACAAGCAACTTGTAGCTGATCCCCGTGAAGCTGGACTCATGAGCAATCCTCGAGTCAGCGACAGCAAGTGTGACGGAGCCACAGAAGGGCAAGGCAGCGTGGGGAGGCGCCCCAAAGCAGACACCGACTCCCTTTATGGAGGCGCCATGTGAGACAACCCCACCCCAGTGTCTCCCATAACAGTAACATAGCCGGTTTCTTTTTTCTTTCTTTCTTTTTTTTTCTTTTTTTTTTTTGAGAGATGGTCTCACTCTGTGGCCCAGGCTGGAATGAGTGGCGTGATCATGGCTCACTGCAACTTTGACCTCCTGTGCTCAAGTGATCCTTCCGCCTCAGCCTCTCAGGCAGCTAGGACTACTACCAGGGGTGTGCCACCACGCCGGCTAATTTTTTATTGTTGTTTATTTATTGTTAATTTTTATTTTTTAGAGATGGGGTCTCACTATGTTGACCAGGCTGGTCTCAAACTCCTGGGACATGGCCAGTTTCTATGGGTAAGGACTGGGTGACATTTTGGTTTGTGTTCAGGGGTCAAGTGGTAGGAAAAATATACACTAAAAACACTAGAGTGGTTCCCAGTGCAGGAAGGTGGTTGCATTGTGAGAGAAACCAGGGCCCCGAGGCCAACCGAGGGAGGAGGGGCTGTGCTTCTATTTCACACTCAACCATGGAGGGAGCAGCGGGCAGAGCAGCCTGCCTGTTAAGATGAGACCAGCGTGGCCAACATGGTGAAACTCCGTCTCTACTAAAAATACAAATATTAGCCAGGCATTGTGGCAGGTGCCTGTAATCCCAGCTACTTGCGAGGTTGAGGCATGAGAATCTCTTGAACCCGGGAGGCGGAGGTTGCAGTGAGCCAAGATCCCACCACTGCACTCCAGCCTGGGCGACAGAGCGAGACTGTCTCAAAATAAATAAATAAATAAAAAGTTGACCCTTTTCCTCTCTTTCTTCCCCACCTCACATGCTGAGAGGTGGTTCCATGCCTGAAATGAGTTGGGATGGAATTCCACTATTGTCACCAACACTGTGGGCCCCTGCCGTAGCCCCGCAGCACTCCCTATGGTGGGGGTGCCCATCTGGTGGCTTTTCCTGCCAGCCCCTGACTTTCTCTGGTCCCTGTGGAGGAGGCAGGTCAGGGAGGTGGGGAGTCGGCACTCCCCGGAGCAGCTCCCAGCCAGCTCAGCTATCCCTCAGCAGGAGCAGCTCAAGCACCCTACTATGTCTCCCAGGATGCCCCAGCCACCACAGCGGCCACCAGGGCAATGGCATGCTCTGCCCCCACTTCCCTGCCCTGCCTGGACTGTCTTTCCCCATTTCCTCCCCTTGGCAAATTCAGGGGTCCACTTCCAGAGCTTTGTTGACATCTTGCCCAGCAGCTGGTCCCTTTTCCTCTAAGCTCACCTGACAGTTTCTCAAACTTCCTTTGTCACAGATGTACGCAGGAACACTATTACCTACTTGGCATTTTTATTTAAATCAATGTTTTAAAATTTTTTATTAAGTTTTTAAAGGCAGGGTCTTGCTCTGTTACCCAGGCTGGAGGGCAGCGACACAATCACAGCTCACTGGAGCCTTGAACCCCTGGGCTCAAGTGATCCACCCACCTCAGCCTCCTGAGTATCTGGGACCTATAGGCACATGCCACCATGCTGGCTATTTTTTTTTCTTTTGAAGTTGTTGTAGAGACAGGGGTCTCACTGTGTTGCTCAGGCTGGTCTTGAACTCCTGGACTCAAGTGAACCTCCTGCCTCGGCCTCCCGAAGTGTTGGGACTATAGGTGTGAGCCACTGCACTTGGCCTAAATCAATGTTTTAATTGACTCACATTTTTTATTATGACAAAATACATATAATGTAAAATTTACCATTTTAACCATGTTTAGGTGCACAATTCAGTGGCACTAAAATTATGCAATCATCACCTCTACACATCTGCAGAACTTTCCCATCACCCCAGACAGAAACTCCGTCCCCACTAAACACTGACTCCTATCCTCCCCTCCCCCAGCCCTGGCACCCTCTATTCCACCTTCTGTTTCTATGTTTCTATTCTAGGGACCTCCAATCAGTGGAATCACACAAAGTTTGTCTTTCTGTGTCTGGCCTACTTCACTTAGCAGAATGTTATCAAGGTTCTTCCATGTCGTAGCATGTATCAGAATTCATTTATTTTCATGGCTAACTGATATTCCACCATAGGTATATTCTACCTTTTGTCTATTCATCTGTTGATGGACATTCAGGTTGGCTCACTTTTTTTTTTTTTTTTGAGACGGAGTCTCACTCTGTCACCCAGGCTGGAGTGCAGTGGCGCGATATCAGCTCACTGTAACCTCCACCTCCTGGGTTCTAGCGGTTCTCCTACCTCAGCCTCTTGAGTAGCTGGGATTACAGGTGTGTGCCACCACTCCCAGCTAATTTTTGTATTTTTAGTAGAGACGAGGTTTCGCCAGGCTGGTCTCGAACTCCTGACCTCAAGTGATCCACCCACCTCAGCCTCCCAAAGTGTTGGGATTACAGGCGTGAGCCACGGCGCCCGGCTAGGTTGGCTCACTTTTTAAACTCAGCTATATTTCCTAAGCAATAATATCCATGAAAGCAAGAATTGGATAGTAAACTTTGTTTTCAATACTCATTAAATAAATACATAACTAACAAAGCAAAAAAGAAAAAAGTGTGTCTGCAACCACTGGAGTGACCGTGCCTGTCACCAGGGCTTCACATGCCACTCTGGGTAGCATAGAGGTCCCAGACTGCCTACATGTTCAGGACAAAGCCAAGTGTCACCCATGGCTGAGGCTCCAGATCTAACCAGTGTCTAGTGCCTCATGATTGCTGAAAATTACTTGCTGAATGGTTTAGGTCTAGGGGCTTAGAGTCTCCTCTGGCCAGGAGAAGCTAGGGCTGAAGTCCTTCAACACATAGCACAATCCAAGAACTAATGGCCCCACCAACATGTGCCGGGACCGGGGATTGTGCCCAGGGCCCTTGGATCTGGGCTGTATCACCAATGCCTGTGCCTCACACAGGTTCCTTCACCCTGGCCACTTCAGTACACACCAGCCTGATTTCCAACTGCCAGGTCCTGTGTTCCTTCGCCTGTGGGTGCTCTCTGGGCACTGGAGACCATTTTGCCACTGTAGGGGAGTCGGAGATAAGCCCCCACTCCTCTTTTAGCTCTCAATGAGCTCTGCAGCTGGAGCTAGAAACCAAATTGACACCTGGCTTCTGTCCTGAGTCCCTCTGGCTAAGAGTCTCCTCATTACATCCTTTTCTCTCTTTTTCTTTTCTTTCTTTTCTTTTTCTTTTCAAGACAGAGTCTTGCTCCGTCACCCAAGCTGGAGTGCAGTGGCACAACCTCGGCTCACGGCAACGCCTGCCTCCCAGGTTCAAGTGATTCTCGTGCCTCAGCCTCCTGAGTAGCTGAGATTATAGATGTGTGCCATCATGCCTGACTAATTTTTGTTATTTTAGTAGAGACTGGGTTTCACCATGTTGGCCAGGCTGGTCTCAAACTCCTGATCTCAAGTGAGCCATCCACCTTGGCCTCCCAAAGTACTGGGATTACAGGCATGAGCCACCACACCCGGTCACTTTTTGTTTTTAGAGATGGGGCCTCTCTCTGTTGCCCAGGCTGGAGTGCAGTGGCATGATCATAATTCATTGCAGCCTCAAACTCCTGGGCTCGAGCAATTCTCCTGCTTCAGCCTCCCAAGGAGTTAGGACCGTGGTGCCCAGCTCATCTCTTCTTCTTTTTTTTTTATTGCAATTTGGGAATGGAGTTGGGGAAGGACCTGAAACTGTCTCCCTTTCCAGTGGTCTGTCGTCCACAGAGGGTAACCCCAACTGGATAGAGCTTCTCAAAGAAAGGGAAACCTTGTAATTAATTAACATATGAAATTCTTATTTCCGATATTATTAAATTTGTTACTCTCATACAGTGCAGAACATATTTAAAAGGCAAATTAATATGTTATGTGTTAATAAGCTTGGATTAAATTGGGCTTTGAGAACTCAGAGAAGCAACGTTAGTCCCATGTGGATGCTATGAAGGGTTTTTAAGGCGCTGTTCCCTCCTCTTGAAGTTGCTACCACTGCAATGACTCAAGAAGACATGGGATCTTAAGAGGAACCCCAGCCTGAAAGTGTAGATTTCTGAGTGTGTTTCTGTTAAGTGTCTGTTTAAAAGTGGGTTCCTCTACATTTAGGTCCCCTGACAGGTGTGTGCAGAGAGGAGGAGGAAATTAAGACAGCTCTTGAAAAAAACAGGGAAAAGCCTCCTCTCGGCAGAACAACCCCAAGGAACTAGAGCCGCCTACACAAACATCCCTTCCTCCCACAGGCAGTTGGTGACTGGCTTCCCAAGCTTGGAGAACGTGAGGGAACAATCTTGGTCGGGGTTGTGCTACTCCGGATCCACAGAAGGATGGAATAAGGACACTCTTAGCCAGTGTGACTCAGTACAGAAGCCAGAAAACGTGAGCTGCTCTCTCGCTGCAAGGTCCATCCTGGGGTCCTGGCCACATCCCGGGGCTTCAGAGTCCTCATGCCAAGGCCGGTTGCATTTTAAAGCACTCCTTCTTTGCAAATGCCACATTCTTCTCTGATCTCCTACCTCACACTCCCTCCAGTGGTGGTCCTCCAGTGACCCATTCCTCCACCATCTGCTCTCTTTACACCACAAACCTTCTGTTTGTGGAAGGGCGACCTTTTCCACTTCCCAAGTTTCTCTTTGCACCTCCTCCTCTGCTGATCCTTCTAGGTCTCTCTCTTCCATCTAGATCTTCCCCTCAAACCTTTTTGTTTGTTTTGTTTTGTTTTTTTGAGATGGAATCCTGTTCTGTCACGCAGGCTGGAGTGCAGTGGCACAATCATGGTCCACAGCAGCCTGCAACTCCTGGCTCAAGTGACCCTCCTGCTTCGGCCTCCCAAAGTTCTAGGATTGCAAGCATGAGCCACTGCACCTGGCCCTCCAAACCGTTATGCCCAGTCATCTCCCCACAGGTCATCTCCACACAGGACCCCTAAGCTCAACATCCCCCAGTGGAGACTACCCTCTTCCCCCATGACAGTGCCCTACCTTGTGTCTCATCTACCCTAATATCCCAACTGGAATCCAGGGGATGACCTGACTGCCTACAGGGAGGAGCTACCCACTGCCAGTCTCCTCTGAGCTGTTCTAACCTCAGTAAAGCTCCTCTTCATCTGGCTCAACCTCCACTTGTTTTCTTCCTGGATGTAGGACAAGAACTTAGGCAAAGGCACCACCAGCCACAGAGGTTTCCAGCCAGAAAAGCAATACCCCAAAGATCCTGTAACAATATACTATATATACATCTATATACTATACCATGTAGTATATGTATATGTATTTTAGATATATTACATATAAAACATATAAATTATATATAAAAATATTATATATAAATAATAATATATAGTATAATATATAGTACATATTATAATTTGATTCAATTGCTGATTCGTCTCCCAGCACTGGCTTTACTTCATCCAGTCACTCTTTACCAGCCTCTGGAGGGGTAAGACCCCTCAGCGGCCCCCACTGTTCTTGGCTTGAACTCCAGACTCTCCTGAGTGACTGGCAAGGGCCTCTGGGCCCCTGCACTTCCTCCTCCCCAGATGCAGCTCCAGCTCCTCCCCACAGGCACCGCAAGATCCAGTCACGCCGGTCTCTGCAGCTAGGAGGCAGAATAGGGTAGCAGCTATGCTGGGCATTGCAGCCAGGCTGACTGGGTTTCAGTCTCACCTCTTTTACTTGTCAACTCTGACTTTGCAGAAGGTCTCCACTTTCCTTAGGCAGTGGTGGGGACTCAATGAGTTACTATATGAAGAGAATTCAGAAGGATGTCAGGCACATGTAAGTGCTCAATATCTATGTAAGGTGTTACCATCTTCATCATTATTATTACTCTCTGAACACACTGTAGCAAGATCTCGAACATCGTCTCCCATCAAGAACCAGAGCTCATGGTTCCCATCCTTGCATCTGGGAGGGCTTATGACTGCTTCAACCAACAGAAGGCAGTGGAAGCCGGGCTCGGTGGCTCAGCCTGTAATCCCAGCACTTTGGGAGGCCGAGGTGGGCGGATCACCTGAGGTCGGGAGTTCGAGACCAGCCTGACCAACATGGAGAAGCCCCGTCTCTACTAAAAATACAAAAATAAGCTGGGCGTGGTGGTACATGCCTGTAATCCTAGCTACTCTGGAGGCTGAAGCAGGAGAATCACTTGAACATGGGAGATGGAGGTTGTGGTGAGCCGAGATCATGCCATTGCACTCCAGCCAGGTCAACAAAAGTGAAACTCCGTCTCAAAAAAAAAAAAAAAAAAAAAACCGTGGAAGTGCTGCTTTGTCACTTCCAAGGCTGGGTTATAAAAGGCAGCTTTTATCTTTTCCACTGGAATACTCATTATTAGAGCCCTGAGCTTTGGTCCAGCTACCCTGAGACCACCATGATGTGAGGAAGCCCAAGCCACATAGACAAGCCAGGTATAGACACTCTGGCTGGCAGTCTTAGTCTCTGAGTCACTCTGGTCTGGAGCCAGACATGTGAGTAAATGAGACTTCAGGTGATTTCAGCCCTCAGTTTTGAGTTGCATCAGCCTCAAGTTTTCCAGCTGAGGCCCCAGGCATTGAGGACTACAGGCAAGCTGTCTCCTCTCTGCCCTACCAAAATTCCTAACCCACAGAGTCTGTGAACTTAATAAAATTGTTGTTTTAAGCTGCTAAATTTTGGAGTCATTTGTTACACAGCAAGCGATAACTGATACGCACATGATGCTCTTCTTCTTCTCTGGCAAACTCCTATACATTCTGCAAAACCCTGCAAAAATGACACCTCCTCCTCTGTGAAGCTTTCCCCAGCTCCTCTATGCCCTGGAAGCTTCTTGTGTGCCTGCCTCTTGTGGCCTTTTCTTCCCTGTGTGGATCTGTTTTGTGTTCATCTCTCTCCTTAGACCGGGCATCCCGCAGGGTGGGAAGTTGGATCCACCTTTATGTCCCCAACGTCTGGTCAGGGCTGCACAGCATAGTCAGCTACATTTGCAGAATAAATTAATGCGGCCAGAGGTGGCCTTCAGGACAGAACTATCTGGAAGATATTAGCATAGTTTCCGCATCATGGGACTCGATGTATATTGGTGCAGTGAAGAAAAATCCTGACTTGCCAGGTGCAGTTGCTCATGCCTGTAATCCCAGCACCTTGGGAAGCTGAGGCAAGTGGGTCACCTGAGGTCGGGTGTTCAAGACCAGCCTGGTCAACATGGTGAAACCCCATCTCTACTAAAAATACGAAAATTAGTCGAGTGTGGTGGTGCATACCTGTAATCCCAGCTATTTGGTAGGCTGAGGCAGGAGAATCACTTGAACCCGGGAGGCGGAGGTTGTGGTGAGCTGAGATTGTGCCACTGCACTCCAGCCTGGGCGACAGAGTGATACTCTGTCTCAACTAAAAAAAAAAAAAAGAAGAAAAGAAAAAGTAAAAGAAAAATCCTGACTTACTAAAATCCTATAAAATCACCTACAGAGCTTTAAAAATTCCCAGCCCCAAGCCCCACCGCAGGTCAGCTGAATCAGACTCTCTCTGGGGGAAGCCCAGGCCACTGAACTTAAAAAAAAATTTGCTAGGTGATCCTAATGTGCAGCCAGGTGGAAACCACTGCCGTTTATCCCGACAAAAACATCAACGATGAGGTTGGGTAGTGCTTTCTGAGCACTTACCACCTGCCAGGTGTTGTCCTGCGGTTTTTCATGAATTAACTCATTTAATTTACACCATCACCCTATGCCGAAGACACTGTCATCAGTTCATCTGTTCCCCCTATTTTTTATTGAGACAGAGTCTCACTCTATCACCCAGGCTGGATCGTGCAGTGGTGCAATCTCGGCTCACTGCGACCTCTGCCTCCTGGGTTCAAGCAATCCTCCTGCCTCAGCTTCCTGAGTAGCTGGGACCACAGGTGCGTGCCACTACGCCCAGCTAATTTTTGTGTTTTTAGTAGAGAGGGGGTTTCATCATATTGGGGCTGGTCTTGAACTCCTGACCTCAGGTGATCCACCTGCCTCGGCCTCCCAAAGTACTGGGATTATAGGCATGAGCCACTGCACCCCGCCGGTTCCCATTTTTTAACAGCTTTACTGAGGTATAGTTGACACACAATAAACTACACATTTTAAAGTGTACAATTTGATAAGTTTTGACATGTATACATACACCCACAAAACTGTCAACACAGACAAGGACCACATCCGTCACCCCCAAAAGTTTCCTTGTGCCCTTGTGCCCTTGTCATTCCTCCCTCTGGCCACGAGTAACCACTGAACTGTTTTCCAAATCTATAAATTAGTTTGCATTTTCTTTCTTTCTTTTTTTTTTTTTTTTTGAGACAGAGTCTCACTTTGTTGCCCAGGCTGGAGTGCACTGGCACGATCTCAGCTCACTGCAACCTCTGCCTCCTGGGTTCAAGCATCTCAACTTCCTGAGTAGGAAGGATTACAGGATTACAGTAGCTAGGATTACAGGCATGCACCACCAAGCCTGACTAACTTTTGTGTTTTTAGTAGAGTGGGGTTTCACCAGGTTGGCCAGGCTGGTCTCAAACTCCTGGCCTCAAGAGATCAGCCCACCTTGGCCTCTCAAATTGCTGGGATTACAGGCATGAGCCACCTTACCTGGCCCAGTATGTACTTTTTTTCCTCTGGTTTCATTCTCCCATAGTAATTCTGAGATTCATCCACATTGCTGTGGAATAGCAACAGTCCATTTCTTTTCACTGTTAAGCAGTATTCCACTGTATAGATGTATCACATCATCTCCCAATTTAGCTTGTTTGTTTATTTATTTGTTTTAGCAACAGGGTGAGGACCCCGTCTGCAGTGGCAGTGGCACAATCATAGCTCACTGCAGCTTTGAACTCCTGGGCTCAATTGATCCTCCAGCCTCAGCCTCCTGAGTAGCTGTCACCACAGGTGCATGCCACCACACCCAGCTGATTTTTAAATTTTTTGCAGAGATGGGGTCTCACTATGTTGCTCAGACTGGTCTCCAACTTCTGGCTTCAAGAAACTCCTCCCTCCTCACTCTGCCAAAATGCTGGAATTACAGGCATGATCCACCAAGTCTGGCCTCTGGCCTCATGTCCCATTTACACAACGAGGAGACTAAAGCTCAGAAAGTGAAGTGAAGTGAGTTGCCCAAAGTACCTTGGCTGGTGAACTTGAACCCAGGTGATTGCATCAGGACCCACTCTCCTAACTACCACCTGTGCCTTCTCTCTGCTTCTAACTGGGCCATGATGCCTTTCACGGGGGCAGAATGATGGCTCCCATACAAGTCTGCATGCCAGTCTCTGGAATCTGTGGGTATGTTATGTAAAATGGCAAGCGGGAATTAAGGTTGCAGATGAAATTAAGGTTGCTATTGGCTCACCTTAAAATAAGATCCTCTTGGTCATCTGGGTGCCTGATGGAATCACAAGTGTCTTCTAAAGTAGAAGGACGAGGAAGAGGGAACAGAGTCAGAGATTTGAAGGCAGTGCAGTGAATTCTGACTCTGAACATGGAGGAGGGGACCATGAAGCAATGGATGCAGGTGGCTTTTAGAAGCTAGAAAAAAAAGGAAATGGATTCTCCAGAAATAACACAGTCCTGCCAACACCTTGATTTTACCCCCAGCGAGGCCCATTTCAGACTTCTGACCTCACACACCGTGTGATAATAAGTTTATGTTGTTTTACATTGCTAAGTTTGTGATAATTTGTTACAGCAGCAATAGTTAACTAATATGGTGACTTTGACCAAGCCCTTCTGGAAGGTATGTCTGAGCCTCTGGAAAGCAATTAGGGGGTATAGGGTGTGCAGGGAAAATGGGGGCAGACTGAGCCTATCAGAGGATGTGGATTCCCAGGCAGGTGGTCACACCCCCAGACCTCTGCCCCAAGCTCACGCCCAGGCTCTGGCTGAGATATTCTCAAGGTTGCAGTGGGGCAGATAAGGACTGGGAGGCCCCAAAGCTCAGAGATGTCTGCACCAAGCCAAACATTCCCGAGTTCTCTGCGTTCCTAGGGTGAATGCAAGAGGCAGGCTTTCTTCACCAACCGAGCCTGGCAGACCCGGGCCCGAGCTGCCAAGGACGCTGGCCTGGCCCAGGGTTGGCCCTGCAGTGGGTGCAGAGAAGCAGAGAAGACCAAAACCCTTGGAGAAGGAGTAGGGCTCGGGAGCCAGTGGGAGCTGCAGCGAGTGAGAGCATGCTAGTGCTTACAGAATAGGAAAACAAACTGTTTCTCCCATACACTCTCAACCCTCAACACAGAACACTTCTGCAACCAGATGTCTAGGGTTTTTCCCTGCACCAAGCAATTCTCCAATTGTCTGTGGACATCGACTGGGTGTCTACAGTTCATTTCAATTCTGACACTACCCAGAGCTACTGCAGACTCCACCCGTTAAGGGCTTAGTTCTGCAATGCTACCCCCCAGTTCAGATGCCAATCACAAGTCCCAGGTTTTCACCTGTACCTCTTTTTTTTTTTTTTTTTTTAGACAAAGCCTTGCTCTGTCACCTAGGCTGGAATGCAGTGGCACAATTGTAGCTTACCGCATCCTTGAACTCCTGGGCCCAAACAATCCTCTCACCTCAGTCTCCTGAATAGCCAGGACTACAGGCACACACCACCACGTCCGGCTAATTTATTTTTATTTTCATTTTCATTTTGTAGAGATGGGGTCTCACTATATTGCCCAGGCTGATCTCAAACTCCTGGCCTCAAGTAATCTTCCCACCTCAGCCTCCCAAAATGCTGAAATTACAGGCGTGAGCCACCTCGCCCAGCCTCTGTCACCTGTACTTCTGATGGACTGGTTGTAAATCAGAATTACCACAACTCCCTCATTGGGTTAGATAATTTGCTAGGATGATTCAGGGAACTCGGGGAAACACACTTGCCAGCTTATTGGTTATGAAGGATGTGATAAAGGGTGTGGATTGAACATCCGATGAACAGGTACATAGGGTGAGGTCTGGAAGAATGCTGAGTGTAGCAGCCTCTGTCTCCATGGAGTTGGGGTGCACCACTGTCCCAGCATGTGGATGTCTTCAGCAGCCTGGAAGCTCTCCCACCTCACGTAGTTCTGGGATTTTTATGGATGTCATCATTTAGTCATGATTGATTTTTAACTCACTCTCCCACCTCTTACCCTTACCCAGAGGATGGGGGTGGGGGAATCCAAGTTTCTAGTAGTGGCTTGGTCTTTCTGGTTCCCAGCCCCGTTCAGGAACCCAGGAACTCACCAAGATTCACTTCATCAGAACAAAAGACACTCCCATCACCCAGGAAATTTCAAGGGATTAGGAATTTCTCCAGTATCAGGAACTGGGGATAAAGACCAAAATACAAATATGTTTCTTTTTTTTTTTTTTCTTTAGAGACAGGGTCTTGTTCTGTCACCCAGGCTGGAGTGCAATGGCTCAATTATAGCTCACTGCAGCCTTGAATTCCTGGGCTCAAGTAATCCTCCCATCTCAGCTTCATGAGTAGCTAGGACTACAGGTGTCTGCCATCTCACCCAGCTAATTTTTAAATTTTTGTTGAAACGAGGTCTCACTGTGTTACTCAGACTGTTCTCAAACTCTTGGGCTCAAGCGATTCTCTTGCCTCGGCCTCTCAAGTAGCTGGGATCACAGGCACACACCACTGGGCCTGGCCCTGTATTTCATATTATAAATCACAATATCACAGTCCACCTTTCACTCTTCAGACACGGATCCCTTATAGCAAAAGGACATATAACTCAAAAAATACTGGCATGTTACTAGAATCCCATTCAGTCGTTAATAATTCGTCCAGTCCACCACCACGTCATATGAAAATGTCTCCCAGGGGAAGCCACTCGGGTTTGCAGGCTTGCATTGATCTTGTCAGGTTCCAAAAGCAGGAGTGGTCTTGGCAGACGTAGCCTCACCCTTTCAGGCATCTGCTATGATTGAGCTAAGATACACTTTCGTTTCTTGCTGTGTGCCTCTTTCAAGATGTTAGAGTATATTGGATTTCCCTCACTATGTAACCCCTTCCTTCCTTTCTTTATCCTCAGCTACTTTTTCTCCTTCTCTCCATTTATGCCCAAGCTTTTCCCTCTGTGGAAGGGACATTATTTTTGGCCACCGTGCTCATCCAGATTGCAGGCAGTAGAGCTAGTCCAGTAAGCACCTCCCCCTGAGTCCACTGCCATTCAGATAAAGTAAGGTTACCCAGGTGTGGAGTTAGTGGGTTATTTTTAGCACCAGTCAATATAGCTGCTTTCACTGTGAACCCCGATTTTGCCAGAGGGTGTGGAGGCACAACACGCCCCCTCAGGCCCTTAGGAATTCCAACAAAGTTTAAAAACAGTTACAGTTTATTGCCTAGGAATCATCCCGGCGTCCAGTACTTGGAGTTTCAGCCCTGGTCCTGACCACTGCATCAGGTAAGAAAAAGGGGACAAAAGAAAGTTGACCGGATATGGAGAAGGCAAAAAAAAAGGACAGGCATTTCACCAACCAGCGTCCTCCTCCTCTGGCAACAATTGCATCATCACACCAGAGTGATATAATCAGATATGAGCAGGAACCTATGGTGCAAAGGTCCCTCTGGCTGTTTTGTGGCCAATCCACAGGAGAGGAACAAGACAAAGGGTCACCTAGGAGGCAAATTGCAGTTAGTGTGAGAGCAATGCCGGGTTTGGGGGTCGGGGGGGGGGGCACTGGGGTGGTGGCCACAAGCTGGAGGGGACTAGGACAACTTTGGGAGGAGGGGTCGCTGACAGCCAGTGGGAAGCCCGGTCCTGCTAGGATGAACTCAGGCCTGGCTTTGTTCGTGGCTTCAGGATTTGCATCCTGGAAGGTTTTAATATTGGCACTGTGGCTGGTGGGGTCCTGGGACTGGGGTCGGTGCACATTCCAGGGCCGGCCAAACTCAGCCACGTGTGAGGCCAAGAAAAAAAATGAATGCTGAAGAGCCCTGAATCCCTGAGTGTGTTTATGGAATCTTTTCATGTCATTGTTTCTTTCTAGGCAGAATTTCTGAGGAGGAGGTTTAAGAAAGCTTTCCTGAGCTGGGTGTGGTGGCTCATGCCTGTAATCCCGGCACCCTGGGGGCTGAGACAGGAGATAGCTTGAGGCCGGGAGTTTGGGAACAGTCCGGGCAACATAGCCAGACCTCATCTCTGAAAAATAAAAATAAAAAAATTAGCTGGTTGTGGTGGCATATACCTGTAATCTCAGCTACTTGGGAGGCTGGGGTGGGAGCATCGCTTGACCCCAGGAGTTTGAGGCTACAACAAGCCATGAAGGCACCACTGCATTCCAGCCTGGGCCACAGAGTGAAACCCAGACTCTTAAAAAAACAAAAAGCCTTCCTGAGGAGCGTGAGCTGGAGGCAGCTTCCCAACCCGGTGAAGCATGTTCATGGTCCATCTGGGCAGGAGGAAGGATGATTGGCGAGCTGTCCAGATGGTATTTGGGGCCCAGGTGCCCTCTGAGGGCTCTGGACACAACGCCCTCATCCACACAGGGCCTGGGGAGACTGTCCCCAAAGTACTGGGGCACAGAGCCCCAATGATGGCCTGAGTGTGTAAAAGCTGGAAAAGGGGGCTCTGCCCTGCAGCTTCCATCCTCATAGAGGTAACCTTGACCCAGTTCCAGAGCCCAAGCCTGCCCTGGCCCTCTTCCCACTGAACAGGGCTCAGGGGCGCTGATGGCCAGGCATTCAGGGTAGGGGGCGTCTGGGCAGCCACCATCTCTCCTCCAGCCTGTTCTGTTTCCAGCCCTGCCATGGTAACAGGCAACCCCCTCTCCCACTGTTAGGGGCCGAACTGTGTCGCCCTAAATTTCATGTGTTGAAGCCCTAACCCCCAGCACCTCAGAATGTATTTGGTGGCAGGGCCTTTAAAGAGGTCGTGAAGTTAAAAAGGGGTCATTAGGTTTGGTCCTCATTCAGTATGTCTACCAGTCTTATAAAAAGAGATGAGGGCACACAGGTGGGGCACAGTGGCTCACGCCTGTAATCCCAGCACTTTAGGGGGCCAAGGCAGGCAGATCCTCCTGCAGTAAGGAATTAAAGACCAGCCTAGCCAACATGGCAAAACCCCATCTCTACCAAAAAGTACAAAAATTAGCCGGGCGTGGTGATGCATGCCTGTACTCCCAGCTACTCGTGAGGCTGAGGTGGGAGAATGGCTTGATCCCTGGAGGTGGAGGTTGCAGTGAGCCAAGATTGCACCCCTGCACTCCAGCCTGGGTGACAGAGCAAGACCCTGTCTCAAAAGAGAGAGAGAGAGAGAAAAAAAAGAGATGAGGACATAGACTCGTGCTCAGGGAAGACCACGCAGGCTGGGGAGAGGACAGCCTCTACAAGCCAAGAAGAGAGCTCCCGCAAGAAACCACCCTGCTGACAGTATCTTGCCCATGGACTTACGGCCTCCAAAATCGTGAGAAAGTAAATTTCTCATGCCGAAGCTGTGCAGTCTGCAGTACTTTGTTATGGCAGCCCTAGAAACAAATGCAGCCACCCTCACAGCAATAACACCAGCCAAGACACACTGCAGGCTAACCAGGTGCCAGCCGTAGTGACAAGCCTGATCCACGTGTCACCATTCATGATCCTCACTAACCCTAGGGATCAGGGACCTTGTGGCCAACCTGGCTCTGCCACCTGCCAGCTGTGTGGCCTGGTGAAATTACTTTGCCTCTTTGGGCCTTCGTTCCTTCATCTGTTCTCCAGGGCGGGAGTAGTACCATACCCCAGGGTGGTTTTAAGGAATGATTTAGGCTTAAAAAGGATTTAGAGAAGTTCCTGGAACATGGTTGGTGCTCACTAAGTGTTGGCTTTTATTTTTCTTATTTCACAGATGTAGAAATGGAGGTTCTGAGAAGTTAAGTAACTTGCTCAAGGTCACACAGCTAGCAAGCAGTGGGGCCACATTCGAGCCCAAACAAGGCTGACTGCAAATGAACTCAACTATGCTGCCCCACTGCCTCCTGCTCTGCTTCCCAGGCACATAGCGGCCACCTCTGTGACTTAGCCTGCCATACTCCTGGACTGCAGCTGGCCACGACGCGGTCAAGATCTGTTTGGGGTCTGCCTCCTCTGCTGCCTCGAGCCTCTCCTTGGGACCGGAGCAGCCCCAGCTCTGAACACAGGGCTCTGGATGTTTGTTTGGGAACCACGTTCAAGTTGCACTCGGCCTGAGGTTATCTCCAGGCCTTACCCTCTCCATTCATTTCTGCCTCGAATACTCCCTGCAGCCATGAGCATTGGGCAGAGCAGGGGATGTGAGGTTCAGAGAGATAAGTCACTTGCCCAAGGATACACAGGGCAGAATAGGGAGGAAACCCCTGCCCTTCCGACAACCTCAGGTCTGGTCCTCTGGCTCCCCACACCAAGGAGCTCCAGGAGGGAGATGGGACTTGCCTGGGGCTGTGGGAGGGGACCATGACCCTGCGTGGTGTGTCTGCGGGGTATAGGCCTGTGCTGGCCTCCACAAATGCTGCCGCAGCACCACACCTGCTGCAGTAACAGCCACGTACATCGGAAAACCGCTCCATGAGCCGAGTCCCAGATGACAAGGAGGGCTGTGAGGGACATCTTGGGAGACCTGTGGCCCTCTCTGGAAAGATCTATGTCCAGCCAGGGGTGGTAGCTCATGCCCTGTAATCGCACCACTTTGGGAGGTCAAGGCAGGGGGATCGCTTGAGCTCAGAAGTTTGAGACTAGCCTGGGCAATACAGCAACACCCTGTCTCTACAAAAAACTTAAAAAATTAGCCAGTGTGGTGGCGTGTGCCTGTAGTCCCAGCTACCTGGGAGGCTGAGGTGGGAGGATTGTTTGAGCCCAGGAGATTGAGACTACAGTGAGCTATGATGGCGCCACTGCCTTCTAGCCTGGGCAACAGAACGAGACCCTGTCTCAACAGCAACAACAACAACAACAACAACTTATGTCCAGAAACGAATGTCCTTGCTCCATATCCTCTCCACCTGGTAAGCGGTGTCTAGCCCACACTTCCTGCATCCTCTGCATGCCATAATGAGAAGGTGGGTGGTTTATGGCAGAGGCGAGAAAATCCAGCAGATCCCGTCAGCTTGGAGGGCCCACTGTCAGCCCCTCTACCTGCTAAGGCCGGAGGGGTGGGTCCATGGTTCTTTAGACCACAGACTAAAACAGCAAAACATGCTGGGTGGCTCCAGGTGTACCCCTTACCGCCTCACTCACTTTGGCCATGGGCATCTGAGCTGTTGTTTGTTTGTTTGTTTGTTTGTTTTAAAGAGCCAGGGACCAAGAAAGGGTTAAGCAGCTCCCAATCTGACTTATGAGACTAGAAGCTCTTGCTCCCAGCTGGCCACCCACAGGCCTCTGTCATCTGGCCAGTGCTGGGCTGGGAGGTCTCTGGGTCTCCGCACCCATCTGGCCACACTGTCCTAGCACCATCGTCTCTCATCTGGCAGCTGGGACGGCCTCTCACTGGTCTTGCCCTATCTCTGCAGCCTACAGGAGCTCTCTGTCCTCAGTTGCTGCTTACCCCCTAAAATCCTTTTAAGTGGTTTTGTACTGCTCCCATTAATAGGATGAACCAAAGCTTCTTAACTGGCCCCGTGGTCTGCCCGATCTGACCCCCTTCCTGCCCACCCAGGCCACGCTGTTTCTCCTCAAATGTGCCAGTCTCTGTGGGCCCTGCAGGCCTTGGCGCATCCTCTCGGCTTGAAATACTTTCCTATCTCCCTGCCCATTCACCCTCCCCAGCCTGTGGCTGTAGACCAACAGATCTTGGTCCTCTTTTTCATTGGGCCCGCTTGGAAACTGGTTGTCCCCCAATGTCTGGGGCAGGCAATAGCAGTCAATCACAGGTGGCATGTGAAATGAAACACATCTGCCACTCATGCACAAGTTCAGATCCCAAGGTCCCTCTCAGCTCTCCCCTTCTGCTTTCTAAGACTGTTCCATCCTCAATTTGCCCTTCTGTAGAACGGGGAGAAAGAGATCCCTGCCTCCTCTGTCATCCCAAGGGGCTGAGAGTGTGAATCAAGGTGGCTGTTTTCACCTGGGTATCTGTTTCCTTGGTGTCTGTCCTGCCTCTTGCCCCAGAATATCCCCTTCTACCCGTGGACTTCCACTCTGACCCCTGATAGCTCCCAATAGCTAGCACAGTGCACCCAACTGCAGGTATTAGGATGTTTAAAGTGTCCATGTAGATGTGGCCTCATGTGCTGCACCCTCTTGGCTCTGAGTTACATGTCCTGCTGCAAGTTTCTGAAGCAGGAAACGGTATGTGGCAGTGGAGGCCATTGGGCTTGCTGGGCGTGGGGCTTTCCTAGGTGACATACAGAGGCACCACTCCTGCTTGTCTCGGGAAGGGGGTGTTCTTTACAGGGGGGTTCATCTCAGAATGATTCAGTGGCAGTTGGTAGTTGCATGGGTCAAAAATGAGCACAGGACCCAGAGTTGGGAAACCTGGGTATTTCCGAGTTCCAGTTCTGTACCTGGAATCCGACCTGGGAGTATCTGGACACACCTTGCCCCTCTCTGCCCTGAGTGTCCCTGTCTACACAGCGAAAGGGAACATAAGTCAGTAATCAGTGTCTTCTGGTTCTCCAACTGTTGGAGAAAAAATCAGAAATCCAGATTTCGGTGTGAAATTTCCAGACTTTTGGAAACAACAGGTGCTGGGGAGGATGTGGAGAAATAGGAACACTTTTACACTGTTGGTGGGACTGTAAACTAGTTCAAACACTGTGGCAGAGAGTGTGGTGATTCCTCAAGGATCTAGAGCTAGAAATACCATTTGACCCAGCCATCCCATTACTGGGTATATACCCAAAGGATGACAAATCATGCTGCTATAAAGACACATGCACACGTATGTTTATTGTGGCACTATTCACAATAGCAAAGACTTGGAACCAACCCAAATGTCCATCAATGATAGACTGGATTAAGAAAATGTGGCACATATACACCATGGAATACTATGCAGCCATAAAAAAGGATGAGTTCATGTCCTTTGCAGGGACATGGATGAAGCTGGAAGCCATCATTCTGAGCAAATTATCGCAAGGACAGAAAACCAAACACCGCATGTTCTCACTCATAGGTGGGAATTGAACAATGAGAACACCTGGACACAGGGTGGGGAACACCATCCACTGGGGCCTGTCGTGGGTTGGGGGAGGGGGGAGGGATAGCATTAGGAGATATACCTAATGTAAATGACTAGCTAATGGGTGCAGCACACCAACATGGCACATGTATACATATGTAATAAACCTGCACGTACCCCAGAACTTAGAGAATAAAAAAAAAAAAGAAATTTCCTGACTTTTACCTGCTAGTAATGAATTCACAATTTTATGAACTACTCTGGGGATTTAAGGATATGTGCCAGTAAGCCAGGCTGGGCCCAGGGACCACCGCTTGCTAACTCCAGACTGGAACATTTCTGCCTGACATTCAGTACTGTGGTTCTCACCAGGGGTACACATTGTAATTACCTGGGGATTAGGGGAAAAAAAAAAGCTAACTCTCCACTTCCCCCCAGAATGCTGACTTACTGGCCAGGGGTGGAGCATCTTGAGGAACTTGAGGCGCAGCTGAAGGGCTGAATCCTGGGCTGGCTGGGTGGCTGGGTGGCTGGGGTAGGTTCCGTCACTGAGCCTTGTCTTAGCTATCTGAGCAGTGGGGCAGTGGGCATATAGGCAGCATTCTCTTAGGTAAAGGGCTTGGCACATTAAAAAGGTGCCCAGTGAAGTGAGGATGGAAAAGCAATTGGAAGCTGCTTTTGACTTAGATGCTTGAACCTGGCTTTGGAAAACAAACCCTTTGGCTTTCAGGACTGAGACAGTGGAAAGTTTCCCCAGGTTGGGGGCTGGAGCATGTGAGTCTGGGCGCCACCTCTGCCTCTGGCCAGCTGTGAGGTTTAATGTTCTCTGCTCTGAGTCTCAGCATCACCTGCTTTCTTGAACATCATATTGGCTGGGCCTGTCTTCACTGTGAATGCCCAATATTCACCCCAATTTATTTGAGGGGAGGCACTGACTCAAGGCGAAGCTTCTACCTGTGTTTCCCTGGGAAACCCCCAGGCAGCCTGAGAGAGTAGGTATAATTGGCCCATTTGACAGATGGTGCTCCCTCAGGGAGACACAGTCTGAGAGGAGCCCAGCTCATTTTGGAACCCAGGACCTAGGTGTATCTGACTCCCAAGATTAGAGCAGGGGATGCCTTCAGGGGCTGGGTGAGCGACTGAAAGAAGGGCTGGGTTTACAGCGGGGTGTTTGGGGAGTGATGTGGTGACCTAAAGAGCCCAGGCTCCAGCTACAAAGACTGGGACTCATGTTAAAAAACAAAAAACAAAACAGGCCAGGTGCGGTGGCTCATGCCTGTAATCCCAACACTTTGGGAGGCCGAGGTGGGAGGATCGCTTGAGCTCAGGAGTTCAAGACCAGCCTGGGCAACATAGGGAGACCCTGCCTGTAAAACAAACAAACAAACAAAAAACCCAAAAAACAAAACACAAACAAACAAACAAACAAACAAAAAAACGCCGGGCGTGATGGCGTGCGCCTGTAATCCCAGCTACTCAGGAGGCTGAGGTGGGAGGATGGCTTGAGGCAGGGAAGTCAAGGCTGCAGTCAGCTGTGTTTGTGCCACTGCACTGCAGCCTGGGCGGCAGAGTGAGACCCTGTCTCCAAAAAGAAAAAACAAAGTTCTACACAAGTATGCTGGCCAGTGAGAACCCTGGGGCCCCCGGTTTGCGAGCCCCTACTGGGCCTGCGCAGTTTGCGGGGCTTTGGGTTCTCGGATCCCGGCTGGAGAGGATCTCCAAGGCCTGCGGGGCCCATGCCCAGGCCTGGCGGCAGGGGGCGCCCGAGCTCCCGCGCTGACCGCTGGTCCTCCCGGCCCTCTCAGACGCCTCCCGGGGCGGGTCTCCAGCTGCTTGCCCTGGGAACAACCCTAGCCAGCCGTTCCCGCCCCTCGCCCGCCACGCCGCACCCTGACCCTTAAGCGGCCCCCGCCCAGCTCCCTCCTGTGTCCCTGCCCCCTCCCGCCCCCTGGGCTGGCCCCTCGACCCTCTGATCTCACTCCTGCCTCCCGCCGCTCGGTCCTCCCCTACTCGGCCAGCTGGGCGGCTCCTCAGTTGGGGACCGGGGCCTCGGAGCCCCCGGCCTCGGGCCTGCGCCCTGTTCTTCCAGCTTGGGGGCTCCCTCTTCTCTCGCCCTCCTCCCCTCTCCTTCCTCCCACCCCCGCTGCGACGGCTTCCTTCTCCTCCCACCCCCCGTGGCTCTGGAATTCCTGGGGGAGCCTACTCCCCCAGCCCGGGCTGCACCCGAGCGTGCAACAAGTCCCGCCGAGCGTGCGAGCACGCAGATGAACACGCGGTTCGCGGGCAGCCGCGGCTGCGTGGACCCAGCTGGATGTTTCAGCGTGCACAAGTGCGTGTTTCTGCATCCAACTCTGCTTAGACACTGGTGTGTAATTTTTTGTGCACACACATTCAGTGACTCTTGGGGAAAGTTTTCTGAAAATCCCGGGCTGGCATTAAATATAAAAAGGCTTTGTTTAATGCCAGAGGCATTTTCCCCCGTGTTCTGGAAGTCGAGAAGCGTTCACCTGCTTCCCCCTTCCCCTCTTAAAGACCCGGAGGCCTTGCTAGCATTGGGAGAGAGGGGAGAATAGAGGGAGGTACACCAAAGAAGTGGTTCTTTTAGAGTCCACCTCCCCGTGCCTGTACCACAGCCCTACCCACAAAAGGCTTTCTCAGGCCCTGGAAACCTCCCTAGTCTTTGTCTCTTTCCTGGGCTGTTTAGCTTTGAATCTTCTTCCTCAAATATCTGGGTGTGTTACAATGATGCCGACATCATTCTGGTTTTGGAATTCAAGTTGTAGCTTAGCCAGCATGTGGAAGGCTGTGGAGCAGGGTGTTTGGAGGGCACTGTAGGGAAGGTGGGCAAGGCAAGGAAACTGAGAGCAGGGGGGCAGAGTGGCCCAGGGAAGGGGTGTCCTCTCCTTGAGCTGACCACTGTGAAGTGGGTCATATGTCTTATAAGGCTGTTTGCGTCTATTTCTTTTATTGTACATTTAGTGCCTCGGAGTATCTGGGCATAATAGATATTAAACAAAGACAGCTGGACTGGGCGTGGTGGCTCACGCCTGTAATCTCAGCACTTTGGGAGCCCGAGGTGGGCAAATCACGAGGTCAGTTCGAGAGTAGCCTGGCCAACATAGTGAAACCCTGTTTCTACTAAAAATACAAAAATTAGCCGGGCGTGGTGGTACGTGCCTGTAGTCCCAGCTACTCTGGAGACTGAGGGAGGAGAATCACTTGAACCTGGGAGGCGGAGGTTGTGGTGAGCCAAGATCGCGCCACTGCGCTCCAGCCTGGGCAACAGAGCAAGACTCCATCTCAAAAAAAAAAAAAAAAAAAAAAACCAAAGAAACAAAGACAGCTGTTTATGATTTTGTTGGATTTTTTTGGAGGCAAAGGTATAGAATAGTGTATAAAACCATACACTTTGGATCTGGATGCAAATCCTGGCCCCACAATTTTCTAATAATATAACTTTATGTCAATTTCTGTGTGCCTCTTGCCTTCTCTGTAAAGTGGGGCCAGCAATGATTGCACGCCTCCCAGGGTTTGTGTAAGGATTGAATGAGTCAATTTACATAAGCACTGGAACAGTACCTGGCACATATAAGTGCTGTGTAAGTTTCAGTTTTTATTATCCCTCTAGAACAGAGGTTGGCACCACCTGTTTTTATACAGCCCTCCCTTGAGCTAAGAGTGCTTTACAAATTTTTAATGGTTGGGGAAGAGAAAAAGAAACACTCATATTTCAGGACACATGAACATTACACAGAATTCAAATTTCAGTGTCCATAAATAAAGTTTTATTGGAACACAGCCACACCCATGCATGGGTGTTTTCACACTACAAAGGCAGTTAAGTCAGTTCAACAGAGACCTTATGGCCTGAAAAGCCAAAAATGTTTACTCTCTGGCCTTTAGAGAAAAAATTTGTCAAGCCCTGCTGGACAAGGTCAGCTGCAAGAGTGCAGAGATTTTTGCCTGTTGGATCATTAATGTATCCCTAGTGCCTGGAACTCTGCCTGGAACATAATAGATGCCCAATAAGTATTTGTTGCATGAATGAGTTTGGTCCCAGGCAGTTGTGAGGCAGAGGCTCCAATGTTCCTGAGCTTGGCATGGGGGTCTGTAGTGATTCAAGCAGATGCTCGTTCGGAGATCAGAAGAAGGAATTTGCCCACCCCCGACCCCTCAGTCTCCTTAAGCGGGGACCAAAAATCAGACTGGCCACAGGGAAGCTGCTCCTGCTGAGTTTGGCCTTGCTTTAGGTGAGGCACTCACATGGTCCAAACCAGATCCTTTCTATCCAGCCAAATCACACCCTAGGGAGGGGCAACTTGGTGTCATCACTTGGAGGGGGGGTCTTCATTCCTTCCCTCCCCCTCTGGCAGACTCACAGCAGGCAGTGAAGTGGCTGGAAGGATTTTGAGAATGGCTTCCTTGGGGCCAGTCGCAGTGGCTCACACCCACAATCACAGCACTTTGGGAGGCCAAGGTGGGCAGATCACTTGAGGTCAGGAGCTCAAGACCAGCCTGGCCAACATGGCAAAACTCTGTCTCTACTAAAAATACAAAAATTAGCTGGGCATGATGGCACACACCTGTAATCCCAGCTACTTGGGAGGCTGAGGCAGGAGAATCGCTTGAACCCAGGAGGTGGAGGGTGCAGTGAATTGAGTGAGATGGTGCCACTGCATTCCAGCCTGGCCGACAGAGTGAGACTCAAAAAAAAAAAAAAAAAAAAAAAAGAGAGAGAGAGGGAATGGATTCCCTGACCTTCTGGGGAGAGGGTGCTCCATGGCCAAGGGGTTGTTGGCTTTGGATCTTCCTGTCCTGGGGGAAAGAAGAGAGAGGAGGCAGAGGAGCCCCAGGCTCACTGGGGGCACTTGCCATGATGAGATTCCACTCGGCTTTGCCAAGGAGCTCTTCAAAGGTCCTAGCAAGGGGTGACCATGGGCTGGGAGAAATAACACATAACCCTCAGTGTAAGAATGTGCTCAGATCCCCCAGCAGCCTGCCCTGGTGACTGGGCCTGCTGGGGCATCCCAGGGCTGCCAGAGGCTCCTTTCTTCATTCAGTGCTTCCTGAAATCCTGTGTGCAAGGTGCTGAGCTTGGTGCTGGTGCTAGTGCAGGAGGAATAAGATACAGCCCCTGCCGGGTGGAGCTCACAGCCTTCTGGAACATAAATAACTCTGATCCACTGAGGTAAGTGCATAGTCAGAGTGCTCTTCTGGATTGACCACATCCTAAAACGAGCTAAGGATACAACCATGTGTTTTGCAGAAGAGGAAACTCAAATAGCCAAAAATGCATGAAAAGAAACTCAATATGACTCTTGGTCCAGAAAAATGCAAATTAGAGCCACATAAAATGCCACTAGTATGCCATGAGATCAGCAAAAATAAAATGGGTGATAGTCCTGGGGGAATCTGGGGGAGAAGGCACTGTCATATATAGTTGGTGCAAATAGGAATTGTTATGGCTTTGAGGGGAAAAGAAACTTGGCAGTATATATTAATTCAGGTTGAGTAGCCCTTGTCTGAAATGCTTGGAACCAAAAATGTTTCAGATTTCTTTTTTTTTTTTTTCCAGATTTTGGAATATCTGCATTATATTTACCAGTTAAACATCTCTAACTCAAAAATCTGAAATCTGAAATGCCTCAGTGAGCATTTTCTTTGAGAATCATGTCAGCACTCAAAAAGTTTTGGATTGGCTGGGTGCGGTGGCTCACGCCTGTAATCCCAACACTTTGGGAGTCCAAGGCAGGTGGATCATGAGGTCAGCAGATCGAGACCATCCTGGCGAACACGGTGAAACCCCGTCTCTACTAAAAGTACAAAAAAATTAGCCGGGCGTGGTGGCAGGCCCTGTAGTCCCAGCTACTCGGGAGGCTGAGGCAGGAGAATGGCGTAAACCCGGGGGGCGAAGCTTGCAGTGAGTGGAGATAGCGCCGCTGCACTCCAGTCTGGGTGACAGAGCGAGACTCTGTCTCAAAAAAAAAAAAAAAAAAAGGTTTTGGATTTTGAAGCATTTTGGACTTTGGATTTTCAGATTAGGTATATTCAACCTGTATAAACAAAACCATACAAACCAAAAAACATACCCTTTTTCCGGCAGTCGCACTCTTGAGATTCCATCCTGAGACTTAAGGGTAAATATACCAGGATACTTATTAAAGTGTGTGTGTGTGTGTGTGTGTGTGTGTTTGAGACAGGGTCTTACTCTGTTACCCAGGCTGGAGTGGAGTGAAATGCCTGAAGCCTCGAACTGGGCTCAAGCCACCCTGTGGCCCTAGCCTCCTGAGTAAGTGGAACTACAAGCACATGCCAGCATGTCCCACTGATTTTTAAACTTTTTGTAGAGATGGGGTCTTGCTGTGTTGCTCAGGCTGATCTTGAACTCCTATGCTCAAGCTATCCTCTGATCTCAACCTCCCAAAATGCTGGGATTACAGATGTGAGCCACAATGCCCAGCCCTTAAAGTGTTTTTATGAAGGAACAAAAGCATGGAAACATTTATACCCAAGATGAAAAGTTTAATTGTGATACATTTACATGTGCAGTATTATGTGGCCATGAAAAAATGATGAGTTAGCACTATTTCTTTCTTTCTTTCTTTTTTTGAGATGGAGTCTTTCTCTGTCACCCAGGCTGGAGTGTAGTGGTGCAATCTCAGCTCACTGCAACCTCCGCCTCTCGGGTTCAAGTGATTCTCCTGCCTCAGCCTCCCAAGTAGCTGGGAGGACAGGCGCCCACCACCACGCCCGGCTAATTTTTGTGGTTTTAGTAGAGACAGGGTTTTACCATATTGGCCAGGCTCGTCTCAAACTCCTGACCTCATGATCCGCCTGCCTTGGCCTCCCAAAGTACCGGGATTACAGGCATGAGCCACCGCGCCCGCCCTAGTTAGCACTATTCCAAGTGCCTGGAAGGGCTTCTAGGATGTGTAGTTAAGTCCAGTGAGGAGAGCCAGAGGTGGGCAAGTGACCAGCCTCTTCAGTGTGAAGCACCTTATCACGCTAGTACCAGCCCAGCCCCTTCCCATACAGGTACTTCTGTTTGTGTATGACCTGTGAGCATGGAAACCAGGCTGCTGGCCTTGGAAGTGAGGAGTGGGAAAAGGCTAGATAAGTAAGGGGGAAAACAGCTTGGTCTACAACCCAAATGGAAAAGTATCTACTGCATAATGTTAACTGAAAACATGTAACCTAATGTCTTATACAAGATACTATTGTAAATGTGCAAAAGCAAATTTGCATATAAACAATGAGAAGCTAGTGACAGGGACCAAGGATAACATTGTTTTTATCTTGGGTGAGCTGGTCAGAGCTTGAGAACAACTGTCTGCTCCCTCCACCTCCACATTTTCTGCTTCTGGGAGGGTAAAATTGTGTTCTTTCCAATAAAAAATTGTTTCAGTGCCTTTGCTGTTCTAGGTTTGCTCTAGGTACAGAGGACAGAGCCGTGAATAAGATTCAAGAAGTCCCTGTCCTCATGGAGCTTATAATCTAATGGCCAGGCTTATAACCAGCCTGGCCAACATGGTGAAACCCCGACTCTACAAAAAATACAAAAATTAGCCGGGCATAGTGGCACATGCCTGTAATCCCAGCTACTCGGGAGGCTGAGGCAGGAGAATCACTTGAACCTGGGAGGCAGAGGTTGCAATGAGCTGAGATCACGCCATTGCTCTCCAGCCTGGGTGACAGAGCGAGACTCCATCTCAAAGAAAAAAACAAAAAACAGTTGAAGAAAGAGGCTCACTCTTTCTTTTCTTTTTTGAGGCAGGGAATTGCTCTGTCACCCAGGCTGGAGTGCAGTGGCTAAATCGTAGCTTACTGCAGCCTCAACCTCCTGGGCTCAAGCCATCCTCCTACCTCAGCCTTTTGAGTAGCTGGGACTACAGACACACACCACCATGCCCGGCCAATTTTTATTTTTATTTTTTGTAGAGATGGGGTCTCTTTATGTTGTCCAGGCTGGTCTCAAACTCCTAGGCTCAAGCAGTCATTCCACTTTGGCCTCCCAGAGTGCTGGGATTACAGGCATGAGCCACCACATCTGGCCGACTCTTTCTCATTGACCTTGAAACTGTCAGGACAGCTGGACCCTGGCAGCCATGCTGTCACTGTGTGGAGTCTGAGAATGAAGCCACTATGCAGGAGAGCCAGGCTGAATGATGGAGAGATGGTGTCCTTTGTGATATGATTTGAATATCTGGATCCTCTCAAGCCTGAATCTGGAACCACACAGTTTTTGTTTAAGCCAGATTTTTTTAAAAAAATCATTTGCAACAGAAAAATTCCTAAATTGTTATTCTTAGTATTATTCTTGTTGCTATCATCTCACTGCTTTGACCCTGTGGCTTCTCTGAAAGTTCAAGTGAGTCCAGGGACCTGCCCAGGAGAGGGTTCTGCATTTCTGGTTCCAGATTCCCAAACCTTGAGGCTAGCTGGACAGATATATTCATACAAGAATGACCCCCAAAAAGTGTGCGTGTGCGGGGAGTGTCCAAAGAAAGAGACGGAGGGTCTTATGCTTGAGAGTCACCATCTACCTCCTGATCCAGGTGGACATCCCATGGTGGCAGGCGGCCCCTTCCTCATGTCTAGGGATACAAACCTGCCTGACATGTTGCCTGTCTGTCGTTCCTGAGGGTGCCTGTGAACACCCCCCTCCCAATTTCCAGATGCTCTGCTGGGTATCCCTGCTCAGCATCTCTGCAGGGGCCAACAGAGCCCTGAAGCCCCATGAAGCAGGCAGGGCAGCTGACCCCCAGGGCCCTGCAGCCTTCTTCCCTGGAAGCCAGGCATAGCCTGGCTCCTTCCCTCTTGCCAGGAGTTTCATCTTCCAGGGCCCCTCCCTCAACAGGTGCCGCCTTCCTTTCTGCATCTACTCTTCCAAGGGAAGCAAGGGGGAAACAGGGAAGCAGGGGTGGAGAAGAGAAAGAAAGGGCGGAATCTTTGGCCCCAGACAAGTCGTTTTCCAGCCTCAGGTTGCACCCCTGTAAATCAGGACCCTTGCTATCTCTGCTGTCTGTTCATAGGGCCTTTCTCCTAAGGGTGGTATGTTCAAGATCTGATATTTCAGTCAAGGCCCCTGCAGCTTTGATGAATACCTAACACTGGAGGCTTTCCCAGCCCTGCTGGTTACCCCTGCAGGCCCCTGACCCCCTGCTGGTTACCCCTGCAGGCCCCTGACCCCTGTAGCAGCATTCTTAAATGGGCTTAGGTCTAGTTGGAGGGGTACAGGGAACCTAGGTGATTTGACTTGAAGCTACATTTGAGTAAGATTGAGAAAACATCAGTTGTCCATATCAACTAACCCACCCCACTCCACCACCCCACTCCCCAACAAATGTAACATTTTCATATCTATTAGGTGCACATAAGTATCAGCTATTATTATTTTCTGCATGTTCAAAATCTTTCCTAATTAACCATGAACACAAAAGAATTTGGGGGTTGATGGAGATTTAGAGGAAGGACATGCTGTGCCCCCAACCTGACACCTGATATAATCGTCTGTGGTTCCCAGATGCCATCTTTATCTATCTGTTTATATGTCTATCTAAACGTCCATCCATCTAAAATCAATATGTCAACTATGCTTCAGGCAAGTTACAGAAACTGAAATTAACTGGCTGGGCAGGCGAACACCTCCAGCTTTGGAGGAAGATTTGCCTTGATTTCCATCCCAGCTCTATTCCTTAAGGGCTGTGTGACCTTGGACCAGTGACATGGCCTCTCTGAGACTCGATTTTCTCACGAAAAATGGAGATAATGACTGCATCATGGGTGTGAACTTAAACGGTACAGGAAGACCACTCTGCAGGATATTGGGCTGGGCCTTGGAAGTGGGGCGCTGGGAGAAAAGCGTGGAAAGGAGGGGGCTGTCCTTAGCCCAGGGGATCTGGGTCCTCTTCCTCCCACCTCCTGCTTCAGACAAGGTTTCTGTGAGGTCCATGGGGTTCCCAGGGCAGAAGATCAGGAGAGTTTGTTTTCGGGCTTGCTGGCTTTTTGAGAGCGGGTTGGCGCCCCACGGGAGGCAGTGTCCCTGTGGGCCACTGCGGGAGCTTGGGCCGCGCTGCTCACGGGCCACTGCGGGAGCTTGGGCCGCGCTGCTCACGGGGCTTGGCGAGAGTGCAAGAGCCAAGAGCAGCGAGGGGCACCTGGCTGCGGCCCGCCGGCGGCCCCGCACCCCTAGCTCGCAGACCATGCCCAGGGCCGCTCCGCTTCTAGCGCTGGGAGGTGGTGCAAAGTTGGAGAGCCTCTTGGGGTGGGAATGGGCGGCGGGGGAATGGAACACCGCAAGAGCGCCAGAATAAGGGCTCCCTCTTCTTCACACACCACCCCTGCCTCCCTGGCACCGTGGCAGGCAACGAGAATGAGCCAGACTCACCAGGCTGGGGAGGTCGCAAACTGTGGGCCTGGGGCTTAGTCCCACTTAGAAACATGGTTACAGTCTGTAAGGGGCACTGCAGGGTGGCTTCCCCCGTCTTTGCAGGGAACACACTCCCTTTGACTCCACGCAGATCCCAGCCTGCTTGCCTTCTCCTGCCTGGTCAGTTAGGATCTGGGGACAGCTGGGGACAGCTGAGTTTGTGGTCCCTGCTAACCTCCCACTAGGAGAATGGAAGATTAGCGTGTGCTACGTGCCGGCTCTGGGCTAACAAGCCAGCGTGTCAGTTAGTGTGACCCCCCACTCCCCCCGCCATGACCAGGCAGTTCCATCAGACCAGGGGCTTTTCTGCCTTGCCCAGCTGGTGCCCACCACTGGCCCAGTGGCTGTCACAGCAGGGCCCCCACCGGAGGTTGCAAACATGGGTTAGGTGAAGAAAGCATTTGTGATAGTAAGATGTCACTTTCTTCAGCACTATTCTAAGTGTTTTATCTATAGGCTCCTTTAATCCTTACAGCAGCTCTACCTGGTAGATATGAGTATACCCCCATTTTCACAGATGAGGAAACTGAGGCACAGATAAATGAAATTACTTGCTGGGAGGCAGAGGAGCTGAGTTCAAAGCGGGCTGTCTGCATTCAGATCACCAGATGTCGGTCTCACCCAGGACTAAAAGCAATGACACCCTGACACCTACCCCCCACCAACATCTAGCAACTTCAGGATGTTCAGTTCCCTCACCTGCCTTCCCTCCCCCAACATTTCTTTGTTATCTGGTTTTGGAATTGAGAGTACTGGCTCCAAGGCCAGCTCTGCCATTAGCTGGCAATGTGACCTTGGGCAAATCTGTTCCTTGCTAGACATCAGTTTCTCCATCTTTCTAATCCAAGGCTAGATCATCTCATAAGGCCCTTCCAGGTCCTTTAGACCCAGAATCCTGTTGCTTTTGTAAGGGGGACCTAATTGTTCATTTTCTGCCCTTGACAAACAGGCCCTCCAGAAGTCCTTGGCTTGGCCAAATGGTGGCTCTGCTCCCAGGGGCAGGAGAAGGTTTGGAGTGCAGGCAGAAACTTCCTGAATCTTCCCCTTACTCCTGCTATGGTCTTGGCTCTGGGCAGGGGCTCCAGGGCCTCTCCCAGTGGGTGCCGGAGGCCAGAGCCGCCTTTGTCTGCTGCAGGAGGCCAGGCAGGCGGCTGCGGCTGCAACCGGCCCCTGCCCAGGCCTGGGAGATGTTTTTTTTTTTTTTTTTTTTTTTTTTTCCCTGTGTGTTGCAGCTGGGACCGTTTATAATAGGAAAAAAAGAGAATGACCAGGCCAGCCGGCTGGAAAATAAAGAGACTTAAAAAGAAAAGGGCTAGGCCTGTTCTTCTCCTGTGGAGGCTTTGGTTAAGCAGAAAGTTTTAGTTCCTTTCTGAAAGGCATTTGGGCTTTTGAAGTCCCCTGCGGGAGCTCCCTCTGGCCCCTGGGAAGCCAGGCCCTGGCATGTCCCAAAGCGCATGGCCAGGATGGGGCTGGGCCGCTCAGCGGAGGCAGCGGCAGCCCCGGGAATTACTGCACCGGGCTGTGTCCACTGAGGTCTGAGTCCTGCCCCATCTGCTCCCATCCCAGTGGGGCCCAAGCCCCATAACCTCCCTTTGGTGGCCTTTTCCCTGAATTTCCTCTGCTCCTCAGGCTTTGAACTGTGGCCTGGTGCTGGTTGGGCCAGAGGGTAGGAATAAGCCCAGATGTGCTTCTTCCTTCAGACAGAGAACCAGGGGGATTTCACAAATGGGGAGACTGAGGCACTGAGAGGGTTTGCCCAAGGCCACCCAGGGAACCTAAACTTTTTTATTTTTTAAAAGACAAGGTCTTGCTTTGTCACCCAGCAATCATATCACGCTGCAGCCTTGAACTCCTGGGTTCAAGCCATCCTTCCACCCAGGTTCTCAGTAGCTGGAACCACAGGCACACACCACCACACCTGGCTAATTTGGTTTTTATTTTTTATTTATTTATTCATTTATTTTTGAGACAGAGTCTCACTCTGTCACCCAGGCTGGAGTGTAGTAGTATGATCTCAGCTCACTGCAACCTCTGCCTCCCGAGTACCTGGGATTACAGGTATCTACCACCATGTCCGGCTAATTTTTGTATTTTTAGTAGAGATGGGTTTCACCATGTTGGCCAGGCTGGTCTCAAACTCCTGACCTCAAAAGATCCACCTGCCTTGGCCTCCCAAAGTGCTGGGATTACAAGTGTGAGCCACCACACCTGGCCATTTTTATTTTTCTAGAGATGGGGGTCTCTCTATGTTGCCCAGGCTGCTCTTGAATGCCTGGGATCAAGCAGTCAACCTCACAAAGTGCTGAGATTATGGGTGTGAACCACGGCCAGGAACCTAAACTGATTGAGTGGCTGTTGTGTGTGCTCTGCCTACAAACATTAACAATAGCTAATGTGAATTAAGCCCTCACAATATGAAGGCCCTAGGGAAGGAATCCAGGGAACGGAGGAACAAATAAAACTAGGTGCTTGTGTTCTGGGGCTCTCAGGAAGCTGCTTACCTGCTCTCTTCTCTAGCCTTAGTTCAGGTCCTTGCAAAAGAGCTTACTTCCTTGTCAGCACCCCCTCAGCAGAGTCTCAGCCATACCCATTACTGAAAAGGAACCACAATCAAAACTTTATAATGAACATTGATCAAGCACCTACTATGTGCAAAGTGCTGCGTGCTAGGTGTGTTACAGCATGAGCTGATTCCATGCCCCTTTCATATCATGGAGGCAGGTCACTATGGTGACATTGTCTTATGGATTACAACCACCCTGTGCCAGGGACACTATCCTCTCATTTTATAGGTAAGGTTGTCTTGCCCAAGGTAAGGCTGGGATTTCAATTCACCAGCTCTTTCCCCTGTGTGTCTAGAGCCCACTGCTGACCTCTGGACAGTGTCCTGCCAGCTTTTCCAGTCACCAGCACTCACTGGGCAGGCAGTGGGCACCCTTGTGTGAAAGGGGTATAGAGCAAAATTGAGGGCTCTGCCCTGAAAGAGTGTTTGACCTAGTTGGGTGGGCAAGCTTTCTTTCTTTTGTTTTCTTTCTTTTTTTTTTTTTTGAGACAGTCTTTCTCTGTCACGCAGGCTAGAGTATAGTGGCACGATCTCAGCTCACTGCAACCTCCACCTCCGGGTTCAAGTGATTCTCCTGCCTCAGCCTCCTGAATAGCTGGGATTACAGGTGCACACCATCACGCCCAGATAATTTTTGTATTTTCGGTAGGGATGGGGTTTCACCATGTTGGCCAGGCTGGTCTCGAACTCCTGACCTCAAGTGATCTGCCCACCTTGGCCTCCCAAAGAACTGGGATTACAGGTGTGTGAAAGAATGCCCAGCTCAAAGCCTTCTAATCAGCCTCTGTTGTCCGGCAGAAAGCCTTCATATAACAATGGTTGATTGCCCAGGGAGGTATTTGGGCACTTCCTCTGTGTGCCACACAGATTGATGTTTTTTCTCCCAAAGCCACCCCTAAGTTCTGAGCATCTGCAGGGTACTAGGGATGCAATGGGGAGCAGTGTAGACTCAGCCCTGATAATCCTCTTTCTCTCCCTCCTTCCTGGAGGCATTGGGTGTCTAAGGGCATTATATGTGCCGGTACAGGGACCACACATGCTGATGTTCTTCTGATGTTCTTCTGAAATCTCCATGGTATTTCTCCCAGGCCTGGGCATCTAGTAGGTTCTTTCCATGATGGTGGGGAAAGAGTATTTATACAAGGAAAGAAATAAATACCAGATTTTTCCCCCCAAAATGATCTAAGCCAGTTTCATCCTTTTCAGTAGATAATAGTGGTCACAAAAGAGGTCAGAGGTGGATGAAGGTTTTCTACTCCCCCACAACCTCTCTACCAGGTGATACTGAAGGCCAAATTCTGCCGCACACACTGACCATTATGAAACAGACATTGGCTGAGCACTGTGGCTCATGTCTGTAATCCTAGCATTTTGGAAGGCTGAGGCAGGCAGATTGCTTGAGGCCAGGAATTCGAGACCAGCCTGACCAATGTGGTGAAACGCTGTCTCTATAAAAAATACAAAAATTCTCTGGGTGTGGTGGTGTGTACCTGTGGTCCCAGCTACTTAGGAGGCTGAGGTGGGAGGATCGCTTGTGCTGGGGAGGTCGAGGCTACAGTGAGCTATGATCATGCCACAGCACTCCAGCCTGGGCAACTCAGTGTGACCCTGTCTCAAAAAAAAATGAATAAATAAAAAATAAAAAACCTGGATGTCCAGTAGCAAAGTAGGACCATTTTAAGCACAAAACAGATCCTGCAACCACTTTTGTGAGCTCCATGAAGTCTCAGTTCTCTATCCTTCCAGACTCTCTGACCAGTTCCAGTGTGAAAGGCACACTATGGAGATACCCATCACATTTCCAGTCAGGAATCTGTGTCCTCTACTGGGCACCATGCAGCTGAAATCCTACTCAATGGCTGGACTCAGGGCCCCTTAGGGCTCAAGGTATGTGTGCAGGGGGTTCGCCTTAAAGATACAGCTTATCCCAGCCTCTCTGGCTTTATAGTCCCTGTTCATGCAAGGTGGGGTGTGTCTCTGGATCACTTTTGCTAAACTGTACATGAGTGCTTTCAGTTTCACCAATGAGAGCCCACTGCTAAACATATCACATTTTTTGATGTCCAGTTTGCTAATTAGATTGGATGGTGGTTGGTTAAGCTACTGATGGTGGAAGGACTTGTGACCAGTCCTGAAGTGTTTGAGTCATGAAATTTGCATGCTACAGAGCATTTTGCCTTACCACTTCTGGGTAAAGCTGAAAGAATTTGACATCACATCACATTCATTAAACAGAAGTTTTAAACATTTTCTTAAAAAGTCCAGGCACAGTGGCTCATGCCTGTAATCCCAGCACTTTGGGAGGCTGAGGCAGGTGGATCACTTGAGGTCAGGAATTCGAGACCAGCCTGCCCAACATGGTGAAACCCTGTCTCTACTAAAAATACAAAAATTAGCTGGGCATGGTGGTGGGTGCCTGTAATCCCAGCTACTCGGGAAGCTGAGGCAGGAGAATCACTTGAGCCTGGAAGGCGGAGGTTGCAGTGAGCTGAGATTGCGCTACTGCACTCCAGCCTGGGTGACACAGAGCAAGACTCCATCTCAAAAAAAAAAAAAGTATTAAAATTTACAAAAATCATACTGAAAAAAAATTGTAAAGAGAATCACAAACATTATAAAATAAGTATTTTAAGAGAACAAAGCAGCAAGTGACTCTGAGCCAAGTGACCCCAGGCTCGAGCGTGCTGCACACCTGGGCAGCTACAGGTGGTTGAGGTAGATGCTCTCAGGGCCAGAGCCTGGAGTTTCAAGCTTTCTGAGGGTATGAGTCCATGGGGATCCTCCCGCCAAGTTGGTTTCCTTGCTGCCTTGTGGGTGTTCCCTGCAAAGACTGCCGATGTTTGAAGAATTAAATGATTATAATAATGATGATAAAATAGAAATGGCTTTCCCAGCTGAACAGAAACCAGAGAAGACAAGGAGGTTCCCACACCCGGCTTATTGTTTTTGGCACCAGGCTACTACAGCCCCAGAGAGCCCCAGAGAGGCAGATGTCTGGGTCCACTGCTGGCCTCTTTGAGTTGTGGTCATGGGGAGGGGGGGACAATGGGGACCTCTGGGGAATTTCAGGAGCATCTGCAGGGATTTCCCTCCTCAAAACACCAGGCTGAGAACTAAAAGCAGAGGAAAGGACTCTCTTTTCGATCTTGCCTTCCTCTCTTCTGAACCCTCAGGAGCTTCAAGACCAAGTCTTGTGAGAAGAACCCTGCAAATAATGATGAAGAGGTGAGGAAGACCTGGGCTTGTGGCAGCTGCTGGTTAACAATCATGCTGCTAGGCCATCTCCTGGAAGGCTTGACCAGAGAGCATGGTCATTGCTTCCTCAGTACCCTGAGAACAGGAGTGTTCAGGGAAACTTGGATTCTACAGATAGATGCATCATTAAAATAAAACACAACTAGCCTGGCCAATATGATGAAACCTCATTTCTACTAAAAATACAAAAGAATTAGCTGGGCATGGTGGCGCATGCCTGTAATCTCAGCTAGTTGGGAGACTGAAGCAGGTAAATTGTTTGAATCTGGGAGGCGGAGGTTGCAGTGAGCCGAGATCGTGCCACTGCACTCCAGCCTGGGCGATACAACAAGACTCTGTCTCAAAAAATAAATAAACAAATAAATAAAATAATAAAACGCAAATGCACAAAACCTTCTCAATAGACATAAAGAAGATAGAAAGCTTCTAGAAAGCAAGGGCAAGTCTGAATCAAGGAAATACCAGGGAGAAAGAGGAACTTATTGGTGCAAGGAGGGGATCTGCAGTTGTGTAACTGGCATCTCTATGAACATGATTGACCTCGGAGGTGGTGAAGGTGAGAGAGAAAAGGTAAGGGAGGACAGCGAAGGCCAGATGACTGCTGTCTTGTGGCCAGACAGGCAGCATGGACAGATGAGAAACCCTCAGGACCACCCTATGAGATCCGTGCTATCCGTTTTCTCATTTTGCAGATGCAAAACTGGAACACGGGCTCCCTTGCTCCGGGTTCTTCAGCTAGGTGGTGAGGGAAGCTGGACTGGAAAATGGATGGAATTGGCTCCTAAGCCTGGCCATGGTGGCCTTTGCCTGAGCTGTGACAACTCTCGCTGAGAAGCCTCCAGCTCCTTTGTGCCCCAGGCCCTTTGCACACACTGTTCACAGCTGGGAACTCTATTCTCCATCCCCCCGCTTGGCTCCTTCCTCCTCCTCCATAGGGCTCTCAGCAGACCACCTTTGAGACTCTGTTTTGTGGCCTCTTTGTACTATATTTTAATTTCTTCTCAGGATTGATCAAAACTATAAGTAAATAATTATTTTTGTGGCTATTTATTTATTTATTTGAGACAGAGTCTCACTCTGTTGCCCAGGCTGGAGTGCAGTGGCGTGATCCTGGCTCACTGCAACCTCTGCCTCCTGGGCTCAAGCAATTCTCATGCCTCAGTCTCCTGAGTAGCTGGGATTACAGACACCCACCACCACGCCCAGCTAATTTTTGTATTTTTAGTAGAGACTTTCACCATGTTGGCCAGGCTGGTCTCGAACTCCAGACCTCAAGTGATCCACCCATCTCAGCCTCCCAAAGTGCTGAGATTACAGATGTGTGCCACCGCGACTGGCCTTGCGTGGCCATTTATTAAGTCAGCCACCCCCCTTACCCCCTACAACTAGAGGGCAAGCCCCAACAGGGAGGAACTGCGATCTTTCTCATTCATTGTTTTACCCTCAGTCTTGGCACACAGTAAGTGCAAAATCATAAATAAATGTTGAATAAACACAGGAACAAAGCAGTGAACTTATTCTCTGGGGAAAAGCTGAAGGGATAAATCATCCCTCCCCAAAATGACTGCTCCTCATAGGCTGATGCAAATTCTCCACAGTAGGGACTGGGAGTTTCAAGTAATAAAGCAGTAAACAAAAACCACTCATTCCAGATCGTATATATTCAAGTGACTGTTGTCATTTAAAGTAAGTGATGTGTGTGTGCCTGGAAGGGGAAAAGGTGGGCATTTGTTTTTTCTTTTTCTTTTCTTTTTTTTTTTTTTTGAGATGGAGTCTTACTTTGTCACCCAGGCTGGAGTGCAGTGGCATGATCTCAGCTCACTGCAACCTCGGCCTCCCAGGTTCAAGTGATTGTCATGCCTCAGTCTCTCGAGTAGCTGGGACTACAGGTATATGCCACCAAGGCACGTGCCACCATGCCCAGATAATTTTTGTATTTTTAGTAGAGACAGGGTTTCAACATGTTGCTGGGGCTGGTCTCGAACTCATGACCTCAGATGATCCACCCATCTCAGCCTCCCAAAGTGCTGGGATGACAGGCATAAGCCAGGGCCTCCCTAGCAGGTGATCCATCCGTTTCATCTTCCCAAAGCGCTGGGATTACAGGTGTGAGCCACGGCACCTGGCCAAGGTGGGCATTTGGTCACTTACTGGAAAGCATCCCTTGAGCAACTCTGGGAGCTCTGCAGGGATCATAGGTCTGAGGCCACAAAGTGAACACTGCCTTGTTTTCTTTATTGTCCTATCTTGTTTTTGTAGCCCACCAGACCCTCGTGCATTCACCAGACTGCTCAAAATGACGCCTGCCTCTTGAAAATTCAAGGAAGAAGCCTCAGTTGCTGCACATGTAGGAAAAACATTCTTAAGGAGCATGGTTGGGGAAGGCACCGCCTTGGGCAAGAGGTTTCCCCTCTTCCAGCCAAGTTATGACTTTGAAGGAAGATGCACCTTTTTGTGGGCAAAGTCTTACTTGTTCTCAAAAACCTCAACTTGGAATTTCTCTTGCATTTATGATGGTGGCTCCTGCTCCTTACAGCTTACAGTGGGTTTCCACAGCCACTCCTCCAAGCAGGGCAGGAGCAGCTGTTCACTTTCCGGCGAAGAAGGAGAGCCCAGAGGGGCCCCTTCTCATAGGGGAGGGGACTGGACCCCCTATTCCCTGCCAGAAGTAGGCAGGTGGGGGGTATAAAACACACCTGAAAATGACCCTTTCTGGTCCAAGGTCACCCGTGAGAAGCAAGGCCCAGGTGTCACCTGGTGTCCCTTGAGGCCCTTGCAGTCCGAGCTCAGAGGTGGGTGGGGATTGCAAATAAGGAAGGCACTATTGGCTTTTTGTTCCTTTGAGATTTTCCTTAAAACAACATTTTTCTGGAAGGAGTTAAAAATGAAACAAGCTTCAGAAGAAGCGGGACGGGCCGAGGCGGGGACAAGGTCGGGCTCCCTCTGCACCCTGACTGCCGCTGAGCTGGGAGACGCCGAACTTGGCGGGGGAGGGCGGAGCGTCGGGAAACGGACATACGTGCAGGCGACGCGTGGGAGGGGGCCCGGAAAACTTTGTGAGCGGCTCCAGGATCTCGTCCTTTCGGATTAGGTCAGGATGGGCTATTGCGGGCTCCCCATCCTGTTGCCCCCACCTCCGTCCTCAGTCTTCAGCAGGCCCCTAGGGGTGGAAAAGGGCAGCCCCGTGGGACTCCAACCACCCCTCTCCCCCGACGGCCCCTCTTTCGTCCCGCACACGCATTCCCCACCGCGCTCCTTTTGTCCGCCCCCTCACTCTCCAGACTCCCGGCTGGGCAGGATCCGCAATCTCCAGCCCCCCAGAAAGCCTGGGCGGGCGAGCTGGGGGCCGTTCCCCGCCCCCTACCTCTAGCAGAGGCAGCCCGCGGCGGGGGCACCCCAGAGCCGAGGCCAATCGTCCCCCTCCCCCAGCGTGTGCCATCTGCCGCCTGTCAGCCACTCTCCGCGGGCCTCGATCCCAGGCGCCGGCGGGGGTGGGGGAGCGGCTGATTCTGCCCCTCCTTCCTGGCTCCTTCCCAGGCGCCTCGCGGCCCCTGCCCTCGCCTCGGCCCTTGGCACCCCCGGTTCAGCCCAACTCCGTCCATCCCTGGGCCGCGGGGGCGTGGGGGGGGGGGCTCCTATTCCCTCCGGGAAGGCCGAGATGTTGGACACTCTTGGACGCACAAGCTGGGGAGGACTGTGGCCTGGGGATGGTAGCGCTAACCTGGGGAGGGGCGGCCCTCAAGGCTTAGGTCTAGTTAGGGGACGTCTCGGTCCTGGCCTCCGCCCCTCTGGGGAGCCTCGCTCGCCCGCTGCCGCTGTCAGGGTGTCCAGCTAGGCGTCGCGTTTAGCCCGTCACCCGACTCTACCTCTGAGACTGCCTAGGGCGCGCGCGCCTGGCCCCCCTGCCTCAGGCCTCTCCGCATCCTCCAGCTCGCGCTCCCCAGCCGCGGGGGTGCGTGGGTGGCATCTACCTCGGCAATCAGCCCAGCACGGGGTTGGCGAGCAGGGCCCGGCGGGACCGCGGAGAGAGCTGAGCGGGGCCGGGCCCGGCTGGCCGGCAGGCTGGGGAGCGGCGGGGCGCGGGCACCCTGCGTGGGGCGGGCGCCGCGGCCCGGCCGGCCCCGGCGCTGTTCTCGGCGGGCAGCGGGTTTTTCCGTGAAAGGTTGCCCTGGGTAACTCGTCTCCGAGGGGACGTAGCCCTCCCCTCTCCAAGTGGCAACTTATCGATCCGAGAGATTGATAACCCCCAGCGCCGCGCCGTGCACCCGCTCCGTTCTCCTGGCTCCGGGGCGCGCCGGCCCAAGGTGGCGCCACTCACCCGGGAGGGGGGCGAGGTCGGGGCCGCTCCCCACCCGAGACCTGGCCGCCTGCAGCTAGTTGGGGAGGGAGAGGCTCCGAGGAACGGTTTAGGGGAGCCGTCTGGGGAAGACTTTTCCCAAGTCAGAACCCTTCCCGGGCCTGCCCGGAGACCAGAGTCTCAGCCGGTTCAGGAGCTGCGGGGGACGCGCGGCGCCCCCTGGCGGCTGGGTAAAACCTCGCAGAAAGTAGCAGCTGGTTTATTTCTTCTGACAACTGCGCGGGGAGGGGGTGCTCCTGCAAGGTCTCAGGGGTAAGGTGTTCCTTTTACAGTCGGACAGAGGAAGTGCACACCAGGCGCGAGAATTCTACAAATAAGGGTGTAGGGGGCGCACGGGGTTAGCCCAGTGGTGGAAGAATTTGTTGGATGTGGGGCAGGGGTGGTCTTTGAACACCGACCGGTGGGCAAAAGCCAACCTGGCAGAGCCAGGTCCCTGGATAGTTCATGTGCGTGAGGCATACATCGCGAGGTGGCAATACTAGGGCAGCCCAACTCCGTTTGCTCCCCCATTCTTTCACTTTTTACAGTTTGTGAGGCTCATGCGTCTTGGCGAGCTTGACAGCCGCGTGGGCCCTAAGTGTGTTCCCTCCTCCTGCCCCCGGTGCAGCCAGCGCCCGAGCCCCGGCCCCGCGTGCTGGTGCGGTGCCCGCGCCCGCGCCGTGCCTGCCGCCGCCGCCGCCGCCGCCACCACGGTCCGGGTTTTGCGGGCGGCCGGAGCTGTATTTCCAGCGCTGTCCATCGCTCGGTGCTGTTGGCCCTCTCTCCGTCTGATCCGAGCCGGAGCAGTGCGGGGCGCCCCACGGGATCAGAGCGCTCCCCCGCCGGGACTCCGCTCCTCACATCCTCCTGCTGGGACCCGGCTACATTTCCAGCCAAGCCTGGCTTTATTATGTGTCTCTGCAGTGCAGCCCCAGCAGCCGGATCGGGAGGAGGAGAGCCAGCGACCACAAAGAAGACAGGAGCGCGAGGGAGGCTGGCGGGCGGGCCGGCGCCGGCTGGAGCGCGGAGGAGCCGGGGCGCAGCCGCCGCCGCCGCTGCCCAGGAGGACGGGAGCCCGGCCGCCGCCGCCGCCGCCTGCTCGTCCTCCTCTTCCGCCACCGCGGCCGCCGCCTCCCCCCTCTCCGAGCCCCTGGCCCATGGAGGCAGCTAGCGGGGCCGGCGACTTGGCACCGGCCTGGGGATCGGCTGCGCGCCTCGCGCTGAGCACCGCAGCCCGAGGGCAGGCAGCGGCGGCCCGGCGCACGGGCTGAGCGATGCCCGGGGCACGGGCGCGCCTGCCGGCCGCCGCCTGAGCGCCCCCGCGCGCCCCTTCCTCCTCCGGGGGGCCGGCGCCGGGCCGATCCGAGAGCCAGAGAAGGGGGCGTGAGCCAGGGGCCCCGAGCCGCGGCTTCCGAGCCACTGCGGCCGTTTCGAGCCTCCCCTCCAAGTAGGCTGAGTTGAGGGACCCCCGCCCCCCATCCATCATAATCTCCAAACCAGGCGCTTGGGCATTTTTGAGCCATTAATATTTATTATTTTTTTTTGTGCGGCAGGGGATAATTCGAAGGCTTCTTTTTTTTTTTTTTCCTGGGGGGTACTGAGCTTCCGCGCTCCCGACCGCCTCCCGGTCTCCTCCCCCCTTGAGATACCCTCGACTCCAGCCCCGTTCCCCCTCCTCAGATGGGTTCATTGTGAGCTCCGCACCGGGCTGCGTGGCCGGACGCCTGCAAACTTTGCACAAAAATCCGGCAAGGGGCGGAGGAGGAGGAGAAGGAGGAGGAGGGTGAGGGTGGCGGTAGGGTGGGGGAGGGAAGGAGGGGGCCGCAGGGGCCGGGGGCCGGCGGGGGGTTGGGAGGAGGAGGGGGGCGGCTTTTTTTTTTTTTTTTTTTTTTTTTTTTTTGCATAACTCGGCTCGGCCGAGTGGCCTCCGGACTCCCCGCGCCGCTGGGACCGCCGCTTGGATCGGGAGCCCCGGACTGCCGCATTGCAACAGGCAGGGCCCCGGCGCGCCCCCCGGGCCTCCCCCCGCCTTCGAGCGGCCTCGGCCGGCCCGGGCTGCCCCCCCAAGGGAGGCCGCCCCGGACCTGCGGTCCGCTCCCCACAGCCGCCAACCGGGCTGCAAAAAAAAAAGTTTCCAAGAGACAGGCGGAGGAGAAGGGGGAGAAGGGCTGCCCGGAGCGGCGGGGGGCGGCGGGGGGAGCCGGCTGCGGAGGGCGACGGAGCGCCCGGAGCCCCGGACATGTCCAGGCGGAAGCAGGCGAAGCCGCGCTCGGTGAAAGGTGAGCGAGCGAGGCCCGGCGGAGGCGCGAGCGAGCGAGCGAGGAGGGAGGGAGCGAGGGAGGAGGGACCGGCGAGCGGGCTGGCTGCCGGGGACCCGCGCGAGCGAGCCGAGAGGAGGAGGAGGAGGCGGCAGAGGAGGCGGAGGCGGAGGCGGAGGCGGAGGAGGGGGAGGAGGAAGCCGGGAGCAGGAGGCGGAGGCGGCGGCGGCGGCGGCGGCGGCGGAGGGGGTACGCCGCGGACACCCTCCCTGCCCGGACTCGGCGCCGTCGCCCTTGGGGGACCCAGGCCTGGGGGCGCCGCTAAGGGGCCCTTGCCGCTCCCTCCGTGCGGGGCCCGGGCCCGTGTGGCCAATCAAGGGGTGCTGGCCCGACTTGGCGGGGATTGCGAATCTCGGCGGCGGCGGGCGGGCGACAGGAGGAAGGAAGAGGCGGCGAGGACGGGCGCCCGGCAGGCCGACCGCTCCTCGCTGGCCCCGGGCCTCGCTGGCTCTCTCTGGCCCCTGCCTGGTCGCCCGAGGACGCGGGGAGCGGCGGGCGCTGTCGGCGAGCGCCCCGGGCGCCGCGCCCTCGCCCCGGCCGCCTGGCGCCCCCTCCCGCCCCTGCCCAGGCCTTCTCCCGGCCCGGGCCCCTGCACTTCCTGCCTCCTCCACCGAGGCCCACCGGGCAGGGAGCCTCCGCCAGGAGTTCATTGTCTGCACGGCGCCGGCGGGACGCAGGTCCTCAGGGGAGCTCAGCGGCCGCGGTGCGCGCCCCTCCGCGGAGGGCGCCCCGGATCTGACCCCGGGCACCGGCACCCTGGATCTGACCCCGGGCACCGGCACCCTCGACACCCAGGCCGGCTTTCTGTGCTGGCTCCCCGGGGTGCGCGCGTTTGTGGGGAGCTGCAGATATATAGATACACACACCCATCCCTTCGTCTCCACGCTTTGCTTTCTATTTCCAGCGAGGGCCCCCAGCTCGAGGGGACCCCTGGAGAGTAGAGGCCCCGGGGAAAGGCCGCGCGCCGGCAGCAGAGCCCCTCCCCTGGCCTCCTCTCCCCGCGGCTGGCCTTTCCAGGCCTTGCCTGCTGCTTTGTCCCGATTCTAGCCCCTCGGTTGGGTGCCCGGGCGCTCGGCTGTGAGATGGGAGATGATCGAGGAAGGGGGGAACGATGAGAGCGGCTAAGTCTACGGAGCCAAAAGCCCCCAGGCCCTTGTCTTCTCCCATCTCCCCTGATGACCTCTGGCCTGAGCCCAGTTCTGCTCTGAAAAGTTCATTTCCTGGAGGCCTGCGCGGGAAGGCGCTGGGGCCCCGCTCCCTTCCTGCCAGCCTTGCGCCTGGCTGGAATGGCTGGAACTGAATCTGGCAAGGAGGATCTTGAGACACTCGTCAGTTCTGTCCTCCTGAAGTCCCCGGAGGGACTGCCCCCGGCCCAGCAGAGATCCTCCCCGTCATATTAGAAGGAGACCAACTGAGTCCAAACGGAGCGCCCGGCCCGTTCCTACTCCTCCTTTTCCCTGAGAGAAGTTGGTCTTGTTCGCCTCACCCTGGCTGGTCTCCCAATCCGGGACAGCCTGGCCTGCTCCACAGAACTGGGGGTTCAGAGGGTGTTCTGATTGGGGGACAGGGAAACCAGAAGAGAGACTCCAAGAAGAGGACGGGAAAGAAGGGTGGATGTTTCTCTTTTGCTGATGGAAGGGCTGTACGGCTTGAAATAATACTGGATTTCTTTTCTCTTTCCCTGGCTCACTGCTCACTCCTTCAGGAGCCACTTAAGAGGCGACCCAGAAGAAAATGTGGAATTGGAATTTCTGGTTGGAAAAACAGTTTTATTTAACTCAGGCAGTTGATTTTGAGTTTGCAAAGCTTGCTTACCTAGACTTCCAATCCACTTCTCCAAACCTCCTTACGTTAGACGGCGAGACCCAGAAAGCAAAAGGAGAGCAGTTTGCAGTGAACAGATGGGTGGGTGTTTCAAAGTTGCTTGAACCGAGTTCTAAAACCACTCTGTGGATCTCTGAGAAGGACTCAAGAATTGGTCTTCAGCCTTTCATGAAATGAGCCTTGAAATGATTTTTAGTGAGTGCCTCTCTCAAATGTGTATGTGTGTATGTGTAGCAGACAGTTCAAGCAGGTTGGTAGGAGAAAGGCAGCAAGGTGAACAGGAGACCAGTGGAGGCATTTCGAGACTCGGTGTTGTAAATATCAGCCACACAGAGCCTTTCTGTCCGCAGAGTCAGAGACCCCCTGATTCTTCCCATGGCTTTTTGCATTTTCCAAAAGCAGCTACAACCCTTGTCTCTCACCATTTTACCTTTTATTCTGTTTACTGGGGTGAAGAGGGTGGAGATGTGGCCACTTATCAAGGGAGGAATTAAGAGAGAAGATAATTTGGATAGATAAGAGTTCCAGCAGGTGAGGGATTTATTGCTTTTCAAGAACTGCTCCCCCCCCGCCCCGCCCCTTCTCTTAAGCAATATTCAAAAGTGTGTGCTTGAGTGTGGACAGCTCCACACCAAGTGTTTGAAACGACAAGGTCTTCACCTTTAAAGATGCTTGAAAGTGCTTCTTAAGGAACAGCGGTGTCTTTTACATTTTATTTTATTTTATTTTGCCTCCACTGCTGTGTGTCAGGGCTAATGTAGAGGCTTTGTGGACTTCCCCGGCCCCGAGCATTCTGCTGTGAAAGTCGCTTGACTGTAATTTGTAGTTGATCTCGGAAATGTGAAAGTCCATAGCAGGAAGGAAAGACAGAAATACAACAATTTCGAATGGATGCTCAGAAAGTGTGATTTGAAAGCACAGGCATTGCTGCTTTGAAAATAAAACTGGCCTCTGGGGGCTGGGGTGGTCTCACTTCCCACTCACGGACACAACCTCCCTTCTGGAGTGGGGTCCCTTGTCCCCGCAGTGTGTTTGTCCTTCTTTGGAAAACCCAGCTCACAGGGAGGACACCTAGTAAATAGGGAAGGGGGTTGGGGCACTAGGGGAGGGGGGAGAATAGCCTCATTGGTTTTCAGAAGCCTTGTAATTTTATTTAAAAAAAAACAACCCTAAAGCCGGGAGTGTTATAAAAGTCACATTTTTCTGACCGATTTTCCCTCCCTACACCTTTCTCCCCTTTTTTGTTTCCTGGTGGTGTGGTATGGTGTGGTGGTTGCAGTGATTTGTTCTCTTTGATAATTTTGGCCTCATTTTCCCGGGCTGTTCTCATCATGCTCACTGATGTTATTTCGGCCGATGATATCAGGTGGTTTGGTTAACGATTACCACTGCAGTTCTCTCTGTCACTCAACATTAAGGAGGCCTGTCCCCTTTCACCCCATGGCTTTCTCAGATCCATGCAACAGCCTCTTCATTTATAGAGAAAATTGATACATCTTTTCCCTTGCCTTAGCTTAAAACTTTTGAATAATTTTAATACTGTCAATTTTCTCTCTCTAGCAACTGCCTGTTAATTACAGTTCTTAATATTAATTAGCGCTCAGGCTATGTCCATACACCCGCCCACCCCAACGTCCCAAAGTACCCCCAGTGACCTCTCGGCACTCCCTTCCCCTTCTTTGTCTTCCTCTTCTGCCAGCGTGTAGCTCCTCTAAGTCCATCTTATAAATTTGGTGGTCTAGGGACTTGGGAACACTGCGCGTGTTTCCATGGAAATAATTGAGATGTAATAAATAGAGGCGTTCTGAGGTTACAGGTTTCTCGATTCAGCTGAGACCACATACAAGTATAAATTGTCGAGATTTGTTTGGCTAAATGTACATGATCTTGTAGGAAGGGCAAAACAAATCCTTTATAGGGTCTTTAGCTTTCTATGTGGAGTGGGGTAGCTAACATTTAATCCTAATGTTTAATCCCCCCTCCTCAATTAAGTTATCGATTCCCAGCTTTGGTAGGGCCTGTTTCATTCTAGAAAACATCCTTTACGTCTAGTAATTGCTGTTTAGATTCTTACACCTGTTTCCTTGCAAAAACTTAATAAGCAATAAAATAAGATAACTATGTGCCTCTGGCAGGGGAATCCTGCTAAACGGTTAACCATGAGGTGCCTAGCGTGCATTCATAATGAAAGGTGCAAAATGCGGGTGACTTTACAGTCATAAAGTAATTCAGAAGAAGCAGCCAGCCCTGGCAATGTTGTGGCATGCTACAGTGTGTTAACAGAGGAGGAGGAGGAGGGGGAACCAGGAAGGCAGGAAACTGGAGCACTTGAGTACAGCGTTCCTAGCTGGAGACGAAAGGCTGGGGATCTGGTTCAATCTAATAGAAAGTTGCAATAATTGCTATATCGGTAGCCAACTCTTAAGCTAGTGGCTGTGGAATTCTTCCCCTGATGTAGGATTTAATAGTCTGGCAATTAGATGCATTGATTTCTCTTAACTGTTCATTTGGATGTGTAAACGAAAGGAACCTACCACTGAGGCTGATGGTGCAGACATGCTCCCCGGCTCTTTGAAAAAGGCTGATTTAGGTGGTGGTGGTGGGAGTATATGCTTTTTCAAGGCAGTGTTAGGACCAGTTCCCTCTTCTTTCAAAATTTCTGTCCATTCTGTAGTGAAGTGAACGGCACCTGTTCAAATTCTGTTTAAAAATAAAACAACGGTATCCCATTATAGCTGAAAAGTAAAAACATCCTTTTCTGCCGCAGATGCTGAGAGTGCTTTCCCTGTCTTTGAGTGACTGGACTTTGTGGCAGGTGGTCTGTAGGGTACCAAAGGGGCAAGTCACAGAGCCTTTCGGCTCTGAGTTCCCGACAGCCCTCCTGCAGAGATAGTTCTTGCTCCCACTCCTCCTCAACAATGGTCTGAGACTTGTGACCACCTAGACCAGTGGCTCTGTCAAGCCTGGACTGGATGTGGGGACATGGCATCTTGGAAGGTTGGAAGGCTGTGAGATGTCAGTGGCTTGGAAAGTGTCTGGGAAATGACCTCTTTGAAACATGAGGCTCTCTAACTTCCTGCTTCTGGACTTGCAGTTTTCTGTAAGTGTCAACAACTTCTGACATGCAGGCATCTGAAACTGTCTCGAAAGTAAGCAGGCAGAGGATGGCTGGATTTCCTGATGGCCCCATCGTTTTTGCCAAGGTGGTGGGTGCGTTTAGTTCACTCTTTGACATAGGTTAGGATGGACTTGGCTTTCCTGGCCACTGGCTGAAGCAAAGCCCAGCCTTGTCCACGGCACGCTGGTGTTTGCAAAGGGTATTATCTTCATGTCTTGAAAACATTTGCAGAAGATATCAGGGTTCCTTCGTATCTGTGAGTCTAGGTTGATTACAGTAGAATACCTTGAAAACTGTTAGTGGGGTCCCCATTATTTGGGTAGCCAGGAAAACCCCGATACACTGTGGTTGGAGAATTTGACAATTTCTGCAAATTCCCGTCAGCTTGCAAGGGCATCTTGTGCATGGACATGTTAGCGGGTAATCAGAGAAGTTTCCCACCCAAAATGGATGAATTGAACCTGGATTGGTTACATCCCGCTTGAAGTTTTTGGGGCTGGCTGTCAGCTCCCTCAGCCTACTGTGGGAGAGGCAGGGTGAAGTGAGTGAGGAAATGCTGATGGAAACTTTTGATTCATAGCTTACCTGCCAGGATCGGTGGCAGCCAACGATTGGGGTTGTACACTCAGTAAATAAAAATACTTTACCGCTTTCAAGGAGCGCCAATTAGCTGATTGCTCCATGTGGCTGTCTTTAAGGAGAATGCTGTTTTACCTATCTTCTTGCACAAAGGTTTGATTTTTAATGTCTTGTGAAAAGGATTCTCTTTGTCTTGATTGATGTCAGGAATAAAAGCATGATGGTAATATCCCTTTGAAAGCTATTGTATTGTCAGCCCTCGCTGACAGCGGGACGGCCTCCCAGCGTTATAGATTGGTGCTGTGAAAACACTGACATTTTCTTTGTTACGTTGCTGTTGTTCTACTTGCAAAGTCAATTACACAATGTCGGAGCTCAGTTACCAAGTTGACTTTGGAGGTAACAATGTCTTTCATTCTCTTTTTAAAGATATAATTTCCCTTTGTTGTTGTGGTTGTTGTTTCGTTTTCTTTCTTTTTTAACCTGCCTCCCTCTGTTTACCTCCCCTCCCTCTTGCCTCACCCCCCTCAAGAGTCTGAACATCCTAGCTAGGCAAACACACTCTGGTTTCAATTGTGACAAGTCAAATTCAAAGGCAACCACATCATTATCTCCGAATTCTTCAACTCATTCACATTTCAGTGGCTTCTTATTGATATAGTGACTAAAGCAGCCAAGATACATAAAAACCCATCAAATGAGATTGCAGTGTTGATAATCTCTTATCAAGTGGGTTGTTCTCTGGATTTGGGGTCATTGAGGTTGGCAAATTCAGAGTTTTCTTTCTTTCTTTTTTTTGTGGAGACTACAACCTGGGCTGAACCAGGTTCTGGGTCGATGGGACCCTGGCAAACAGTTTTTTCTTACAGAAGATTTATAGGCATTTGTATCTCAGAGGCTGGAGCCATTGAGTTCTGGATTTGGGATCCTGAATGACGTCATGTAGAAGGGTAGAAGGGGTCTCATAAGAAAATCATGTCATCTGTCCTTCTCCCTTTGCAGATGGCAAACTCCAATCATAAGGCGATCCTATCAGGTGATCCCAGTGTGCCCACTAAGGACTCAGGAGTGATTTGCATTCCCGTCTAAGTGTGCAAAATCTTGCTACTGAACAGGAGGAGAAAACCTTGAAAAATATTCAAAGCTGAATATGGTTCAGGTGGATATTTTTTAGATGCCTGCCCCCTATCTTCTGTCCCTCCCTGCCTTCCCCAGAAAGAGGAAACCCTAATTCCTTAGTTCTCTAAACCTGGTCATCCAAGAAGCAGTGACCTTCGAGCTGCGGGTTGTTGGAGCATCCTCCTGCCTGATACACTGCGGTGCGAGGTGCTGCCCTGCTGCCAACTGCCTCCAGATGACAGGGATCCATCAGGAAACTCCGTCCGAGACACTAATTGTGGGCCCCCGAAGTTATTATTATGAACCACCAGACAAGAGCCTGTATTCGCCAGCAATTTGTCAGGACTAATTTTGTTTTTCTCCAATAATTGAAAATTAATGTCTTGAAGTGAAAGCAGATGTTCATGTCATCTTCTGAATTGGGATATAAAATGGGGCTCTGTGGATGTGCTAATTTAACAGCAATTTCCCTCTCCCAGATAATGGGGGTGCTGGGGCTGATGTCACCTTTGGAGCAGGGACCAGGGGCCGGGAGAGAGACAGAGGCCTGGGTTATGCTTGTGCTTCTCGAGGGTTTGTTTTGGAGGGAGAACCCATACAGAAAAAGATTTGCTTGTGCTATGAAAGTTGGAGAACTCACTGTTTTGAATATTCATTTGCAGAAGAAGTATTTTTTGAGGTAATTCAAGCATTATGCTGGGGAGCCTTTGTTTGGGGAAAGGGTGGCTTCATACAGATGAGTGGATCCCCAGCTGTCATGCCTATCACCGTCACCTACAATAAAGCTGGTTAAATTGCATATTCCTGGGCCCAGGTCCTGCAGATGCTCACCTGGCTGGTCTGAGGAGGGGCTTAGATCTCTTCATCCCCCAACTCCTGCTTTTAAGCAATTTTGATAAAATATACGTAACTTAAAATTTACCATCTTAACCATTTTTTTTTCCTTTTTTTACAGACAGGATCTTGCTCTGTCCCCCAGGCTGGAGTGCAGTGACGTGATCGTAGTTCACTGCAGCCTTGAACTCCTGGGCTCAAGCAGTCCTCTCACCTCAGTCTCCCGAGTAGCTAGAACTACAGGCTAATTTCTTAATTTTATTATTTGTAGAGATGGGTCTATGCTGCCCAGGCTGGTCTTGAATGCCAGGCTTCAGGGAATCCTCCTGCCTCGACCTCCCAAAATGCTGGGATTACAGGCATGAGGCACCTTGCATGGCCCATCTTAACCATTTTTCAGAGGCATTAAGTACATACACATTGTTGTCGGGCTGTCACCACCATGAATTTTTCATTTATAGTTGGCACCCAAATGATGGTGGATTAGGGATCTGCAGCCCACTACCCCAGAGGAGGTCATCCAGGCCAGCCTCCCATTTCCAGGGTAAGAATGAGAAACAGAGGCTTAGAAGATGAGGCCATTCTCTCGGCGGGGGGCGGGGGGGTATGTTCTTTGCCTTGTTCTAGTGTAAGAGGTGAGATTGGATTGTCCAAGGCTAGGGCAGGGCATAAGACTAGGGTTCCATCAGGGCTGGGGGAAAGGGCAGGTGGGGTGCTAATAAGGACTTGCTGAGTGATCTGATGACCATTATTAGGATTAGAATATTTGTTTTGTCTCCTTGTGGGGACAGCATTCTTTTGAGACTGTGCCTGGTGGGTTGCGAGCTTGCCCAGTGGCCCTGGCAGATCCCTTGTGGCCCCTATGCCTGCCTGCCAGGACTCAGCTCCCTCGGCCTACCCAGTCCTGCACACTTAGGCCAGTTTGTCTATGACAAGGAGAGAGAAGAATGGCTGTTTTGTCCACTTGATTGCCTTGCTTTCTAGACCATCTTGGGCCCAAAGGTCTAGGCTTTGCAAACTCTTCACTGCCTCGCTCCTTGGAGGTGCTTGGAAACTTTTTCTCCCCCTGTTTTCTCTGTAATTGAAATTTGCCCTTTCGTTACCTGGGCATGAATTATTTTTTGCAGTGTTGTCATTCCCTATCCTGCTGTGAGGTTTATCTCTTCTGTTGATCCTAATTAAATAAAACATACTGTTCACCTAACTCCTGTTGCACTGAATTTTACCTGCCTGAAGGCAGAGTGATGACCATCTGGGCTTAGTTAGGGAGGTGGGCATGGCTGGAGAGGGCAGCTGGGTTGGTATGACTACACATTCAGGCTGGAAGACTGGGCAGGGGGACCTCCTTGGCCTGGAGGCTGCAGAACCTTGGAGCCACCAGCAACATAGAGTATATTTTTGGTTCCTGAACAAGAGATATGGCTTTGTCCCTCACCCCCTGTGGCTGCAGTTTTGAACTTGGAGAGAGGAGAGACAATCATCAGCTCCTGAGGGTCCCCAGGGAGAGGGAGAGGGAGGAGAAGCAGGTGCCCTGAAGTGGGGAGATGGAAAGAGGAGGCAGGCTTCTGTCTCTGGGGTGGAGGCCACAGAGAGTGCTGGGGTCTCTGGGGAGCAGCAAGCAGTGCACGGGTTCTCAGTGCCCAGGACAGCCCCTGCAGATGCCTTGTGCCCCTTAGGGAGACGCTGGCCAGCCAGGGGCCAGACACACATTTTGGGAAGATTCACTGTTTTTGCCTTTGAGCCTCTCCTAATCCTGAAAAACACAGGTTGAAAAGGAACCTTGGAGCTCACTTCATTTACACTTCTTTGGGTGTGTTTCTGGCAACCTTGGTTTCATCCAGCCTGGACGTACACACTTTCACTCGCAGGGCGCTCACTACCTCTGTGGCATATCTATGCCTTTTTTTTTTTTTTTTTTTTTTGAGACAGAGTCTTGCTCTGTCAGCCAGGCTGGAGTGCAGTGGCACGATCTTGGCTCATTGCAGCCCCCACCTCCCAGGCTCAAGCAATTCCTGCCTCAGCCTCCCGAGTAGCTGGGATTACAGGCATGTGCCACCAGGCCTGGCTAATTTTTGTGTTTTTATTAGAGATGGAGTTTCACCATGTTGGCCAGGCTGGTCTCGAACTCCTAACCTCAGGTAATCCGCCTGCCTCGGCCTCATCCGTGGCTTTTTAGCTTGAATTTCACACATGAAGCTGCAGTCTCCTCTCTGTGTTGGTCCTGGTTCCACCTCCTGGGGCCACAGTGAATAGCTCAAATCCCCAGTCCCTCCAGCAGCCCCATGTCCTGCCTTTCTCAGGGGAAGGGTCTCATGTATGGGATGCCAGCAGCCTGCTGGGCTTCCAGGGCTCCATGCTCATTCAGAAATGGCCTTGGCTGGGTGCAGTGGTGGCTTATGCCTGTAATCCCAACACTTTGAGAAACCGAGGCAGGTGAATTGCTTGAGCTCAGGAGTTCGAGACCAGCCTGGGCAACATGGCGAAACCACCTCTCTACAAAAAATAAAAAAAAAATTAGGAGGGTGTGGTGGCAGGAGCCTGTAGTCCCAGCTACTTAGGAGGCTAAGGTGGGAGAATCACCTGAGCCCGGAAGGTTGAGGCTGTGGTGAGCCATGATCATGCCACTGTGTTCCAGCCTGGGTGACAGAGTGAGACCCTTTCTCAAAACAAAACAAACCAAAACAAAACAAAACAAAAATGGGAGCCGTGGTGGCTCAGAACTGTTGTCCCGGTGCATAAGAAGGCGAGGCTACGTGTTCGAGTTCAACCTGGGCAACATTAAAACAAAAAACCTCTCATCCATTAAAAAAAAAAAATTGCTGGGCGCAGTGGCTCACACCTGTAATTCCAGCATTTTGGGAGGCTGAGGGGGGCAGATCACCTGAGATCAGGAGTTTGAGACCAGCCTGGCCAACATGGTGAAACCCTGTCTCCACTAAAAATAAAAAAAATAGCCAGGCGTGGTGGCATGCGCCTGTAATCTCAGCTACCCAGGAGGCTGAGGCAGGAGAATCGCTGGAACCCACTGCACTCCAGCCTGGGTGACAGAGCAAGACTCCATCTTAAAACAAAAACAAACAAACAAAAAACCCCAAAAAACACAAACAAACAAAAAAATCTGGCCTCAATCTTCTGGGTCATTATGTCTAAAAGATTTGTTTTTTTTTTTTTTTTTTTTTTTTTTTTGAGATGGAGTTTCGCTCTTGATGCCCAGGCTTGAGTGCAATGGCGCGAACTCTGCTCACTGCAACCTCTGCCTCCTGGGTTCAAATGATTCTCCTGCCTCAGCCTCATGAGTAGCTGGGATTACAGGCATGTGCCACCACACGTGGCTAATTTTGTATTTTTAGTAGAGACAGAGTTTCTCCATTTGGCCAGGCTGGACTTGATCTCCCGACCTCAGGTGTACACCCTTCTCAGCCTCCCAGAGTGCTGGGATTACAGGCGTGAGCCACAGGGCCTCGCCAATATTTATTAAATGAATGAGTGAATGTGTGAATTGTTGAAGGAATAAATATGAATGGGGAATAAATATGAATGGGTGAACAAGTGAATGAATGAATGAGTGACTAGTGAGTAAATGACTCGATGAGTAAATGGATTCATAAGTGATGAGTGGATAAGTGAGTGGGTGAACTGAGAGGGAGCACAGGCCTTTGCAGGACTTGGGTTCACCGTGAGAGTCAGTCTTTGTGGGCCCCTCCCGCTGCCCCAGCCTCTGTTCCTGATGAGGAGGTGGGAGCTGCAGGACACCCGGCTGGGAGAGGCTGATGCCGGTTCTCCTTCATACTCAGGGTACATTGTGCTGTGAGATTGCAGCTGCTGTTTATCGAGGGCTTTGTGTCATGGATTGTGTTAGGCTTGTAAAACATTGCTTTTAAAATGATAAAAGCAATGTGAGATTTTTGTACTAATTTAATTTTAATTATTTATTTTCTTAAAGTTTGGATCTTGCTCTGCTACCCAGGCTGGAGTACATTGATGTTATCATAGCTCACTGCCACCTCAAACTCCTGGGCTCAAGCTATCCTCCTTCCTTAGCCTCCTGAGTTGCTGGGACTATAGGTGCGAGTCACCATGTCCGCCTCTTTTTTTTTTTTTTTTTAACAGATGGAGTTCTTCATGTGTTGTTTAGCCTGGTCTCAAACGATTCTCCCACCTCGGGCTTTCAGAATGTTGAGATTACAGGCATACGCCTCTGTGCCTGGACTTAATTTTAAATAAAACAGAATGTTCAACTCAATAACCTTGCCATCCTGCCTGTGACGCTCATCCTGCTACATCATTGCCATGGCTCAGAATAAACACATTTGACCAGCTCGATCCTGGCCAGGGATCAGCCACCATTAAGTGGCCTTGGGACCCTCTTCATCTTTGGAGGGGGGGTGGTCTGCCCTAGGAACAGCACTAGGAGTGAGGGGTGGGGCCAGCTAAGTGGGCGGGAGGGGGAAATGGGATGTGTTGGTAGGGAACCTGCCAATCACTCAGAATAGAAAAGAAAGACCCCATTCTCCCTGAAGGTCTGAGTCAAGATTCCTTCATTTCTCTCCTTGGGGAGGGGAGGGGGTTGGAGGAAACATACTCTGACTTTGGGCAAGACAGTTCCTTCTATGGGCCTCAGTTTCCTAGTTTTCTATGTTTTCCTAGTTTCTCAGTTTTCTATGAAATAGGATAGAACTAGTAGGGTTAGCTACATGAGTTAAGTTTCCAATCTTGGTTAGTTGCACATCAGTATCATCCTAGGCACTTAAAAAATAACATTACCTGGGCTCCACCATAGATGAAATAATCCAGAATCTCTGAGGATGGGGGTAATTGGAATGTGCAGCCAGGGTTAGGAACCATTAGTCTAGGAGATAGCACCTAGAGTATATAAATCTGTTCCATGTTAATAGCCATAAGGAGGTCTACAGAATCGTTGCACCAGACTTTATTTACAGTCTTCCATTGGTGAACATTTAGTTGCTTCCAGTTTTTTGCTGTTTTAAATGATGATGCAGGGAGTATCCTCATTTATAACCTTTGTGTTCTTGTTTGAGTGTTTCTTTGGCTGGATTCCTAGAAGTGAAATTGTTGGGTCAAAGGGTATTCACTCGAAAAATCTGATAAATATTTCCAAATTGCCTTCCACAAAGTCTGTACCAATTTACCCTTCAATAATAGGGCATGAATGCACATTTCTCCTAATCCTTGCCCGTATGTGATGATGTTTTGTTTTTTCTTTTTCCTTTTTTTTTTTTTTTTGAGACGGAGTCTTGCTCTGTTGCCAGGCTGGAGTGCAATGGCGTGATCTTGCCTCACTGCAACCTCCGCCTCCCGGGTTCAAGTGATTCTCCTGCCTCAGCCTCCCGAGTAGCTGGGACTAGAGGCACATGCCAGTACGCCCGGCTAATTTTTTATTTTTATTTTTAGTGGAGATAGGGTTTCACCATGTTGGCCAGGATGGTCTCAATCTCTTGACCTTGTGATCCACCTGCCTTGGGCTCCCAAAGTGCTGGAATTACAGGCGTGAGCTACGGCGCCCAGCCTTTTTCTCTTTCCGTTTTCTTTTTGGCAATCTGGCAGGCAAAAAATGGCACATTGTTTAAATTTGCACTTCCCTAATTATTAGTGATGTTGCCTTTTATTTTTTCCCCCCCAAGATATGAGGCCTTGCTATGTTGCCTAGGCTGGTCTCAAACTCTTGGGCTCAAGTGATCCTTCCACCTTGGCCTCCTAAAATGTTGGGATTATAGGTACGAGCCACCACACCTGGCCTTTTATGTTTATGGGCCTGCCTGCCTGCCTGCCTGCCTGCCTGCCTGCCTGCCTTCCTTCCTTCCTTCCTTCCTTCCTTCCTTCCTTCCTTCCTTCCTGTCTCTCTCCCTTCCCTTCCCTTCCCTTCCCTTCCCTTCCCTTCCCTTCCCTTCCCTCGCCTCCCCTCCCCTCCCCTCCCCTCCCCTCCCCTCCCCTCCCTTCCCCTCCCCTCCTTTCCCCTCCCTTCCCTTCCCTTCTCTTCCTCTGTCGCACAGGCTGGAGTGCAGTGCCACGATCTCGGTTCACTGTGACCTCTGCCTCCCAGGTTCAAGTGATTCTCCTGCCTCAGCCTCCCGAGTAGCTGGGATTACAGGCGCCTGCCCCCCATGCCTGGCTAATTTATGTATTTTTAGTAGAGACAGGGTTTCGCTATGTTGGCCAGGCTGGTCTCGAGCTACTGACCTCAGGTGATCCGCCCGCATGGGCCTCCCAAAGTGCTGGGATTGCAGGCGTGAGCCACAGCACCTGGCCATTTTTCTTTCTTCTTCTGAAGGGTCACTGCACTATAGAGCTTGGAGATATGGGCATTTCTTTCCCTTGGTGAGTCCTTTGGTTGTCTGCCCTCCTTCTTTCCCTTTCACATCCATCCTTCCATGTAAATCCTGAGCATCTGACTCAGGTGAGGCTTAGCCTAGGCTCCAAGGAAGATGCAGAGAGAACGCAGAGGAGGCCACGTCCTCAGGAAGCCTGGAGGCCAGAGAGGGGAGTAGACCCTAACCACTGGACCAGACAAGGCAGCCTAGGACAGAAGTGTGGGCTGAGGGCTGTGGGAGGGGTGAGAGAGTTTCGGGGGATTCCCTTTGGTAGGGGAATCAGGTAAAGCCTGGAAGAGCGGGTAGCATTTTTTATTTGGTCCCTGAGGGATGGAATCACAACACCAAGAGTAGCTAGCCTCTAATGGGCACCCCTTGTATACAGGCACTGGGCTATGCACGTTACGGGCAGTACCTCATGGAATCCTGACACTTGCTTTTGACTGCTGAGGTGGGGACCTTAGGCTTTCTTTTTTACCAGCAGTCCTGGAGCTTGGAGAACCCTCAGCTGAGGTTCCTTTTCATAAAGATGATTAAACTTGCCCAGAGAGGGCAAGCTAGGTGTCCAAGGTCATACAGTGACCTTGTGGCAGAATTGTGCCTGGGGATAGGAGAAGGGGGAGCTGGAGGATCTTGCTGCTGCCACTGTCCTGCCTTCGGAACAACCTAGGATCCCCAAGCTTCTGGAGTGGGGGGAGGATTCTGAGCAGACAGATTTGGGCTCCTACCCCTCTTTCCCCACGTCCTTGCCATGTTATTGGTAAGCCTCAGTTTCTTTTCCTTTGAAATGGGCTCTACTCCCAGGAGAGAGGTGAGGAGGAAATCTCAGGTAAGGAAGAGCTTGTTGTTCAGGCTTTAGCCTGTCATTTGCTGGGGCAACCCTGCCCTTTTTAGAGACACCAGGTTTGAAGGGGGCTTTTGGATCTCTCCTCGAATCCGTCCTCCCCACCCCACCAGAAAACAGTTGCCCTTCTCAAGGGGCTTCCTGGCCAGGCTCAGGGAAGCGGCTGTGTGGGAGGGCATATGCCCTATAATAGTTGTGCATGTGTGTGAGTCTGTGTGCCTGTATGTGCACATAAGTGTGCATGCATGACTGTGCGTGTGTCTGAGTCTGTGTGGGTACCTGTTGGGTATGTGTGTGCATGTGTGTGAGTCTGTGTGTACTAGTGTGTGCATGTGGATGCATGCGAGAGTGTGTACACGTGTGCATGAATGCATATGTGTGTGTGCATGTGTGTGCCTGTGTGAGTGGTCATATGTGCCAGCTTCCAGGGCAAAGAGACTCTTCAAATTGCTTGCGTGATTCAGACTCTCAGTACAGGGACAGAGAACATACTAGTGGGTGGTAGACTTTGCTTATGAATTTACTTTATATCCATTCATTGAGATATTTTCGGAGCATTGTGTTTAACCTGACCCTGTAACGAGAAAGAAGCAAGTTCTTCCTTTCTAAGATTCAGCTGGCCATGTGTAAAGTTGTGGTTGTGAGGATGGGAAATAAATTTATATTGGCATTTCCCAAAATGTATTCCAGGATTTTGTTGATGTTCCACCCCCCCAAAAAGAGAAAAGTTTTCTGTCGCCAAATGCATTTGGCAAACACTGGATTAAACAGAGTTAAAATTTTTTTTAAAAAAACTTCACGGCTTCTCGGAGCCCTTAAAATGCCAGCGTGGGACTCTGAGAGATGTTAATAATTTGTGATTTCCAAACTTATTTGATCACTTGTCATGGAATCCTCTTATCTGGGGCACGGTTTAGGTTTCAAGGCTTTTAGGAGCTGCTATCATTAGCTGCTGCTCATTTGTTCATTCATTCCTCGCACATGTTTACTGAGAACCTACTATGTACCAGGCAGTATTCAAGGTGCTGTGGCCACCACGTGGACAGGTTTATTCTAGTTGAGTGAGGAGCCATCTGCAAGCATATTTCTGTTAAGCAAATTAGGTTCTGGGGCAGGCAGGGAGGCTGTGCAGAGAAGGCCATCCTGGAGGTGATGCTGGATCCCAGATGGTGAAGGGGGCTGCTTCATGAGGGGAGCTGGGGGCCTGGAGGTCTTTGTGGTTGATGCTTTGGGAGGCTGGGAGGTTGTGGCAGGTGGGGGTCCTTCTCTGAGCCTCTGTCTCTTCACCCTGGGAGGGCGGCGAGCCGGCTGGGAAGGTGCAGGCTGCAGCTTCAGCCAGCAGGCTGGGTGGGGCCCGGCTCTGTTCTCTCTGGAGGCTTTCCTGGGGCCGCGAGTCAGTTCCTTGGGGCTGTTTCTGGGCAGAAGCCGCTTCAGGGTCCCAGTCTTGCCCTGGGGACCTCAGTGTCATGTCCCGCTCCTCCGCTGCAGACATGCAGGCCTCTCAATGCACAGGTAACTGGGAGGGCTCAGAGGATGGGCCTCCCTGGGCCTGCCTGCTGTGAGCGCCACCCGGCAGAACTCCTGCCTGTGCGGGCCACTGCACTGCTCCCTGTGCCTGGCACTGGACCACGTTCCCACCCCCATCTGACAGATGGGCACATGGGGCCAGGAGGCTCCCACAGCCCGTTACCTCAGAGGCCGGCCCCTCTCCAAGGCATCTAGCCCTTCTCCAAGCCAGGGCTGTGGCCTGAGGCTTGTGGGGTGGGAGGAAGTGTCTGGGTGTGGGGGCCGAGATTTCCAGGACGGGAGGTGGGATCTGAACCCTCCACGGTCCCCCTGGAGTCCGATTGCGCAGTTGCCTTGTAGGATCTGGGTCCTGGGATGAGGGGAGGGGACGGAGAAACCGCGGGGGAGGGGAAGGGGTCAAGGGTCGGAGAGGAGGAAGAAATCCAGGGTGGGGTGGCAGTTGGGGAGGAGGCGGGGAAGAGGGGGGATGGCTGGGAAGAGGCGGGGAAAATCAGGGGAGGGGGCCTCGGGGCTCTTCCCGCCCAGCTACCCGAGGGGAGCCCGGCCGACGCTTGGGAACGCAGCCCCTCCCGGGCCCTTGTCTGCCCGGCCCGCGGGGGCGGCCCCGGGACCCCTTTGAGGCGGCGGCATTGGGAACGCGCTGGGCCGCCCCCCGCGCGGGAGGGCTCCATGGCTGCGGCGCAGTCACTCAGGGCCAGGTTCGGGCACAAAGCGGCCGCGGCGGGGGGCCGGCTGGGAAGGCGCAGGCTGCGCAGCTCGCTCACGCGGCCCGGGTGGGGCCTGGCTTGTTCTGCGCCGCGGGCCGCCCCCCGGCCGCCCGCCCCTCGGAGTCTGGCGCCCTCAGGACTCCTGGTCCCAGGCCCAGCGCTGGGGACGGCGGCGTCGAGCCCACAGCTGGTGCCGCCCTTGGGTGGGCTGCGGGCCCGCCAGCCAGATGTGCGCCTCGGGAGCCCTGGGGCACCGGAACCCCGATCGGGCCTCCGCTTTGGGGTGGGGCTGGGGGAAGGCGAGTGACAGCCGCAGGGCCATTCCCTGGTACATCCTCATACACGTAATGCCGCTGAGCGCACTTCCCAGGTACTGAGGACTGTTCTGAGCACTTAACACTCGTTGATTCATTCAAGGTTCACAGCACCCCTGTGAAATAGGTACGTGATGTGTATCCCCATTTTACAGAGGAGGAAACCGAGGCACGGGGAAGTAAAATAAATGGCCCAGTGCCCCACAGCTAGGGCAAGATTTGAACGGAGGCACTCCAGCCCCAGAACTGTGCTCAGCCCCTGCAAGGTGCCCAGGCCTGCGTGGTGGGCTGGAGGCCTGGCCCCGGGGGTGCAGCTTCCAGTGCATCAGCACGTATCCAGTAAATTACAGATGAAGATTGGCACACAGATTTGAGTCATGATTCTGGGTTTGCCGCTTAAAATTCCTTCTCTGGATGGATCCTTCTTGACTTCATTCATTCACTGGATGGATAGTTCTGAGTTTGTGATGGGCCAAATGCTAGTGCTGGGTCCTTGCCTTCAGGGAGCTTACGGCTTAGTAGCAAGACAGACAATAAAGAGTGAGCAGCTCCCCGGATTGTAATTGTTCATTGAGAGACCGCTCTGGCTTATCTGACTTCGACAAGGTCCTCCCGGGAGGGCACTGCAGAGGAAGTGACGTGACCGCTGGTGTAGGAAGATGAGAGGGAACTGCAGAGGACAGTGGCTAGTCTCCTCTGGCTCTGAACTCATTCACTAGGGCTGCCTCTGCCTGCCTTGGGCCCGCCCCATGTGGGGAAGGAGGGAGAAGAAGAGGCCATAGTCTCTGTCCACGAGGACATGATGGGACAAAATCTGGGGGAGTTTTGAGTGTGACTGTCTGGAGGGGCAGGGGCAAGTGCTGGCAGGCTCTCCTGGAAGGGCTGGAGCAGGGATGAAGGAAGAGGCAGGGTCGGGTACTGGGAGAGATGGCTGGGTTGGGGTGGCATTGCAGGTGGCCTGTTGATGCGTGCACACAGCATGGTGCATGGTTCTTTCTGGGGAGTCCCCAGGGAAAGCCACCGGGGCCTTGTGCTTAAATGACCCCTAAGGTTTGCACAACCTCTGTGCACTGTGTGGTTCCAGAGGCTCTCACAGGCACCTCCAAGTTTCCAGGGAGTAGGTTGTGGGGGTCTGGGGAGGGGTTGTCCCTCTTCATTTGCCAGTTGAGGAAAGGAGTTTCAGAGACGCACACAGCCTTGCCCTGGCTCACACAGCCACGTGTAGCAGGGCCTGTGTCCAGCTGGCAGGCAGGCTGCTCCTTTCCAAGGTCTCCATATCCCATGGACAGGGACCCTGACCCCCAGGCCTCAGCTCGCCAGGGCCCCCTCTGTACATTACTGGGGTGGGAGGTGGAGGGAGATGCTCCATCACTGTCACCCACGTCCCTCAGCCTGGCTTTGCACACTGAGCTGCCCCCATCCCCCAGACATCAAACCAGGCCAGTGAGGAAACAGTTGCTCCAATGTGTCCCGGCGTCCACAGTCCACTTTGAATTGGGAATCTGAGTGGGCTTTATTCTGAATTTCCTGTATCTGTTGGCTCAAAATACCTATTGCTCAGGCTCTCCCAGGGGAATGTAGAGGCCTGTCCTGGGTTCCCAGGGTCTGAGCTCATTTTCCTACTGGGACGTGTTGGACAAGGTTGGGCCTGGTCCCAGACCTCTCTTTGTATCCTGTCCTGCCTTCTTACTAGTAGGAGAGTTCCAAGCCTGCTCTTGTGGAGAGAGGTTCAGTGGGGGAGAAGGAGCATCAGGAGGGGATAAGGGCATTCATGGGGAGTATTTACTGAGGTTATTGTGCGTCCAGGGCTCTCTGAGGGCTTCCTGCACGTGTTCTCATGAATCCCCTCTGCAGCCCTGTGAGGTTGGTACCATTATGTTCGCCATCCTGTGGGTGAGGCAGCTTTGAAGGTCAGCCTGAGGTCCAAGGTCACATGTCACAGTGAGGCTGCCCCATGCCTGGTGCCTGCCTGAGTAACTGCCAGGGTCACTGTCTACACACCTGGTGAGCCAGCACCATGCCGGAATCTTCTCCCAGAGCTCCTGGAGGCAGACTGTAAACTCTGAGGCTGACAACACCTTGATCCCCCGAGACCCAGCTGGTGACTAAGTCCCCCTTCCCTCCATGCCAACCCCCTCCCCCACTGGGCCTGCTCCTGAGGCTCACTTGGGAGAGAAGCAGCTTGGACAGGTTGGAGGTGGAGGATGTCCCAGGCCAAGTCCTGGGACATTTGAGACAGGTGGTGGGCAGGGCTGTACTTGCTTCCTGATTTTTTGGGAACTGCACACCCAGCAAGGTTCAAGGCCTGGCACAACTAGGCCAGCACCTCTGTTCTGCTAGGTGCGAAGTTGGAGGTGTTTGCTGCATTTAAGGTATTTAGGCTGGGGGGGTCCTCCTTTCTACTGTGTTTTCCCCACAAGGCCCCAGGAGTCCAGTTGGCTCAGCTAGGAATCTTAGCTGTGGTTGTCGGGGTAGGTGGCCTTGCTGAGGGATTCAAAACAGGGCCCTGTCCTCTGGGCCTCTCTCTGTCTCCACCCAAACTGCTCCTTGGGCCCAGGACCTGGCCTGGAAGCCTGCCTCTTCTTCCCATCAGCATTTTCCCCGGGGCTTAAGTTGGAACCTGTGGGTGTGTGCCCCTCCTGGGCCCCGTTTTCCCGGCTGCCTGTCAACTGGCACCAACACCCGGGAGCAGCAGCTCCTCTTCCCCTCCCTGCTGAAACCTTACTCCCAGGCACCGGACCCTCTGCATCCTCTGCCCCCCCACCACCTCCTATGCAGGCTTCCTGGAACCTGGGGACCCTGGAGGTTTCTGGACCATATCGAGTTGCTTGGGTGGTTGCGTCCCTTTTTTTTGGGCCATGCCGGGTGGGGGAGCTGGGAGAGAAGCTGATGATTGGGTCAGGCCCAGCCAGGGGTGGAGGCTGCCCACTGGCCCGCATCTCCCCGGAGCAGACTGTGGGCCCCCAGCCCTGTCTCTGAGGGGTCTGTGGCCTGGCTTCCCTTCCTGGCTAGGGGGCGTCGCTGTTTGCCATTTCCTGCCTTCCTCCCTTTTATTTTGCACCAGGTCCCCCAGGAACGCCTCTGCGGGGATGTGGGGCCCATGCTCACCCTTCTTCCCGGTGATGAGGCCTGACTTGGCCTGGCACCGCCACAGTCCTGCTGAGTCTGGGCCCAGGATGGGGTTGTCTGTATTCTTCTCTCCACCCTCCTCAGACCCCACCTCCCGGCTGGACAGCTGGGCTCAAGGCCAGGGCTGAGCCAGGGGGCCAGCACTGATTGAAAGTGCTCCTCACAGACCCCTTGGCTGGGGGCCCATGGGGTGTGGGGGCTCTGGAAGAGGCTGAGGGCCTCAGAGAAGAGGGAGCCCCCCAAGGCCAGGGGGTGGGAGAAAGTGAAGGACTGACTTTCTGGGGCAAGAGCCAAGGCTCAGCCACCCTGGTGTTAATCCGGAGGTGATTCTGAGACTCCCCCCAAGGCCTCAGCAGCCCCTCTGCCGCTCAGCCCTGGCCCCCCAAGGCGCACTGCACACATGGTTTTGCTTTTCCAGGCATCTTCCCCTGGTCCCCTCCCCCTGGGTGCCTTCTCAAGCTCCTTGGCCCCTCCCCCAGCCCTCCTGGGCCCCCTCCTTCCTCCTTGACCCACTTTAGTCCCCTGTTGCTGGGGGAGGGGAGCGCACAGCCGGCGGCTCTGATCCTGGCGCTCTCCCCCAGCATCCCCTGGGGCGGGCTCTGGATGGAGCCTGCAGGCTGAGCCGGCCCGGCCCCAGGGACTGGCACACAGCGTGCTCCGAGTGGCAGCCACCCTGCCCCCTCCGTGGACAGACAGTTCTGGACAGCTGCCCCTGCCCGGGCCCCTGGGAAGCCCTGCCAGGACCAGGCTCCGGTTTCCCCCAACCCCAGGGAGCAGTGGCTCCAGAGGTCCCTCCTACCACCGCCTCCTTGGCGAGCGTGCTTCCCAGAGGGGACGCAGGGCAGGGCCCAGCCCTGGCCTCCACCCATTCTTCCCCTAAATCTCTGCTGGAGAGGCTGGAGCCGGGGTCAAATCCTTTGTCTGCTGTTTATCTGTGTGACTTGGGGAACTCCACCAACCCTCTCTGGGCCTCATCTGTGCATTGAGGGACTTGGAGCAGATAGCTAACCTCCATCAAACACGCCTGTGTTCCCAGGACTGCTGACTACGTTTAGGGTCTCTTTGTATTGTCACAGCACTGTGTTCATGCTGTCTCAATCTGTATTTTCATGATGAGGCAACTGAGGCACCGAGAGAGGAAGTCACTTGTTTGAGGTTATATAGGCTGTATGTAGTGGAACTGCAGGGCCTTAAGCCCAGGCAAGCCTGATGAGATGATTTTTCTTCGCCCTAACATCCTCCAATTGATCCTGACCCTGGGGCTGTTAACTCTTCAGGGACAACCGCCCAGCCCACTGAGGACTTGGGATCTTCACTCTGTCCTGCTCGGGTGTTGGCTGGGTCCCCAAGCCTGCCGCCTGCCCTGTGACAGGCTGTGCGAAGCCAAGGCCACTGCCCGCCCCAGCTGGGAACTCGCTCCATCCTGAGTTCCAGTTCTGTGGTCCAGTGGCCTGACCGAGTACAGGAGCCAAGTGCAAGAGCCAGGATCCAGGAGCGGCCTGGAGTTTCCACCTGCCCTCCCTGCCCTCCCTGCCCACCCAGCCCTGCTGCCCCCCTGCACATGCTCCCCTCCTCCCTTCCCACGAAATCCCTGAAAAACAAGTATAACATATACAGTGGGAAGGTCCTGAGGGGGCTGTTGAAATTTGGGAACCAGTGCTTCCCTAATCTCTGCATTTTCTGTCTTTTCCTTCTTAAGCCTTGACATCTGTCCGTCTTCTGGGAACCTTTTCATTTCACCATCATTGTCTTGCCGAATAAAGGAGGGGGTGGGAGGTGGGAGGGGGCTCTGGGAGCGAAGTCAGGACATCTTTTCTTATTTGCCTAATTTCCTCACTCGAATGTGTCTTGTGATTAAACATTTTCTTAGCGAGCTTGGTTAGGGCCAGGCTGAGTTTCTTTTCATAAACATTGGCAAGTGAATTTAACAGCCCTGTTTGTATTAGCTGGAGGTTTCATTTGCATAGTGATTGTTCTTAGGAAACAAAATAATCGCTTGCAGTTTATGAAACTGTATAAATACCGGGGTCTGGAGCTGGGCGCATGCGTAGGCCTTTGCTCTCGCACGTAAATCCATCCTGTTTGGGGAGGAAATTCAGGCTCCAGGAAGAGCCAAGTGCTGAGGGTTTTCTCTGCGGAGTGGTGTTCCCCTGGCTGGAGTCCTGGGCTCTGGGTGTTGCCTGCTGGGCGGAGCTTGTGAAAGCGGATAAACCTCCCCAAGCTTGTGCGTGGACCCCAGTTCCAATCAGGGTCCCATGAGGGGCCAGGCCTGGTAAGGCTGGGCGAGGAGGAGGGTTGCTCACCTGAGCGCCCACTCCTTTATGTTGCCCTTCCAACCTTTTAGATGAAGGCTGCGAACTGGAGGCTGGAGGCTGAGTGTTGCTCACAGATGTGTTTTGATTGGCTTGCGCTGTGTTTGAAAGAAAGAAATCAACATTGAGAGATTGGAGATGTCACAGAAAAAAATCGGAGTTCTTGCTTCTGTCTCCTAAGCAATGGGTAGATCTGGGACTTCAAGGTCCCCGTTTCAGGCTTGGCTACCATCCTGGGGCTGGGGGTGGTGACTGCTTCTGTAGGTGGGCATGTCTCTTCTGTCCATCACAGTCCAGACCTTGGCTGAAGTCACTCATTGATGTCCCTGCCTGGCCCCTGGGGAATTTAGGGTCCTGCTTGCAGTGGGTCCTCTCAGTTCACCATGTGCCCTGTAGGCTTGAAGTCAGCGATTCACCTGGCCCCTCGGGTGCTCTGTTCTGACCTGTCATAACTGCTCCTGCATCTTTTGGCTGTACCCTTCCCCCTCTTGCCCCACTCAGGACCTGCCTATTTGAGGAGCGCCTATTTGAGGAGCTCTTCCTGGGCCTTCTGGCTTTGCCCCAGTGGCTGTGAGTTCAAGCTCTCCTGATGTCCATATTGGCTGGGGGTGGAGATATGGACAGGGAGTCGCTTTGCGAGGTCACACCCTCATTCCCAGGAGCTTGTCTTTGCTCAGAACATTCCTGGCCTTTTCCTCAGCAGATCTCTCTGGGGCCTGCTACCCCAGAAGACAGGCATTTCATGAGCTCAGAATCTGTTTTTCAGACTCAGGCAGCATCGCCGCCCAGCTCGGTCAGCTGGCTTGGCCCGATTTTGGAATCTACTGGAGTTAAGTGGGCCCAGAATAATACCTGTCCATTAAGGGAATGGTTTGACAAAGCTTCAGGGCTGGAGTTGGATTTCTAGCTAAGGAATGATGCCTGCCCCACACCCCAGATGACCCAGCCTTGGTGGCCAGGGCCCTCGGATATTTGGTGCCTTTATGGAGCCTCCACTTTAGAGGAGGAAAAGTCAGAAGCAACAAAGAAAGCAGGTGAAACTGATGAATACTGGCATCTTCCTTTTTTTTTTTTTTTTGAGATAGTCTTGTTCTGTCACCCAGGCTGGAGTGCTTACTGCAACCTCTGCCTCCTTGGTTCAAGTGATTCTCCTGCCTCCGCCTCCCCAGTAGCTGGGACTAGAGGCACGCCCCACCATGCCTGGCTAATTTTTTTTGTACTTTTTTTTTTTAGTAGAGATGGGGTTTCGCCATGTTGGCCAGGCTGGTCTGGAACTCCTGACTTCAGATGATCTGCCCACCCTGGCCTACCAAAGTGCTGGGATTACAGGCGTGAGCCACCGTGCTCAGACTTTATCAATAATTTCTTCACTGTGCAGCGCTCTTCCCTGTAGTCTGGGTGTCCCAAGTGTCCCCTGGGAGAACAGCTCCTGTTGATCCCTTTGTGCTTCCAGGCCTTCATCATGGACTGCCTTGGGAAGTCACTGGGAGTTTCATGCCCTGTATGGTGGTCTCATGCTGTTCTCACAGCAGCTCCAGCTAATAGTTATATTAGTTCCGCTTTATAGGTGAGGAAACTGAGGCTCTGCGGCCCAAGGTCATACAGCTGCCCGAGGTCACAAACCTGGTAAATAATTGGAGATACTGGGATTTGATCTGCCCTCTTAACCCTGACCCTATATGATTTGTTTCTCCAATTATAAAATAGGGAAAATGAACCCATTTCCTAGGGTTCTTGAAGACAAAGATAAAATAAGTAAAGAGAGATTTACAAAGATAAAATGAATAAAGAAAGATTTCACTGTAGAACATGGACTCAGGCGCTTTGAGGTTTCTTTAACTCTTTATTTCTGGGTGGTGTCATTAAGCATAACGCTTTGTTCTCTTCTCCCCCTGCCTCAGTCTTCATGAGCTGTACTTTGACCATGTCACTGCTCTGGCTCTGGCCAGGTGTTCCCCCTCACACCCTGAGGTTGTGAAATTCCCCTGGGGAGAGGGTTGCATCTCTGATAGTTGGAGCTCCTCTTGGCAGGGAGCGGTGCAGAGAAACCTGCAGGGTCTTCTGGAAAGAGGAAGAGCAAGCAGTCAGGTCAGAAATTCAATTTTGGTGGAACTGGCTGGCTGACACAGGATTGTATCACCTGGGATGCTTCGAGCTGCAAGATGTGCAATCCAAGTTCGGAAAAGCTCAAGCATGAGGGGCTGTGAGATCTCCTAGGATGAGAAGTGTGGAGGAGTGTGGCTGCAGAGAACTTAGCTGAGCAGCTCAGTACTGTCAGCAGAGATCGAGCTGCCTTCTGTCTTTATGCTCTGTCCTGCTCAACTCATTGGCTGGTGCCCTCGGATTTGTCTCCTCATGATGAAGAAATGGCTGCTGTGGTGCCAGACATCACCCCCCGACACATCAGTGTCCAAAGACCAGGAGAGAGAAGCTCCCTGACACAGGCCTGTCTTTAGGGGAAAGATACCTCTCCTAAATGTCCCCATGTTCCCTCCCTTGTATCTCACTGTGTTGACAACGGCATCCCTTGAACATCCTGCACCAATCTCAGGCCAACATACGGAGCTCCCTTTGGAGTTAGTGAATCTGGGGATGTTCAAGCAAAATTTGAATTAGGCCAGCAAGAAAGAAGGAGGGGGAAAGGCTGCTGGGGAGCACCCAGCACTGTCTGGGGGAGCTTGTGTGAGCGGCTGTCTCTTCCCATGCAAGGTTCCGGAGCATCTCCCTCATGTCATGGGAGCTCTCCCTCACATCTCATCAGTCCCCCGGCCTCAACTCATGTCCTAGGACTGTGCCGTTCTTTCCTCTGCATGGCTTTCCCCGTGACTGAGACTCTTCCTCTGTACTAGCCTGCCTGGCTCCTTCTCCTTCTTCTGGACTCAGGTTCAATGTCACCTCTTCTGCGCGGCCTTCCCTGACCCTTCTCCCAAAGTGGGCCCACTGCTGTTACTGTCTCTCTCTTGCTCTTTTTAATGTCATGTGAGTTGTTCTCAGTAGGAATTTATTGATGTATTCACTTGTTTACAGTTCCTTCCTCAGTGGCCGCTCGACTGTCCCCGGACAGGGGCCAGGTTTGACTTGCCCACTCTTGTGTCCCTAGGCTTCAGGAGAAAGGGTTAGTGGGATGGAGAAGGGATTCACAGTGCCTGGCATGTAGTTGGCATTTAGGAGATATTGACTGAATGAAGGAGCCGCTTGTCCCCCATCTTACCTGAATTCCTGTCTCTTTTTTCCTGTTTCTGTCCTCCTCTCCACTGGAGCCCCCACATTTCTTCTTGTTCTTTGAGGAAGAACAAGAACTTCTCCATGAGCCCATGGAGCTGACTTCTCTTGACAGTGTTGGGATTGCTGGCAGGGCTTCTCCAAGGGCCACTTCTGTGAAAAAATCCAATCTGGAGGTAGGGCATGCAGTGGTGAACCTGTGCAGCGGAGTGGGCTGAGGAAGGGAGTCTGGACACAGTTCAGCCGCCTTCCTGGCTGGTAGGTGCCCGCTGAAGCCAGGGGGCAACATGGATGCTGGTCTGGACATCTGGATCTGACCCTTTCTGCACAGGTTTGGTCACTTTGCTCCAGGACAGTTTTTATTTTTGCATTTTTATTTAGAGACAGGGTGTCACTTTGTCACTCATGCTGGAATGCAGTGGTGTGATCATAGCTCACTGCCACCTCCAACTCTCGGGCTCAAAGAAGGAGGGCTCGTTTACACTGCTGGGGACTCCCTCTGTCCATGAGATAGTGGGATCCTTCCATTTCAGGGGTATCTAGCCCAGCCCACTCCTGGGAAAGCAGTTCCGTTGTGAGGATTGCCAATGCCAGATTGTAAGGCTGATCTGGGAGCCAGTTGGTCATTCTACACAACACAGAGGTGGAAAGAGTTGGCTGTGATTCCTTCAAGTTTAACAAGCAATCTGAGTAACTGCCTGGAATAGCCGGCTTGACCATCCCCAGGGCTCAGATGACGTGGGTCTGGGGACAGCCACATGATATGGGTGCTGCTGCATTGTTGGTGTGGGACTGGGGATAGAGGAGAAAACGGCTTGCTCTGGCTGGGTTGGCAACATTGGAGGGTGAATGAGGGCCCAGCGGGAGCAGGGATCAGACCAGGAGGCGAGTGGAACCAGGCTAGAAAGGGTCTTGAAGGCCACAGGCCAGCCTGCCATGAAGCCTCCCTAATTTGAGTCCTCAGCCTGCCAAAAATACGGTTCATTCTCCCTGGGGGTAGAGAAAGAGCCTCCCTGGGTCTCCAGACCTCTCCTCCATAGCCGGTTGTGGGACAGATGATGGCCTTTCTGCGTGTGCGTGGGCGGGACTGTAGTGTATGTACAAGGATCCACACAGGACTCGCCTGGAGCATGGCGCCCGCCCAGGGGCTCTTTGGGGAATTTGTTGGCTGCAGTGTGAGTCTAATGAGCAAAGCATTTGGTGGTGGGTCTGTGGGTTCCCCAACAGGGTTTGGTCTCCCCAAGTCCCTCAAAGTGGAGCTGTTTAAGCTGGCGGAGTCTTTTCTAGGCCCCTGCTGTTGCTTTTAGGGAACTTGCTTATGTTATGTTGCCTTTTCTTTTTCAGTGGGAAGTGTCGGTGTGAGTAATTATATATATTTTCACAAACTCGAACTATGCTTCATTTAAACTTCTATAAACATGTCTGTGTAATTCTAATTAACTGCTCGCATAAAGCCATCACAAGTTACATGGGGAAATGCTCATTTGCCAGACTGTTGCCTAAAAGCCAAGGAAAATATTATGTTCTTCCAACAAACGGACTATTCATGTAGACTGTTACCAAGATAAACAGGAGATATTTGAGGACAAGTGAGATTCTAAGCAGCGATGGCTGAGCCTCCCGTAAGTGGTGTTATTCAGGGTTGGCAGGGTGGGTGGCTTGATTGAGTGATAAATGCTCTTCAAGAAAAATGCCTGAATTTGGAATGTGGGGTCAGGACCCTGGAGATGGGCCATCTGGTGGTGCTCTTTGGGCAGGAGGCCACTGTGAATTTCGTGAAAAGTCTGAATCGGAGAAGAGTCAACGAAATGGCTTGCACTTGTACTTCCAGGAAGTTCTTTTAGCAGTTCATACTAGGGTCACTAAGAAAGTGTGTAAAAAGAGATTCTTGGGGCTGCTTTAATAAATGTGTAAGAGTGATTTCAAGTTAATCATTCAGACTGGGCATGGTGGCTCACGCCTATAATCCCAGGGTTAGGGGATATTCTACCCCCAGAAAAAGAATGGAATAGCTCTTTCTCTACCCCCACTGAAAAAAAAAGGCAACATAACAATTTTTCCGGAGGCCGAGGCAGTAGGATTGTTTGAAGCCTGAAGTGTGAGACCAGCCCAGGCAACATAGACCCTATTGCTACAAAACATAAAAATGCAAAAATTAGCCTGGCGTGGTGGCACATGCCTGTAGTCCCAGCTACTCGAGAGGCTGAGGTGAGAGAATTGCCGGAGCCCAGGAGCTCAAGGCTTCAGTAAACTATGATTGAGCCGCTACACTCCAGCCTGGGAGATAGAATGAGACCCCAACTCAAAAAAAAAAAAAGTTAGCTGTTCATTCATTCATTCTTCCATCCAATCAAGTATTACTGAGCGTCTGTCGTGTCCCAGACTAGGTAGGGTTCTTGCTGCTGCAGTGAGAAACATCCAAACCCCTGCCCTCCTGGAGCTGATGTTCTGCTTGTTGTTGTTGGTAACCAGACAAGGAAGTGAAATGTATACAGTTTGTCAGAGACGAGGGCTCAGGAAGACAAGGAAGGATGAGGGGTGGGGGAACTGGTGAAGACTGTCTGGTGTGTTTGAGGAGGGATGAGGCGGGGGCCTGCTCTGTGGCTGGAGGCTGGAGCGAGCAGGTGATCGGGAGAAGTGGGTGATGAGGTCAGATGGCTGACCTGGGCCGGGAGATGTATCTCTTTTATTTTATGCGGAAGATGTTTCTGAGCTGCTTGGCAATTATATTTTTTAATATCTTTTCCTTCACAGAATGGTAAAGTCCTTAAAATGTTGCAATACTTGCTCAATTGCAGCAGATAAGAATACTACACAAAACTATAGAGAAGAAAATCAAACCCTCCGGAATGTCCCCCTGAAGAGGACCACTGTTGCAGCGGGGACCCTCCTTTCAGGCATCCTCATTTTATCATGTCCCTTTGCTTTCTTCCCCAGTGGCCTTTTCAAAGGTCAGAGAGAAATGCTTAGTCAAACCCCTACTTGAGTATCACAGGTGACTAATTTTGGGATCGAAGATTAAGGAGGTTTTGTTGCGTCCTTAAAGAACTTGGAATTGGAGTCCAGGTAGTTTTGGTAAGTCATCAACAGCTGGAAAGAACTGTCGGAAAGTGACTCACTTTCAGGCTGATAGTTCTGTGTAGAAAACATTCCCTGTAATGGTGAACATGTATTGATTCCTTCCTGCGTCCCAGGCACTAGACATAAGCAGTCCCTATTCAGTTCTTTCGATTCTCACAGCAACTCTATGAGGTTGGTGCTGTTATTCTTATTATCACAGGCAAGGAACAGGGTTAGGGAGGGTAATGACCTTCCCCAATCACACAGGTGGTTAGGGACTGGGACCTCAACATCAGAGTCCTGGCTCTGGGCAGGAGTTAAGGTTGAAGATGCCATGAATCAATCCAGCCTGACTTGTTCCCCTTCCCCTTAACTGCATTTTGGGTAGCCCCTGCTGCTGCGTGCCCTGGCCATGTTGAGAGCTTTGCCTCTCTCATTTGCTCTTAAGAAAGGCATCTTGGAAGGTTCTCTTTGAGTCCTCTGGGCTGGATTGACCAGAGACAGATGTAATAATGCACATCAAAGCCCATCCCTGGCATGTGACAGCCCTTTCTTTTTTATTTTTTGAGACAGGGTCTTGCTCTTTCACTCAGGCTGGAGTGCAGTGGTACAATCTCCGCTCACTGAAGCCTCGACCTCCCGGGCTCAAGCAGTCCTCTGGCCTCAGCCTCTTGAGGAGCTGGGACTACAGGTGCATGCCACCACACCTGGCTAATTTTTGTATTTTTTGTACAGATGGAGGTTTCACTATGTTGCCTAGGCTGGTCTCGAACTCCTGGGGTCAAGAGATCCACCTGTCTTGGCCTCCGAAAGTAATGGGATTATAGGCGTGAGCCACCACACCTGGCCAGCCCTTTTCAATAAGCAAGAGATTTTATTATTAGTACATTCTTCTGAAACCTTGTTGGTCCCTCGGAAAGGGCCTGGAACCGCCTGTGTCTTAGGGGGCTGGATGGATTAGGTCTGGATGTTATGGTCTGTTTCTGACCACTTCGTTCATTCACGCCCTCGCTCATTGATATTGAGGTGTGATTTTTCCAGCAAGAGAGTCCCCTGGTCTCAAGTTTCCGGAGGCACCCACTACAATCTAGATTCCAATTAGCTTAATTGCTTCATATTAGACTTCTTAGAAAAGATTTTTTTTTTCTTGCTGATGGCTGCCTTTCCAGGAATGTCTCCCCCACTGCCTTCCTTCCTGCTTCTTCCAAGCTTGTTTCTTTCAACTTTATTTCTCTGGTACTGACCTGCACCTCAGTCCTGTTAGACCCGGTGCCATTGTGTCAGTTTACATCTGAGAGGCCAAAGTGACACCAGGAAAAAAAAAAGTATATATTATATATATGTATGGAGAGAAAGAGAGAATGGGAGCTTATATATCCCATGTATGTAAAATTACATGTGTTATTTTTAAATAGAAAATTTCTTTTTAGGGTGTGTGTATGTTTCAGTGAAAGAACTGGACACAAAACCTACCCAGAGTTCTGACCCTATCTCTCTTCCTTTTGCCATCAACACCAGATTTTTTAAAAAGTAATTTTCAACAACCAAAGGAAACAGTTACATCCTGATTGACACACAGGATGTCGGAGCAGCATTCTTGCTGTTAAGTGATCAGGATTTCAGCCAAGGGAATATAATGAAATCCACATAAAAATTTATTTACCTAATGAAAATCCTGGAGTAATGCATAAGTGGTTCTCTGATAATAAAATGCAAATCTAAAACTATAACCAGGAGGACAATAATCTTCATTAAATGTATTGTCTAGAGGAAGCCTGTGACATCTACTTAACAGTGATTTGATTTGTTTAGTAATTTCCACGTAATATTTAAACTTTATTTCGAGTCTTAAAAACCAGCCCACGAGTTTCTTTTGCATCAGAGAGGAGGGCAGCTGCTGGTGGGTGGAGGTGCCCGCCCATTGGATTCTCAGGGCCTCTGCTTACGGGGCACCCTGGAATCTCGTCCTTTTCTGGGCAGCGTGGCATTTGGTGGAGAGGCGGGGTCCAGGAAGGGAAAGCAAGGGGTCAGGTTTCCTTCTGGAGTGAGACCCAGAAAAGCTCCTGTTCTGCAGGAAAATGGCATTTGAGGCTTAGAAAGGCTTGGAGATGGGAAGTGACTCGCCCAAGTTTATCTTGGAGCTCTGGTGGTGCCCAGGTCTCCTGGCTCCCCACCCAGTGCTCCTGCCTTCCTGAAATCTGGCCAGAGCTGAGGATTTGAGTGCCACTCTCCTGCCACTCAGGCTCTGTGTAGCATCTCTGTAGCTCTCTCTCCTGGCCTGAGACCACTTAGCAACAGCACACCTCCCCCACCCCCAACTTGGTATTGGCATGATTGGAAGTTGCAAGCAGGGTGGAAGTGCTTTGGAAGCAGGCTGACCTGGGTTCAAAACCTGGCTCTGTCTCTTGTCACCTGAGGAACCATGGGCCTGTACCTTACTCTCTGTGAGGCTCAGGGTCCCTACCTGTGACAGGGGGGCTCTAATCTCTACCTTTGGGACTGCTGGGAGGACTCTGAGGAAGCGTGTGCAGTGTCTGGCTGGAGACGCAATGCCTGGCTGTGGGCTTAGAAGTCTCTTGGGTAGCTTAGAAGCATGATAGGGAATAATTTATTTTGGGACATTCCCCCCCAGTTTTGACACTAATAATCTAAACCCTAGATGAGAAAAACTACCCTTTTGGATTAAAAAAAAATTTTTTTTGAGATGTTATCACTCTGTCATCGAGGCTGGAGTGCCGTGGCATTATATGGCTCACTGTAATCTCCACTTTCTGGGCTCAAGCGATCTTCCCACAGCCTCCTGAGCAGCTTGGGACTACAGGTGTGTACCAAATTTTTATTTTTTTTTGTAGAGAGGTCTCACTATATTGCCCAGGCTGGTCTCGGACTCCTGAGCTCAAGTGATCCTCCTACCTCTGTCTTCCCATGGGATTACAGGTGTCAGTCACTGTGCCCGGCCCCTTTAACACAAAATCCCAGATACATGACAGATGAAGCCTGTTGGTGTGTGTACATGTGCAAGTGTGTATGTGTGTGTGTGTATTTTCCCTCCACATATCACGGTAACTTCGCAGATTACCCAACCTTCCTCTTACTGTCTCCTCTGCCTCCTTCTTCTCCTTTTTTTTTCCCCCAACAAGTTATAACTTTTTTCTTTCCCTTTCGGAATGTTGCAGAGCATTTTGAAAAAATATTAAAACAAATTATCCATAATCTCAAGCAAGAATCTCCTTCCAAGGGCAGCATAGGACTCTGGTTAGGAACACAGGCCTGTTCAGACACCAGCTTTGAGCTTACCAGCTAGCTGTGCACCCTCGAGCAACTTCCTTATCCTCTCTGAGCCTCAGTTTCCTTGCCTGTGATGCAGCATTAACACTCGTTTTTTTCTGCACAGCTGTGAAGATTAAACAAGATAATGTGTGTAAAGTGCTTAGCAGAGTGTCTGGCACTTAGTCAGTGATTGATAAATGGGAGCTGTTTTGTTGTTGCAAGAGAAAAGGTTGCTCTGAACAGAAGCCCCGTGAAATGGAGAAGTGAGGCTTCTGTCCAGGTAGTGATGCCAGCCGACCAGCAGGCCAGCCAGGCATAATGGCTTGAGTTTCCATCCAAGGGCTGGCTCAGGTTACTCCTGGCCCATTAGCATCGCTGGTGAGAGCTTGGAGCTTCTTAAGTTCAAGGTCGATCACAGGCCTTGTCCCCGACTCGGGCCTCTCTGCTTTGCCCAGAGTCATTAGTCACCAGGGTGGTCTGAAGAGAAGGTGAGGATGCCTTAGGGCCTCCTATCCTGACCTCTGGGCCATACCCCAGGGAAGGACCTTGCTCAAGACAGGGGATCAGCCATCCAGAGGCTTTGAAAATTCACTTGTGTATCTGGAAAAGCAGTTAAATCCTGGCTGCGTAGATGACTACCTGGGCAAGTCGTTAAGTAGTCTGAGCCTCAGTTTGCTCATCTGTCAAATGGGTATACAAGTGTTATTTCACCAGGAGATTGCACATGCTTACTAGCCTGCAATAAGAAATTTTGTATTTATTCCCCCAGGAAAACTTCCTGGAGAAGGATGGATTTTACCCTGTAAAAGAAGAAAGACATGGATGCATAAGAAGAGGGGTGAGCAGGGGAGGCCTTGGGCTGAGGGGTGGGGCAAGGGAAGTAGGCAGACAGAAGGAGCTCGAACTAGAGCTTAGTTCTCTTGGACAATGTGGGTCTCATCCCTTCTGACTCAGCTAGGGGCCTTGCCTGGGGAGGATGAAGGAGCAACATCATCTTGACCCCATCTAACTTGGATTTAAAAATTCCTGCAGGGGGCCGGATGTGGTGGCTCATGCCTGTAATCCCAACATTTTGGGAGGTTGAGGCAGGTGGATCGCCTGAGGTCAGGAGTTCGAGACCAACTTGGCCAACATGATGACTCCCTGTCTCTACTAAAAACACAAAAATTAGCCAGGCGTGGTGGTGGGCACCTGTAATCCCAGCTACTTGGGAGGCTGAGGCGTGAGAATCACTTGAACCTGGGAGGCGGAGGTCACAGCAAGCTGAAATCACGCCACTGCACTCCAGCCTGGGCAACAGAGAGAGACTCCATTTCAGAAAAAAAAAAAAAAAATTCCTGCGGGGGTGACTTAGGCAAACGGGTTGTCATTTCAGCCCAAATACTCCCACAGTCTCCTGTATCAGGAGATCCTGCCCACGTGCTGTTGGAATTCACCAGCCAACCAGGGACTGCTGGAGTGTTTCTTCTTACTCATCTTCGGCTTTCCCAGCTCTTTCCTCTAGCAGGATAGGGATGTGGAAGTGATTGAACCTTCTCCGGGAGAGAGAGGAAGACCCAACTGGAGGCATTGAATGCATCCCCCAGAGGCCCTTTCATGGTTGTGCACAGCAGACCTCACCGCCTTTGAGCACAGCCTTGGAGGCTGCAGAGGGTCTGGGCTGTCGGGGGTGGTAATAAATACCCTGAGGCCTGGGGAGCCCCGTGTGGCCTCCTTCCCTGGGCCCACAGAAGGGCCTGAGTGACAGCCAGGCTCGGCCTTCGCACACACCGGGGGAGGGAAAAAGAGAGCAGCAGGGGCAGAGGAGGGGGCTGCCAGGCAGGGACAAAGGCAGAGACAGGGAGAAACAAAGGAAGAGAGAAATCTCTTCTTGTTACAACCTGTGGTTTAAAGAAAAATGTGCTTTGCCACCCCTGAAGGCCTTAGAGTGAGACCCTCCGTTCATCTGGTCACAGAGCAGGACTTTTCACTTTGCAGACCACGCCTCGAGCCCAGGTGTGGGACCCTCATCCTGTGCGTTCTTCTGGGCCTGAAGCTTCCTCCACTTAAGCTTGCATGGAATCAGTTGGAAATGGGAAGAATCAGAGGCAATCATCTGCTGCCAAATTTGGGAGCAAACATTTTTCTTTCTGGATTTAAATAATTGCATTGCCTCCCCAGCTCTGGTTCTCTTCTAAAGCCAGCCCCAGATGACATTTGGCAGGCTATCCATGGTCTGGCTCCCCATCGCCCCCCGCCCCTGCCCCCGCCCCACCACCCTGTGGGGTTTTCTTAGAATATTTTCCTCCGCGTCTGGGTAGCTGGCTTTTAAACCCGTTCAGTTTTTCTTTTTTTTCTTGTTCAGGTCTCAAATTTTATTAAATTTAAATTTTATTCCATTTCAGGCTATAAAATCTCCAAAAGTGGCTTTGAAAGTGAACAGGTTTTGGCATGCTGGAAATAGGTTACCTCCAATGCAAATAAAAGAGTCTAGCTTCCGAGGCGAACAAGGCTCCAAGGGTTGGGAAAATGCGTGGAGCAGTTAGAGACTGTGGCATAGAAATGGTCAGAGACCAATTTAAAAGCACATATATTTTAAATGAAACATTTTGTGGACATATGGAACCCATAGCTTTTGCCAAAAGCCCAATTGTGGGGATCAAGTCTTAAGAGCTAAACTTCAATCTACTACCCAAGGTGATTTTTAACAGACAAATGAAAGCTCCTTTTTGCTTTCTAGTCTAAGGGGAATCTTAATACATTTTTAAATTATTTGGCATTTTGAATTAATTTTCTTAGAATGAAACGAGATTCTTAAATTGGGATCTTGTAGGGAAAAGACAGCCAGGTAATTAGTGAACTGATCTCCTTTCCTGACACACGAATGCAAGGGGGAGGGGGAGAGTTGAACTCCAACCAAGGTGCACACAAAATCTATTTTAGAGCAAAAATTTCAAAGTAAGCAACACCATCTGTTCTTTAATTATTTCTCCTTATTAAAAAAATGTAGCTAAATTTATTTGGGTTACTTAGTTGGAAAGAAATGTCTTTAAGACACTCAGAACTGGAGCTATTAAAGTCAGATTGTCAGCTCTTGTTTGCTAGGTATCCAAGAACTGAAAATAGTAAAGGCATTTTAGCATTGACTTTCTTTTCCAACAGAGCTTCCTCTTGGTTAAGCAGGACATGGTTATCCAAGGCCTAGCGGATATTCCTCTGCTGCTCATATCTTGGGGCAGGGGCTATGGGATTAAGCAGAGGGTTCATGCTCTAGCAGGTCAATCAAGGGAGGTAGGGGGTCTGCCTTCAAGAGGAGTTAGGCCACTGGGAGTCTCTGCCCCTTTCGGAGTTCTTGCCATTCAGCTCACTGTCCATCCTTCCATTCATCTGTCTGTCCGTCCGTCCGTCTGTCCATCCATCTGTCCATCCATTCATCCATCCACCCATCCATCCATGCATCCATCCATCCATCCATCCATCCATCCATCCATCCATCCATCCACCTATTCAACAAATATACCTTTAATAATACTCCTAACCTACAAACATCAGGGCTTAGCGAGCTTATCTTAACATACTTGGAACACCTACATTAGCCTACAGTTGGGCAAACTAATCTAACACAAAGCCTATTTTATAATAAAGGGAAGAATATCTCATGTAATTTATTGAGTACTGTACTGAAGTACAGTTTCTACTAAATGTGTGTTGCTTTCATACCATTGTGAGGTTGAACCATTGCACGTCTAAACACTTTAAGTCAGGGACCATCTGTAATCAGATACTCATGGATGGGCTCATTCCTGTAATCTAGCACTTTGGGAGGCCAAGGCGGGTGGATCACCTGAGGTCAGGAGTTTGAGACCAGCCCGGCCAACATGGTGAAACACTGTCTCTACTAAAAATACAAAAATTAGCCAGGCAAAGTGGTGGGTGCCTGTAATCCCAGCTACTTGGGAGGCTGAGGCAGGGAGAATCGCTTGAACCTAGGAGGCGGAGGTTGCAGTGAGCTGAGATCACATCACTGCACTCCAGCCTGGGTGACAGAGTGAGATTCTGTCTCAAAAAAAAAGATACTCGTGGATGAGCCTATGATTACTAACAGTAACATGTGCTCTAGAGTCTAGACCAGTGCTGTCCAATAGACCTTTTGGTGAAGATGGAAATATTCTATATCTGTACTGTCCAATATGGTAGCCACTAGCCACATATGGGTTTTGAGCATTTGAAACCTGGCTAGTGGGACTGAGGAACTGCCATTTTTTTTTTTTTTTTTTTTGAGACGGAATCTCACTCTGTCACCCAGGCTGGAGTGCAGTGGCACGATCTCTGCTCACTGCAAGCTCCGCCTCCCGGGTTCACGCCATTCTGCCTCAGCCTCCCGAGTAGCTAGGACTACAGGCACCCACTACCACGCCCGGCTAATTTTTTTGTATTTTTAGTAGAGACGGGGTTTCACCATTTGGCCAGGATGGTCTCTATCTCTTGACCTCGTAATCCACCGGCCTCAGCCTCCCAAAGAGCTGGGATTACAGGCATGAGCCACTGCACCCGGCCAGAGCTGCCATTTTAAATTTGATTTAGTTAAAAAAATTAAAAATATTTATTTTAACAATATGTATTTATTATTATTATTTTTTTAGAGACAGGGTCTTGCCCTGTTGCCCAAGCTGGAGTACACTGGCATGGTTACAGCTCATTGTAGTTTTGAACTCCTGGGCTCAAGTGATCCTCTCATCTCAGCCTCTGGAGTAGCTGGGACTACAGGCGTTCACCATCACACTCAGCTAATTTATTTTTATATTTTAAGAGATGAGATCTCTCTATTTTGCCCAGGTAGGTCTTGAACTCTTAGCCTCAAGGGATCCTCCCACATCAGCCTCCAGAGTAGCTGGGATTACAGGTGAGAGCCACTGCACCCAGTTCTTTTTTATTTATTTTTAGACATGGGGTATCTCTGTGTTGCCCAGGCTGGAGTGCAGTGTCTATACACAGGTGCAGTCACAGCGCACTATAGACTTGAACTCCTGGGCTCCAGTGATCCTGCTGCCTCAGCCTCCCGAGTAGCTGGGACTATATGCATGCACCACCATGCCCAGTTTGATTTACTTTTGGTTAATTTTTATTTAAATACTCACATGAGGGTAGTAGCGACTGTATTGGACAGCATGGGGTCAGCCTCACCTGGGAACTTGGTAGCAATGCAGATCCCCGGGCCCTATCCAGGTTCTGCTGAGTCAGAATCTCTGTGGGCGCCCGGGCATCTGAGTTTCAGCAATCCCTCCAGGTATTTTTATATGGCTTTGCTCTAGGAAAGGTAGGTGTGGGTGTGATGCTATCATGCGATCCATTCTGGGGGGCGGTGCATCAAGGAGTAGGGGAATTAGATTTCAACTGCACAGAAGCCTTCTGAGAAAAAGGACTGATGAGCTGTGACTGAGACATGAGTAGCGAGGTGACCATGGCAGGCCTGGCACTGGATGGGCCTTTGGTGGTGATGGAATACAGCTCACCATGCCCAGCAGTGGGGAGGGCTTGGCACAGTTGACGAACTCAAAAAAGGTCAGAATGTTGGAGCGAAGAGATGGAGCATTTGTGAACTGGCGGGTTGGAGGCCTGGTACTGCAGCTGTGTGATCCTGAAATGGTGTCTTAACCTCTCTGGGCCTCGTATTCTCTTCATTGATAAAATGGAGCTAACCACACCTTGCGACACACTCATCTAGTAGGGTCAAAAGATGGATAGACTCAAACTGCATGGACAAAGCATGCATGTGCACAACAGAAACCCTGGGATAAGTGACATGGTGGTCTTGTTTCTTACTGAGTTTTCTTTGTTCTCTAACTGCACTGTCCCCATTTCTCCTACCTTCAGGGTCTCAGCTCTGCCTGAGCACCTCCTGCCCAGCACCACTCTCCCCAGCTGTCCTCAATCAGGCTAAGGCGGTATCAGGCGTTCTGTGTGGCTCTGGACCCGCACCCTGGTCTGATGGGACCTGTGTTCCTGTTGCTGCTCTGCATTTCCTTCCTGGAAAGTCCTCCCCAGGCCTCTGCGTCTCTTTTATTGGGTTTATAATCTCAGGGGCCCTTTCCAGACCCTCATCTGGAAGCCCAGGATGGGCCCAGAGAGTGGACTTCTGCAAGTGCACGTTAAAATCAGATGTAACCAAATGCCTTTTGGGGAAAGACTTCATAGTAATTTTAGCAGCATCTTTTCTGTTGTCTAGACCTAAGATCAGCATTTTAGGGAAAAGTGTCGAGGTAAACTTTCCCCTGCCTCCCCCTGCTCTCCCCTCTCCGCTGCTAGGACTCCGTGCAAGGCCCTCCCTCTAGGACGTCAGGTGGCCAGAGCCTCAGGCGTGCCCCAGCTACTTGGCAGCCAAAAGTTTTGTCCATGGAAGATGCCAGACTTATTTCGAGATGGCAAATGTGGCGATGCTTCTCTGCTGGAAAGACACCAAGTGTCTGATCTCAGCCTTGGGAGTGGTATTTTGGGGAGATATTAGCAGCTTCTTATCTAAAATAGACACATGCTTTTCTTCACCCTCTCAAAAGCCTTTGCAGTCAACTGTGTCCTCAGTACTTGGGATGGTGCCTTGAGCATACTGATTGCTCAGTATAGGTTAGTTATTGCTACCGTTATTGTTATTATTATTACTTTGTTTTTCCAGGACTGAAGCATTGCTTAGGCCTCTCCTCTAGACTAAGACATTTACAATAAACGCTTTGGAATCTTCCTTTTTTTTGAGACAGGGTCTCGCTCTGTCACCCAGGCTGGAGTGCAGTGGCATGATTATAGCTCACTGCAGCCTCAACCTCCCAGGCTCAAGCAATCCTCCCACCTCAGCCTCCCCAGTAGCTGGGACTACAGGTGCGTGCCACCATGCCTGGCTAATTTTTAAATTTTTAGTAGAGATGGGGCCTCACTATGTTGCTTAGGCTGGCAACTCCTGGGCTCAGGCAATCCTCCTTCCTCAGTCTTCCAAAATGTTGGGATTACAGGCATGAACCACTGCATCCTGCCTGAATCTTCTTTTTAAAAGAATATCCAGGGAGAGCACTGTTTGACTAAAAGGAATTAGTAGCTAATGGTGGAATTTTAGTCACCTGGGCAAGACATTGCTTTATAGGGAAAAGTACTTTCCAAGCACCTCTCATGTCATTTTAGCTCAATGACAAAACAAACAAACAAAAATACTCAGGACCTGCTTTGAAATCCTGGGGGAAGGTTGCAGTCTGGGAACCCGAGGAGCGCATCCAGTGTCAGGATCATTTTGTTTTCTTGGCTGCTCAGGATTAAAATTTGTTTTTGGCTAGGCACAGTGGCTCACGCCTGCAATCCCAGCACTTTGGGAAGCCAAAGCAGGTGGATCGTGGGAGCCCAGGAGTTCAAGACCAGCCTGGCCAACATGGTGAAATCCTGCCTCCACTAAAAATACAAAAATTAGCCCGGCGTAGTGGCGGGCGCTTGTAATTCCAGCTACCCAGGAGGCTGAGGCAGGAGAATCGCCTGAGCCTGGGAGGTGAAGTTTGCGGTGAGCTGAGATTGTACCACTGCACTCCAGCCTGGGCAACAGAGTGAGACTTTGTCTCAAAAAAAAAAAAAAAAAAAAAATATATATATATATATATATATATATATATATATTTTTTTTTTTTGTTTGTTTGGAATTAGAATGTAACACTTAAAATTCAGGAAAGTATGCACAAAAATCCAGATTTCTAGCTGTTCTTCAAAGCAATCAGGAGATCAAGTTCCTGTACAGTGAGGATGGGCTGGTGCTGCCTGCTTATACCCAAGCCTGCGTGCTCTGTTCCTCGTACCTATGACTCCCTGTTGTGTGCATCAAGCCTTCCTTACCCTTTAATGTTACCTGGCTGGCCCTGAAGGCCTCAAGGTTGCCAGTACTCCGAGGATTGAAAGAGCTGGGCAGTGCTGCCCTGCCAGAGTCTGCCTGGAGCTCCTGGACCAGCCCTGCCTCCTGTTTGCTGTGTGACTTGGCACCCGTCATACCACTTCCCTGTGCCTCAGCTTTCCCATCTGTCCAGTGGGGCACTAGACTGAGTTGGCAGTTTCCCACTGTGCCTGATGAAGCAGAAGCAGGTGCCAGGCCCCCTACTTCCCTTGTGAATGAGGTCTGTGCCTTAGATTTCTCATGGAAAGTTAGGGAACTCCCAGATAACTTCCTGTCCTGACCCCGTATCGAGATCTTTGTGCAGCTGCTGCTTAGGGGGCTGCTTTTTTTGGTTCGTTTTGGTGGAGCAGCTGGGGGTATCAGGGCAGGAAAGGGAAAATAATAGTGTTATTAATAAGAATGGCCAAATTTACTGAGCAGCCTATTCTCCCACTAAGGTAGGCCCTCTTTGACCCATTTTACTGATAAGAAACTCAAGTTCTGAGAGTCTGAGTAACTTGCCGAAGTTCACACAGCTGATGAGCGGCCGAGCCCCGCTGTGAGCCTGGTTGGTTTCATCCCAGACCCTGAGGCCCTAACCAGCAGGCTGCCCTCCCCGACGTGGCTTGGGAGGTGGCATTCTAGGACACACGTGTGGGAAAGAGGAGGTCAGGAGAGATGCCCGCTGCAGAGTTGAGATGGCCAGTGCTCTGGGGCTGCTTCAGAAGAGACCTGACCGCCTCCTGTCGCCTCCGTCTTGCTGGCCATCCACACTCCTGGGGTGGGGGATGCCACCTCCTCCTGGCTCCCTGCTCACATGCCAGGCTCACCCCTATCAGAGCCCTGTTTTGGGTCATGCTCCTGGGTTTGAATGAGGTAGATAAATGGGGTGCTAGGCCTGTCGAGCTGTAAACTCATTGCGGATTAATTTTTTTTTTTTTTACAATAGTGGCTTGCAAAACTTTTCTGGAACAAATCTTATAGCAAGCCAATTGATTAGGTTGTTCAGGAGGACCTTGGAGGATTGGAGTAATTTTGTACTTCTCAGGAACAAGCGTGTTTCCTGTCTGAGCCTCAGTTGCCCACCTGAGAAAGCACAGCCCATGCCTGTCCTGCTTGCCCTCCGATCCTGTCCCATTGTTGGAAAAGGCAGGTGCAGTTTATCCTGGCACAGCCCACCCCTGTCCCGCTTGCCCTCCGATCCTGTCCCATTGTTGGAAAGGGCAGGTGCAGTCTATCCTGGCACAGCCCACCCCTGTCCTGCTTGCCCTCCGATCCTGCCCCATTGTTGGAAAGGGTAGGTGCAGTCTATCCTGGGCACAGGACATGTCGGGGATGTCATCCCCCCACCCCCCAGAGCCCACGGGAAGGCAGATGAATCATGTCCATTTTACAGGTGATGCCTGAAAAGGTTCAGTATTACAGGCCCCGTCTGGAGTCCCACTGCTGCTGAGGGCTGGGCTTGTGGCCTTGACCCAGGGCCTTCTGTCTCCGAAGCCCCGGCTCCTCAGGGCCTGGCTCTTGGACCCTGGCAGCCCACAGCCTTCGACCTCACGCCTTCCCTGGAACTGTCACTTCCTGCGTCCTCTGGGCTTTCCAGGAGTAAAAAGTGGGAGTTCGGCAAATCCTGCTAACGTCCTTGAGGAAGGAGCTGCTTGTTTTCTTTTTCCAGCTTCTTCTGCAGGAGCCCACCTGGGGCCTCCCGGTTCTCCAAGGCATTTATAGGAGTTGGGGGGCGGATGTGGACCCCTGGCCCCTGTCCAAAGAGCTTTTGGCCTTTCCTGGGTGGCTTCTGAGTCAGCTGCAATGGCAGGACCATCTCCATGGTCTCAGCTGCTGTCTCGGCCACTGTGCTGGTTTCCTGTCCAGCAGGGTTCAGTGGTGCAGGTGACAGAAGCCAACTCTGGACAACTTAAGCCAAAAGAGACTTTAACAGGAGGCCAAGGGGGAGCCAACAGTGTGAATGCACAGAGAGATGGAGGCCTTGGGGCAGCTCTGGAGATGCGGGAGCGAGAGGGAATGGATGTTCTCTTCCGGGAACTGCCATGGGGCGGGAGTTTGTCACCTCCCGTGTCTCCTGCGTGGCTCTGCTTGAGGATCAATCCCTGGGCAGATCAAGCATGAGCCTGGGCCATGGCCCAGGGGAGGGCAGGGCATTTTGACTGGTGGCACATTGAGGTTAGGGTTAGGGGCGGTTCCTCAGGGCACGATTGGGGTGCTGCTGTTATCCGAGGCTGGGGCAGTGGATACCTGGAGGATGAACATGTCTGCTTGGCTGTCACTGCTCTCCTGGTGGCCTGTCCTGCCACCTCAGAAGGCTCTGGCTGCCTGGAGTCGGGGCACAGGGTGGGCTGGGGGTGAAGTGCGCCGTTGCCTGTTAGGCCAGCTCTGGGCTGTGGGGTTGGAGTCACCAAGGTAGACCTGTAGGGCACCAGGGTGGGTGGGGATTTGGGGGAAGTCCAGTCTAATGTCATTCATACGCACAGGGAAATGGGAGTTGAGAGAGAGCAGCAAGAACTTCCCCAAAGCCCCACCGCCTAGTAGGGCTACAACTAGGGGAGTGGACCAAGGTGGGAAGGCAAAAATGCAGCACCCCAAGGCAAGTGTGGGTGCCCCTGGTGGTGTGGCAGGGGGTTTAAGTAGAACACACACACACTTTTAAACACACGAATTGCTAATGAATGCACAAGGAGCAAAATTAGAAACTCCCCCAGCCACCCACTGTCCTCCCTGGAGGCCACTGCTGGTCCTAGTTTCTTGTGTCTGGTTCCAGGGCAATTTACGTGTGTTCAGACACATGAAAATTCGTGTATTTATCTCCCCTCCCCAACACAAATGGAAGTACACCATACAGCCCCTCACCCTTTCTCACTTTCCAGACTGTGAGAAATGATTCCAAATCAGCTACTTCAGTACTGCTTCAGGACTTTATTTATTCATTTATTTAGGTTTTCTGAGATGGGATCTCACGCTGTTGCCCAGGCTGGAGTGCAGTGGCACAATCACAGCTCACTACAACCTAGAACTCACAGGCTCAGGAGATCCTCCCACCTTAGCCTCCTGAGTAGCGCATGCCACCACACCTGGCTAATTTTTGTATTTTTTGTAGAGATGTGCTCATCATGTTGCCTGGGCTGGTCTTGAACTCCTGGGCCTCCAAAGATCCACCCACTTTGGCCTCCTAGAGTGCTGGGATTACAGGCGTGAGCCACCATGCCCAGCCCCCTTATCCCAGCCTTTATCAGTAGCGTTGACTATGCCCTCTCTCCCCTCTCATAGCCAGCCAGGCAGCAGGTGCCTGTAGCTTCTAGAAAACAACCAGGTAGATGGGGAATGTGGATGTGGGAGAGCCAGGACCCTCTAGCCCAGTGGCTTGGTGTGGGATTTTAAATTGCATAGGTCTGGATTTGAATCCCAGCTCTGCCACTTGCTGGCTGTGTGACCGTGAGCAAGTGTCTTAACCTCTCTGAGTATAGGTTTTCTTGCCTGTGCAATGAGGATGGTTGAGGACTCCCTGCAGGATCCCTAGGAAGGTGACACAAGTGCTCTGTGTGTGGAGCACCCCGCCTAGTCACCGGTGCTCAGCGGAGTTTTGATTGTGGTGGCACCAGAGGTCTGCTCCCTGTCACAGGCCTAGGGGCAGGAGGAAGGGGAGAGGAGAGCGGGACAGAGCCTGCTTCTCTGCCCCTGTGGCATCCATCCCAGATGAGCAAATGGCTCTCAGCAGGGCATGGGGAACGGAATCTCTTTCTGGCTGGCGGTGGCTGGCCAGCCTCAGGGCAGCTGCCCTGTTCCCAGATCTGGGGTTCCAGGCTGGGTGGCTGAGGCGGGCGGTCAGGCGGGGCCTGGGCAGCTGACAGGGCCTCTGGGGGCGGGGGTGGGGGTAGGAGGCCAGCTGTAGTCCTGGAGCAGCAGAGAGCCAACTCAGACTTTAACCCATTCCAGTCCTGCGGGGATGGCTGCTCTTCTGGGCCCGGAAATGGCTCCCTTTTCTTTCAGTAGCCTCGTTTGCCCTGTGAGCTCCTTGTCTGACCAGGGGGTCGGCAGCCTGCAGTGCAAGGACTGTATTTGGACTGCTAGAAGTTTGGTCAGCCTGTCTTAAAATTGGAATGGTTCCTATAAATATTCAGATCTCTGGCCTCCCTGGAGAAACCAGAAAATGGGACCCTGCTAAGCACACTCTGGGTGGCAGCGTGGGCTGGGTTGGGGGTAGAGTGGTGCCATTGTCTCCTCCACCCCCAGTGTTTATTTCTGGTACCTACCTATTTCCCCTGCGATCATTTGAGATCCCATCAAGGCCAACTCTAACTCCTCTCCTAGCTGAGCCTTGACTTTCTTGGGGGTCTCTCTACCGCTGCTTGGTCCCCTCCCATGCCGGGAGCCTCACTACCCCCAAGCAGACCTCCCCTCATTGCCTCTGCTGATAGCGTCCCATCTGTTTCTTCTTGAAATCGTCCCATCTGTTTCTTCTTGAAATCTTTCTGTAGTGCCTTCCACTGGTTGGTCCCGGTTTGACCCCTTGAGGCCACACAGCCAGCGCAGTCTGTCTTCTCTGTGACAGCCCTTCAGATGCCTGAAGACAGCTCTGAGGGCCCCCTGAGCCTGCCCCTCTGGGCTGAACAGCATCAGTTCCTTCACTTCCCCTCCCAAGATGTGGTTTCAAGACCCCCCATTACCCTGATGCCCCTCCTTAGCCACATCCTCGTGGGCCCGTGAACTTCTTGTGGCCGGACTCTCAGCGCTGCCCTGCACACCCCGAGGGCCTCAAGACCACTCAGACATGCCCCAGGTCCCATTTGTGTTGAAGGAGAGAAAGTGTAAATGCACAGAAAGTGTCCGGTAGGGCCGACTGCCCTCAAATACCCATGGCATTTCCGAGAGGGGCATTATAGGTGGTTTTATTTTTCCCTGAGTACTCACCTGTATTTATTTATTTTTCCTATAATCTGGAAGATTAAAAAAGTAACAAAGCAAAGGGCTTGCGATGAATTCATTTTAATCAACTCATGGCAGTTGTCTGTGGAGACGAGGCCCTGAGCTGGGAGTGAGGGGCAAGGAGGAGGAACAGGGTGGGGCTGTCCCTCAGGGAGCTCACAGCATAGGGGACCCTGATGCGCCCAGGGGTCTCAGCTGAGTCGGGCCCTCAGAGAGGATTATGGGGACCAGAGAAGGAGGCGTCTGTTTATCCAGGGATCTGGGAAGGCCTCTTGGATAGCAGAGGTCTGGTGGGGGCCTCCAACATGGCAGGGGTGTTTTGGGTAATGAGAGCAGCAGTGGCAGAGGTCCTGAGACAGGAAGGTGGTTGCCTGGAAGGGAGCAGGTGGGTGCATGGCTTGGAGCATCAGGAGGTAAGAAGGGTGTGTGGCAGGGCTGGGGGCAAGGGGCTGGCAGAGGCCCCTCTCTGGCTGTCCTCTTTGGGGTGAGGAGTCTGTGAGTCTGGGAACGTGTTCTTTCTTCTAGATTATCTCCAGGTGCCAGGACTCCCCCAGCCTCCCCGACCCCAGACCACCCTGGACCTCTGGGGCCTCTCCCTGTGTTTGTCTTCCCAAGGGTGGACCAAGCCTTCAGTGTGCATATCCCCAGGCCAAAGAGTGGGGAAGGGGTGCTGTCAGCAGGAAATGGGGCCTGGGCAGACCTTTGACACATGGTTGCCCCTGTCCTCGAGGGAAGGAGCTGGGGGTGGGAGGAAAAAATGGGTGGGCGCAGGCTGGGGGCCTGGGTCCTGACAGCTGGGCGAGCTCTCACTCTCATGCGGTTCATAAGGCTTCCCCTGGTGTCCTGCTAAGAGCTCCCGGGTGGACCCTCCAGCCCCAGACCCCCTGGTGTCTTTGTTTCCAGTCTCAGGAGCAGGCTTCAGATGCCTCAGGGCTTGGTGGAGGCACTTTGGAGGCCATCAGAAGTGGGAGCAGGAATGCTTTTACCAGCTGTGCTAACCCACCCGGGGGTCCCCACCTCTCCCCTCTGGGAGCCAGCATGTGGTCTGCTATGGGAGGATGAGGCAGCCACATCTGTTCTCGCAGGTGCAGAGCGGAGCCTCTGGGACCTTTCTCTCGGATTCTCCTTTTCCCCAAAGTCCCCCTCTCGCCTTCTTGGGGGTTCCAGGACCAGCAGGACCTGGGTGTGAGTTCCACTACACACAGGCTGCACTGGCTTGTGTGTAGTGGAACACAAGGCTTCTCTGAGACCTCTCTGCCTGGGTGGGGAGATTGAACCTGCTGCCGCCCGCTGGAGCATAGCAGTGTGGGTGACACACAGAGCATGGGACCACTGCAGCCTATGCCGCTTTGCACGAGGCAGCTTTTCCAAGGGCCCCCAGGGCCGGGCCGGCCCCTGCCAGCCGTGGACCAGATGTGCTTTTTCTGATGGTGTGGGAGAGCTTCTCTGTGTGGGTGTCCTCGCATTATGTGTGGGCCGCTATGTTTTGATCGAAGGGAGCCAAACTGATTTTCCTGGCCCATCTCTCCGCCATTCGAAGCAGAAAGTTAAATAAACACAACCAAGTATTATCGCAGGACACGCGGAAAATGAACTTGGTCCCTACGGGTGGCCACATCTGGCAAGTGTGGGGCCGTGCAGGGCTATGGGATGAGACAGATGTGGTTGGGGCAGGAAGGGCTCAGTGTGCCCCCTGCTCGGGGACGTGCCTCCTGCCAGGGGCTCTGGCCCTCAGTGGTATCCTTTCCCATTGCTGAACCTTTCTGAGGCCGTGTCTTCTGGCTTGGCTTCCCCTGAGCCTTGCCGCAGCCTGGTGGGTCTCTCTGGCCCTGTCTGGTGTGCGTAGGGAATGCACAGCTGGAGTCCCTGGGCCATGGGGGCAGGTGGTCAGGTGCACTTGGGAAATAGTCACACTTGTCGTGATTTCCACCCCTCTCCACCCCTCTGCTAACGGCCCTGGGGGGTGGATGAGCCACAGGTTTTGGGAGTACTTCACTGCTTGCCAGAGTGTGTAGCCAGCATGTCCCCCGCCCCTCCCACTGTCCTCTGCCCAGCACTGCCCTTGGCATGCAACACTCAGCCCTTGCTGAACTCCAGTGGGCTGAGTGGGTTCCCGGAGATCCATTTAGGACAACTGACATGCACCTCTTTATCAGAGGTGCCCAGCACTTCTCATGCCCACTGTCCCCAAAATGGGACATTGCACCGGAGGCTTGTGGGATTCAGGTGGCTGATAGGTGAATGGTTCTCTTTTCTTCATACTTATATATATTTATTCCTTCATCTGTTAGGAACATGTTACTTCTTATGTTTATTTTATTGTCTATTAGAAAAATTGGGCCTGGCATAATGGCTCACATCTGTAATCCCAGTGCTTCCAGGGGCCAAGGCAGGAGAATTGCTTGAGGCCAGGAGTTCAAGACCAGCCTAGACAACATGGTAAAACCCTGTCTCTACAAAAAATTAAAAAATTAGGTAGGTGTGGTAGTGCACATCTGTAGTCCCAGCTACTCAGGAGGCTATGGTGGGAGGATGGTTTGAGCCCAGGAGCTCGAAGCTGCACTTAGCTATGATGCAGCCACTGCACTCCAGCCTTGGTGACAGAGCAAGATTTTGTCCCTATAAAAGAAAAAAAAAAAGAAAGAAAAATTGTTACTAGCACACCAAATGTGTGATTTCTTGAGTAACGCTGCTTAGGGAGAAGCTAGAAAAAAAGGAATGTAAGAAAAAGCAGGGAGTTGATGGGAAGAAAAGCATCCCGTGACTCTGAGTGCCAGAGGTGTGTCCTCCTGGCAGGAGTTGTCTGGGGAGGTCCCTGCCAGCCCCGGGGCAGGGACAGTGGAGAGGCTGAGTTGCTGCTCTGGAGCCTGTGCCCAGGCAGACCCTGTCACGGCCCCTGGGATGGTTGGCATGCTTAGTGAAGGTTTTGGGGTTGTCTTGGGATGGCAGGCAGGTTTGGATTAGGGAGGGCCTGCCTTGGTGGGACCAGCTGCCAGGTGGAGCTGCCTGGGGTCCCCCAAAGGCCTTTTCCACATGCAAGCTCCCCACGGTGGGTGGGCAATGGGGCCAAGTCGGGAGCACATCTGTGCCAGTGAAATGTCCCCCTCCCAAATCAGACATTAAAAATACAAACTCCTTAAGCCGTGAAGTATTGTGCTTGCCCCTACCCCGGGGTGTCTTTGTGGAATGAAAAAGTGTTTGGAACCAGACATTACAGTTCGTTTCTGTGGAAGGTTTGGGCTTTTATTTTGTATTTTTTGTTTTTTTTTTGAGACGGAATATTGCTCTGTCGCCTAGGCTGGAGTGCAGTGGGCTATCTCCACTCACTGCAAGCTCTGCCTCCCGGGTTCACGCCATTCTCCTGCCTCAGCCTCCCGAGTAGCTAGGACTACAGGTGCCCGCCACCACGCCCGGCTAATTTTTTGTATTTTTAGTAGAGATGGGGTTTCACCGCATTAGCCAGGATGGTCTCGATCTCCTGACCTCATGATCCGCCTGCCTCAGCCTCCCAAAGTGCTGGAATTACAGGCGTGAGCCACCGCCCCCGGCCTGGCTTGGGCTTTTAATATGAAAGAGAAGGAAGATAATGTGTGTGGAGTTAGTACTGCTGTAGTGTATGTTTAACATTGCTAAAATGGTACATTTTATGCTGTGCACTTTTTTTTTTTTTTTGGAGTCAGAGTCTTGCTCTGTCCTCCAGGCTGGAGTGCAATGGCACGATCTCGGCTCGCTGCAACCTCTACCTCCCGGGTTCAAGCGATTCTCCTGCCTCAGCCTCCCCAGTAGCTGGGATTACAGACGTGCGCTACCATACCCAGCTGATTTTTGTATTTTTAGTAGAGACGGGGTTTCACCATGTTGTCCAGGCTGGTCTTGAACTCCTGACCTTGTGATCTGCCTGCCTTGGCCTCCCAAAGTGCTGGGATTACAGGCGTGAGTCACAGCGCCTGGCCTGCTGTGCATTTTTTTTTTTTAACCACAAAAAAAGTATGAGGAAGAAGAGCAATGTGTAAAAAGAGAGATGGATGGGTGATCTGTGTGTTCAGAACCAGATGGAAGCACACACACACACGTCATACATACACAAATCAGTTTTCAATGACAGACTCAGTTTCCTCTGCTCGTGTTTAAAATAAACCACATGTATAACCAGGAACTGACATTTATTTACAGTATGTTAGCACAGAGGACAAGCTGTTAAGGGGTTGTAAAAAAACATTAGTTTCTACTTTATAGTGCTTTTTCTTCAAATGAAAGTGGAAAGAAGGAAAGAGAGTGGGGTGCCGATCTTACCTGCTTCTTCCTTTCCACCCGAAACAGCAAACAGACCTGGGCAGATGTGGGTCCTCTGTACCATACCCTGAGTGAGGGGCTGGGCCCCAGGCTGATGTGCCCACTGTCAGGTTCCTGAAGTACAGGCTGCCACTTTCATCTGGCGGTTGTGTGGGCTGTTGTGTGGCCCCTCCCTGGGGGGCTGGGGTGCCCCCCGCTCCACCACCTTCCATCAGCATTTCCCAGCTGGTGGGCGAGAGCCCAGTGTTGCCCCCGAAACAGGATGCAGGAGCCAGACCCCATTGTAAATCCACGTTTATATGCTGCACGTTTCTGGTTAACGAGACCATGCAGAGATGACTGTATGAAATGAAATACATGTATGAACGAGGAGATTAACCTCAGGGAGAGATGGGATTAAACGAGAGGGCAGCCCGGGAGGCCGGGGGCCCTCCCTGTTAAGGTCCAGGCAGGCGGTTCCCCAGAAAGGGAATTTTCCGCACACATTGCAACCCTGGATGGACTGGCTGGGGGCACAGAAGCAATCATCCTATTTCGTGTTGCTCGTTGGACGCCAGGCACTAAGCTGAGATCTTTACCTGTGTTATTTCACTTTGTCTTTAAAATAAATGGAATTTTTTAAATCCCCATTTTATAGATGTGGAAATAAAGACTCGAAGAGTCCATTACCCAAGGTTACACAGCAAGCAACAGGTGGAGTTTATGATCAACGTGGGCTGGCACACCCAATACTGACCTCTGCAGACTGGTCACTGGAGGGTTCAGAAAAAAGGAGTCATTTCAACCCTTACCTGCCTGGCGAGCTTTGCCTTATTTTGAGAAGGTACAGGCAATCTGGGAAGTTTGGCCAGTTAATTACTGTTTGTTTTGAAGGGGCCGAGAGAGGCAGGATGGCCTGGTGAACTTCAGAGCCATGTAGACCCAGCTTCAAATCTGGGCTCCATCTCCCTCTGCTTCCATAATTTGGTCCACTTAAAAAAATTAGTTTAGCCCCTGGTTTTTCCACCTGTAAGATGAGTACCTGCTTTTGTAGGGCCATTGGGAGTATCAGCATGAACGTGGTAACGTGTGAAGAGGTGGCTCAGTGTGTTCTCACTACAGGTATGTGATGGTTGTCTCTAGTGTCTCTGATGTGCACAGTCTGCTGCCAAGTGAACTGGAAGGTGGGAGAAAGAGGAGATGGAGAGACTTTCCCTAAAGGGGCTGAGAGTATGGTTGTGGGCAACATATAATGCTGTGGGATCTTGGGAGGCTGAGGCAGGTGGATCACCTGAGGTCAGGAGTTCGAGACCAGTTCTGGCCAGCATAGTGAAACCCCATCTCTACTAAATATACAAAAATTAGCTGGGTGCGGTGGTGGGCACCTGTAATCCCAGCTACTTGGGAGGCTGAGGCAGGAGAATTGCTTGAACCCAGGAGGTGGAGGTTGCAATGAGTCGAGACCAGGCCACTGCACTCCAGCCTGGGGGACAGAGTAAGTAAGACTCTGTCTCAAAAAAAAAAAAAAAAAAAAAAGCTGTGGGATCAGGGTTTCCATTTGCCAGGCACTGGGTATTGGGTCCTGAACCATGCACTTTATACACACCATCTTGTTTGATCTTCAGAGCTACCTTGCAGGGTTGGTGTGCACAGGGTTGGTGTGTTACCTGATTTGCCCAAGTCACACAGCAAAATATGGTGGATTGGGATTTGATCCTAAGGCATCTTGCTTCAATTACACCCTGCTGCAGGTGAGAACTAACTTCAGTCCATGGCTGGAGAAGACTTCTTGGAGGAGGTGACCTTGAGCTCTGGTCAGTGTTTCTGACCAGGAGAGGAGGTGGCCTTGTAGCCTGTGGTCAGGCTGACTCTGGGGACATGGATGAGAAGCTGGAAGCCCTGGGCCTGTTCCCAGGTCTCCTCATAAGCCGGATCCCAGGTGATGCTAGACTGGGTGGGGCGAGGCTACCTAGATTTCCTCTAGTATTGATTTCTTTGCTTAGTTAAATTCAATTTGATTAGATTTTTTTCTGAACTTTACTTTTGAGCAGGAAAACTTGCTTACATTAAAAAAGAGACCCATGGACTTTTAAGATTTTGTCCACAATTATCATTCTTCCTGAAAATGGGATTTGCATATTAGTGTAAAAAAATCAGAATTTTAACTCTGATTGAAGTAGAAACTCATCTGAAGGCGGGGCGCAGTGCCTCAGGCCTGTAATCCCAGCACTTTGGGAGGCCGAGATGGGCAGATCACCTGAGGTCAGGAGTTCAAGACCAGCCTAGCCAACATGGTGAAACCCCATCTCTACTAAAAATACAAAATTAGCTGGGCGTAGTGGCGGGCATCTGTAATCTCAGTTACTGGGGAGGCTGAGGCAGGAGAATCACTTGAATCCGGGAGGTGGAGGATGCAGTGAGTCGAGATCTCACCACTGCACTCCAGCCTGGGTGACAGAGGGAGACTCTGTCAAAAAAAAAAAAAAAAAAAAAAGAAACTCATCCTAGCCCTGGGCCGGTTCCCCACCCCTGAGTCTGCTCTGGGGCTATGGCTATGGAGACAGAGACCCCACCTTGAGCTCTGCCTTTCCCCTTCCCTAGCTCCCTGCCCCTCCCTTGTGTCTGCACTCCAGGTCCTCTACTTGGTTTTGTCTTGTTCTGAGTTTGGGATGCATTTAGCAACCTCCAGCATACCGTAGTTTGTTCATTCATTCACTCACTCAGCTCCTGTGTGCCAGCCCTTGAAGGGGCACAGTGATGGGTAACACTTGTCACTGTGGATTCACCATCTAGTGGTTGAAGGTCAAAACCCAGCTTCCTTTTCTCATCTCTCTCATGCTACCTAGCGCAGACTTCTAGGTAGTCTAGAGGTGCTCAGTGCTTGTTAAAGGAGGAAATAGCCAAATGCCTCCTGGTAGTGTATCCCAAAAGCCTAAAAATGGGTACACTCTTTGTCCTAGCAATCAAGCTTCTGACCTAAGGAATATTATCGAACAGGCTTGTGACCATACATGTGTTGCAGCGTGGATTCTCTTACAGGAGGAGACAGCTGGAAATAGCCTGGCTATCCAGCAACAGGATATTGGTTATTTGGAGCCTCCTGTGATGGGACTCAGGCCATCATTGATAATAGTGTTGGTCTCCGTTTATTTTTATTTTTTATTTTTTTGAGACAAGGTCTGGCTGTGTCACTCAGGCTAGAGTGCAGTGGTGCCATCATAACTCACTGCAGCCTTGACTTCCTGGGCTCAAGTGATCCTCCTGCCTCAGCCTCCTGAGTAGCTGCGACTACACATGCATGCCACCATGCCCAGCTAATTTTTTTTTTATTTTTCTGTAGAGACGGAATCTCGATATGTTGCCTAGGCTGGTCTCGAACTCCTGGCCTCAAGTGATCCTCCCACCTTGGCCTCCCAAAACCCTGGAATTGCAAGTGTGAGCCATCGGGCTGGTCCTTGGTCTCTGTTTTTGATGTGAAAGGATGTTCACTGGGTACTGCTGAGTTAGAAAAGCGGAATACAGAGCACTACCTGTTTTTAATGTTGTAACAATGTATTTACATACTGGAAAGTTGTGCTTTTACTTTCTTCATTTTAACTCACATGTATTCCCTAGTTTTCTACGTTGTACATGGATTACTTATGTCAGAAACTTTTACAGAAAGAAAGAGACGTTTGTTCTAGGAAACAATAAGCAAAGGGCCACTTGGAGTGAATTCTGTGTTTCTGACATATTTGGAACATAGGGGCAAAGCCTAGGCAGGGCAGGTGGGGTGGGTGGGAGAGCTGGGGTCTCTGCAGCGTCCTAGGCTGCCAAAGCCCCTTCTCTCCTTCCTCCTCCTCCTGTGACACTGTGCCTTTGTCCCATGGTGCGCTGATCGTGCACATTTATTCTGCTCAGCAGTGTCCTGTTTGGTAGCTTGATGTTGGCTGCAGTGGGGGCATTTACACTGCAGAAAGTGGCAAACCCTACAAACCAGAGCCTCTTGTTCTCCTGGATAGCCCCCTGTTAGACATTGACCAGCACACCATTGTCTCTCATGGTTTCACCCCAAGGACCTTGAGTGCTTAGGGAGACCCAAGAGATGAACTCTCCTCTTCTTAGGGTCTCCTGGGGCTGGCACAGGGAGGGACCTAAGGATCTTAAGGATCATGGGAGCGGGGCAGAGTGAGAGAGAGTGAGAGTCCAGTCCTATGTTGACTGATCCTACTCAATCTGGAACCAGACCTGCTGCCTGTTGGAGGCCGAAGTAAAATCAAGGGGTTAAGAATTCTACTCCCAGCTGGGCATGGTGGCTCACTCCTGTAATCCCAGCACTTTGGGAGGCTGAGGCGGGAGGATTGCTTGAGGCCAGGAGTTCAAGACCAGCCTGGCCACACAGTGAGACGCATCTGAAAAAAATTAAAAATTAACTGACTGGGTATAATGGCATGTTCCTCTAGTCTCAGCTACTTGGGGGGCTGAAGTGGGAGGATCACTTGAGCCCAGGAGTTTGAGGCTGCAGTGAGCTCTGATCACACCACCGCACTCCAGCCTGGGTAACAGAACAAGGCTGTATCTCTAAAAAAATAAAAATCCAGTCCTGGCTATACCCCATCCTAGCTCCATGACTTTTGACAAATTGCTTAACCTTAGTTTTCTCATCTGTAAAATGGGGTTAATAAATGTACTTACTCATAGGTTCTCAAACTTAAGCACGCATCAAAGTCATTTGTTGGTTTTGCAAAAACACAGATTCCTGAGTCCCACCCTCAGATATTCTGATTTTGTAGGTCTGGGATGGGGTCTGGGATTCTGCATTTCCAACAAGCTCCTAGGTAATGCTGCTATTGCTGGTCTGGAAACTATATTCTGAGAATTACTTTGTGCAACCGAAGTGCACATCACAGTGTGTGGCACAGGTGAGGGCTCAGTTGCACTTCACTGCTTATTCAGAGGTGGGCAGCATTGTCCAGGAGTATTCCAGGGCCTGAAAGCTAGAATGCCGGGTTCTGAGTCTGCTTTTGCCGCCTCGTCTGGGCCCCCAGGTGAGCTATTTCTCTTATTTGGGACTCTATTCTTCCTTCTTTGAAATGGGTCAGTAAAGCCCTGACTTTCAGGCAGGAGCTGAGGAAACATCTGTAAAAGCCTCCAGTGCCAGACAGTTCTGGTGCAGGGTGGTGGGGAAGGACGTGAGGGACCTGGGCCAGGCTGGCGTCTGTCTCCTCACCCACGTGGGACCAGCACAGAGAGGCAGGCTGTGGCAGGGCACGCTCTCCTCAGTCCCCCGGGGCTGCCAACGTACCCAGGCTTGGCTCCTCTTCTGACAGAGCTGCGAGGGACTGTTTTAGAAGAAGAAAAAAGACATTGTTTTAATTCACGTGGGTTCCTGCCTTTGCGATGTTGTCTTCAGTTCTTCTCAGTTCCTGATTCTGGCTTTCCACTAACATTGCCACATCAGGTGGCTTTGTGATATTCAGTTTCCTTTTCTTTTCCTACCCCATGGCTGGGCTGGACCAGGACAGAACGAGGGGTGAATGGCTGGGTGTTCACGGCTCCCCTTTTTCCTTCCCTTCCCTGTTTTGCCTTTGAGCTGAAGCCATGCTTGGAAACATCTGCCCTGGCCTGGGATTCCGTGGCTGGCATCTGGACAAATGCTGTGGCTCCCTGGGGCTTTGTTTCCTCACCAGAAAAGTGAGGATTTTAAGGGCTCCCTCTGAGGGGGCCTGGGAGGATGGAAGGGGAGCCAGTATGTGGGATACCCGGCACTGTGCCAGATGCCACTTGGGCTCAGTGAAGGGTGGCCTTTCCTGCTCACATTGGGCACATCCTCAAGTGTGTGCGCAGGAGTGTGTGTGTGTGTGTGTGTGTGTCATGTCCAGGTGCTTGCAGGGAAGTTCTATGGACCAGAACAGAGAAACCCAAGATTTTAACCCTCGCTGTTGAGACTTTTGAAGCTGCATCTGTGCCAATTTAGAGAAAGAACCCCGATCAGTTGGCAATATCTATGGTGGGTGCAAGATAGAGGAGCTGGGGCAGGTGTTCCACATGTGTGCTGTCCTGGGTCTAGTGGAAAAACCCTTTTCCTAGTACTTAGAGAAAACTCCCAAGGAGGGAGGATCATGTGAGGCCAGGAGTTTGAGACCAGTCTGGGCAACATAGTGAGACCCCATCTCTACAGAAAAATATCTTTTTTTTTTTTTTTGAGACAGAGCCTCATTCTGTCACCCAGGTTGGAGTGCAGTGGCACAATCTCTGCTCACTGCAACCCCTGCCTCCCAGGGTCAAGTGCATCTCATATCTCAGCCTTTCAAGTAGCTGGGATTACAAGTGTGCATCCATATGCCCAGCTAATTTTTGCATTTTTTGTAGAGACAGGGTTTTGCCATGTTGGCCAGGCTGGTCTCGAACTCCTAGCCTCAAGTGATCTGCTTCCCAAAGTGCTGGGATTATAGGTGTGAGCTCCCACGCTTGGCCAGAAAAATATAACAATTAACCAGGAGTAATGGTGCGTGCTTGTGGTCCTAGCTACGCAGGAGGCTGAGGCAGGAGGATCCCTTGAGCCCAGGAGTTTGAGGCCGCAGTGAGCCAAGATGTTACCATTGCACTCCAGCCTGAATGACACAGTGAGAACCTGTCTTAAAAAATAAAATAAACCAAAACAAAACAAAGAAAACTTCAAGTGTTTCACACTCATTGTCCTATTTTACACATCATCATCATCATCATGTTTTTATTAGGGAAAGATGGAGGAGAGGAGTCACCTTTCTGCAGAGTTGCCGAAGATATAGATTTTACTGGGGTTAGTGTCTGCTTCTTCTGCAGAGATCTCCTAGCCTTTCTCTTTTGGGGTGATCATGGGGAATAGGAGGGTGAGAGGGAGATGAGCTGGCACAGAAGCTGAGCCCCTTGGCTGTCACCTCCAAATAGTCCCACATTTAGGGACACCATCCCTGCACTGTAGTGGGAACAGGAAAGCAGTGATGCTGAGGCATCTGTGGCTCTAGCTGGGCATTCCTGTGGGTGGGGCGGGGTGGGCTAAATCGCAGTGGGAAATTTGATCTCACTGCTCAAAACTCAGCTCTCCTGTCTTTCCAGGGAGAGTGAAACCTCAGCAGCCAGCCAGGAACCTGGCGGGAGAAGGGGAGCTTGAATTATCCCAGTAACATGAGCTCACATTGATTGCATGTTTCCCTGGAGCTAAGTGCTTTGGGGTATCATCTCATTTGGTCCTCTCCAACCTCCTGCGAGGTTGGTATTCTGATTATCCCCATTTTACAGAGACAGAAGATCAGGGTGGATCGAGTCTCTGGCCTGAGATCTGATGGCCTGCAAGTGATCACTTGGGGGACAGCAGCCTATTCCAGAGCCCACTTCCCACACCCCTACATTTTATAGTGTCTCTCCAGGTTCCCTCCTCTACCTCACAGCCATAGCTAGATGAGCTCTGCTGCGTGACTTCTGCAAGGGTCACTTTTCCTGTAAGGACAGATGAATTTACTTTTTGGAATTCTTGGATTATTCCCTGGTGTCTTTCTGTTCTATTTTATATATAGCAAGGCAAGGAGAGGAAGGGGCACAGTGGCTAAGCAAGGTTTAGGCTTTTAGCCCCTCTGCCTACAATTCTCCAGGGCAACAGTTTATGAGGAGTCTGTAGTAGCGTGGCAGCTTCCAGAGGTGCTGGTTCTAAAGTCAGTTTAAGGAGAAAGTCAAGCATTGCCAAAATTGCCTGTTATACAAGCGCCGACGTGGAGACCCACTGACCATCTATCAGTAATTCTTAACAATGGTTTTTCTTCACACATTGGAATATTCTGCTTTAATTTTTTTAAAAAAAATTGTATGTATTTATTTTTAAAAAGTACTAGATTGGTTAGAAGATTTCTGGTTAGGAGTTGTGTTGTCTGAAAACAGGCTTCTTTTTTATTTTGTTTTGTTTCTGAGACAGAGTCTTGCTCTGTCACCCAGACTGGAGTGCAGTGGTGTGATCTTGGCTCACTGCAACCTCTGCCTCCTGGGTTCAGGCAATTCTTGTGCCTCAGCCTTCTGAGTAGCTGGGATTATAGGTGTGCATCATCACACCCAGCTAATTTTTGTATTTCTAGCAGAGATGGGGTTTCATTATGTTGGCCAGGTTGGTCTCAAACTCCTGAGCTCAAGCCATCTGCCCACCTCAGCCTCCATAAGTGTTGGGATTACAGGCATGAGCCTCTGCACCTGGCCTTCTTTCTTCTTTTAACAGATAGGGTCTTGCTGTATCACCCAGGCTGAAGTGCAGTGATGTGATCATAGCTCACTGCAGCCTCGAACTCCTGGGCTCAAGTGATCCTCCCATCTCAGCCTCCCGAGTTGCTGGGATGACAGGCACATACCACCATGTCTGGTTACTTTTTAAATTTTTTATGGAGATAGTATCTTGCTATGTTGCCCTGGCTGGCCTGGAACTCCTTGGCTCAAGCAATCGTCCTGCCTTGGCCTCCCAAAGTGCTGGTATCATAGGTGTGAGTGACTGTGCCTGGCCTAAAAAATCGGTTTCTTTAAATACTAGACCCAGCCTCCTTTTGGTGAGATGCCCATATATTGGGGGGCAGGGTGTGGACAGAGAGACCCATGAGACAGAGCCAGAGGGTCCTGTCCCTTTCACTCTCACTTCAGGGCATAATGGCAGGCGATCTTACCTGTGCTGTTGAAACAGCTTGTTCTCTTTTCAGCAAGTGGTCAGGGTGAATCACGGGAGTTAAACAAAGGTGATTGTGATGTGACTGTCATATTGTGGCTTTTCTGATGGTCTGAGCTTGGTGCCAAGGGGCCTGTCAGTGGAGGTGTTGGGTGGTTTTAGCTTTAGCTGCAGGGAGCCTTGGCTTTTGCATGCAATCACCCCCACCCCACCCACTGCCTGAACACATCGCCACCTGAAAGGAGCCTGGAGGATGTGGGCTTCCTCGTTGGGTTTGTCTGCACTTGACCCTGGTCATTTGACCTAGGAGCGTGATGCCAAAGATGATCTTGGGCTGTAGAAAAGTGATTGGCTATGCTTTTGTGCAAAGGAATGGGCACCCCTTTCTCTGGGCATTCACAGCCCTGCACCAGGACACAGTGCTGGGTAGACAGAGTGTGGGTCACATTTCAGCTCTTTCTCGCCACCTTTGCTTGGCCTTCTGTGCAGTGCTTGGCCTATACCGCTCTACCTGCTTGGCCTCCCTGCCTGGTCTATGCTTTTCCATTCCTGGAGGTTGCTCAGTAGTAAGTCAGAAGCAGTGATGCTCTGTTTCATGCTTGACAATGAGACTTGGGTCTCTCGCTGTCCCCTTTACCTGTTGTGGCCTTGGCCTGCAGTGTGTGAGAGGGTTTCCCTAAGGTTGAGCTAAGGAGGGGCAGTCACGTGCCCCTTGCCTGGCCACCACCTCTGCTGGGACAGGGATGTCTCTGGGGAGGCATGGGATGTTGTAAGGGTGGGACGGGCCAGCAAAGCATGGGGAGGTTTCCCAAGGCCTTGGGGAAAGTAGCTGAGAACACTTTGCAAATGAGAGCCATTGGTCTATGGGTGCTTAAAGTTATTTTGGGGGTGGAGGTGGTTCTAGATCTTCTGATGAAATCTATGGATCCTTTCCCCAGAACAGTGCCCTTTTGTGCCTGTGCACAGCAGCTCACACCCAGAGCCTTCTTCCAGCCTTCAAGCCAGGCTGAGCAAGTGGCCCCAGCATGGATTTTGGAGTTCAGAAAGGAGCATTCTGGGTTCTTCCCTGGCCCTACTAGAGGCCTCCTCTGACCCTTGGACCAGCACTAGCCTCTGTTTGTCTCTCATTCACCTCCTGCCACTGTCTGCCTCAGAATCTGTCCCCCGAGCTTTCCTGCCTTTGACCTGAACCTTCTCTGCCAAAACACATCTTGCCTGACTTTGACAAACTCCTGAGCAGGGCCCCAGCCCTGTCTGGGCCCCACTGCTGTGTTCTGGGCCCTTTTTCCAGACCCCATGCCCAGCTTTCACCTTCCCTTTCTGTTTCCCTCTCCAGCTCCATCTCTTCTGCCTCTGTGAGGTGTTGGGGAGCCCTCTGGGTGGAGGGCATTACTCTCCAGGCCAGGAGCAAGTGACCTGGAGGAGGTGGTGCATGCAGGTGTCTGCCTAGTGCCACTTGCTCTGTGCCACTGGATATCTGAAATCCAGAGGCCTGGCACACAAGGGATCTCGGTGGTGGCAAGGCCTGTGCTAGTGCACAGGGGACGAGCTGTGGCCAATCCCAGAGCAGGAGAGTTGTAGCTACTTATGCACCTGCTGTGGAGTTGGGGCGACAGCATTAGGGGGAGCTCTATACTCCCATTCGTCAATCAGCCTCCCACAACTTCTGACCCCAGAGCTGAGAGTCAACGTGGAGTCCTGATCTGCCTGAAGCCCTGGCAGAGCCCCAGAATCCTTCTTAATGCACCCCAGGAACCATGGTTAATAGTGAGAGCTGGTCTTAGACCTGCTGCCACCAAGCAGGCGCCCTCTAAGGGCCCTCTGGCCTCTTTGAGCCCCTTCTTGTCCATTGTTGAGGATCTTGACTCACACAGGGAACTGGAAGCCCCCCAGGACTTCAGAGATGGCCGCAAACACCCTTTCTCTTAACAGGATGTGTTCGGGTGCTCCTTTGAAGGGCTTTCTGCAGCAGCCCTTGTCCAGAGGCTGCTGGACGTTGCCCATCAGTCTCCACAGCTTGGGGGGATTATCCCAGGACAGCTGGGAGTCTTAAGATTGAGCCCGTTCCTACCTCCCTGTGTAGCCCCCTCCATCCCTGTGGGGGCGGGGCCTCCAAGGCCCTGTCCGGTGAAGTGTTTTAGCAGGAGCTCCTCGCAGGGCTACTGTGGTGCCCTTGGGCCCTTCCAGGGCCACCTGATTGTTGAGGTCACACTCAGCCCTGGGAAGGATCCCATCTCTGATGAGCGATGATGATTCCCATTGCATGGGCAGGAAGAACTCCCTGCTCCATCCACTCTGTAACTGGATTCTGTGGCCAGAGTTTTCTGTTCAGTGCCTGCCTGACCCCAGGCAGGAGTGGTTTGTGCTCAAGGCCGGGGCAAGTGTGAGCGCCATGAGGGAGCTGGATTGGCATGTGTGACCTTCTGCTCCCAGAGCTGGTGTGACTCTAGTGTGATGGGGTGGGGACAGTGGTGGCGTGGAGGGGACAGGTGTGTCTGTGGCTGCCTTGCCCACTGCCTGGTTCTGAACAAAGCCCATCCCTGCTGCAGGCCCTCTGGGATGTCACCACACATCCTGTGTGCTTATTGATTAAAAATTTGGGCCGGGTGCAGTGACTCATGCCTGTAATCCCAGCACTTTGGGAGGCTGAGGCAGGTGGATAACCTGAGGTCAGGAGTTCAAGACCAGCCTGGCTAACATGGTGAAGCCCCGTTTCTACTACAAATACAAAATTTAGCCGGGCATGGTGATAAGCGCCTGTAATCCCAGCTACTCGGGAGGCTGAGGCAGGAGAATTGCTTGGGAGGCAGAGGTTGCAGTGAGCTGAGATCACACTATTGTACCCCAGCCTGGGTGACAAGAGTGAGACTCTGTTTCCAAAAATAAAATTTTTGTTTTTTGTTGAGCACCTGCTACTATGTTTGCACTGAGCTAGGCACTGGGATACAACAATGAACAAGACAGGCATTGTCCATGCCCTAGTGAGGGAGGCAGATAAAAGCCTAGGAAACCAATAGGTGGAAGGAATAATGAGAGGTGTTCGGGTTAGCAGGGGCTAAGCCGGAAGCTGCCCTGCAAGGTCAGGTCTGGGAATCACGAGCAGGAGCTGGTAGACCATGGGGCAGGAGTGGGCAGCTGCAGCCTGGCCATGTGACCTGGGCCACTCCAGAGCCTTTCTGCATCTCACACATGAGCGTGTGCATGCCTGCACGTGTGCTTGAACAGAGGGTACTCGAAGTCCACTGCCTGGCCCCAGCACAGAGCTTGTGTGGGGGGCCGTATGGCTGAAACAACTGGGGGAGTCCTTTGAGACAAAGAGTGCAAAATGCCTGTGGCCATTCTCAAGGTGACCGACAGGAGAGGAAATGGGATGGAAGAGAGTTTGGAGTAGATAGAAAAAGTGGGCTAGGTGCAGTGGCTCACACCTGTAACCCCAGCACTTTAGGAGGCCAAGGTGGGAGGGTTGCTTGAGGTCAGGAGTTCAAGACCAGCCTGGGCAACATGGCAAAAACCTGTCTCCACAAAAAAAAAAAAACAAAAACAAAAACAAACAAAAAAAACTACAAAAATCCACCGGGCGTGGTGGCATGTGCCTGTGGCTCCAGCTGCTCGGGAGGCTGAGGCAGGAGAATCACCTTAGCCAGGAGGTTGTGCCTGCAGTGAGCTGTGATCACACCACTGCACTCCAGCCTAGACAACAGAGAAAGACCCCATCTCAGAGAGCGAGAGAGAGAGAGAGAGAGAGAGAGACAGAGACAGACAGAGACAGAGAGGTCTTAAGTAGGTAACAGATCTTTCCTTTGCAAAGGTTACAAAACATGTAGGGCTACAGAACCCCACTGCTGGGACCCCTCCCAGTGTGCAGAGGGGCTTGAGTTTGCAAAGGGCTCTGGAGCTGGGGCTTCATTAGCATCGTGGTGAATCGGGCTCTGCCATGTGCCCCCTCCCTGTGTATTCACATCCACCCTGCATGCCCTCCTTGTGTGCATACACCTGCCCTCATGCCTCCGCTCTGTGTCACACACTTGCCCCTATGCCTCTGCTCTGTGTCACACACTTGCCCCCATGCCTCCTCTCTGTGTGCACACACTTGCTTCACGTGCTGTCCCTATGCCGGTATACCCTGTGCACCCTCCAGTGTGGGCACACCCTGGCCACCCACCTACCTTACAAATGCCCATCATCCACAGGAGTACTGTGTTCCCCTTGAAGTGGGGTAGGGTGGGGTGTGTATCTCTTGGCTTCAGTGGGGCCAATTATTGTATACATTAAACAACTAGACATGGAGCTAGGGACGTCTGGAGGAGGCGCCGCGGGCCGGCCAAGTAGCCCCTTTGGTGTGTTGTCCCTATCGGCCCCTGTGCGGATTGGGGTTTCTCTGAGCTGCGAGTCTTCAGTGTGCAGTGGGGCTCGGCAGCAGAACTCCCTCTTAGGGATGTTGGGGGCTCGCTGCTTGGGCCCCCAGAGAGTGCCTGCTGCCAGTGTGGGTTGGGGCCACCTGTCCCCAGCTCCAGTTGCAGACGGGCCCTCCTTCCTCTGTGCCTGCTGCCCCTGCTTAGTGATGCCATTGCTGGAGATCCAGTCTGGACAGAAGAGTGCAGCTGTGGGGAGAAAAAAACCTCACACTCATTGCTGGGTAGCACAGGGCCTTATGGGGGTGGTGGGGGGTTGGGTGTTGACTCTTTCTCATCAAGAATGTATAAAAACCAGGCGTGGTGGCTCATGCCTGTAACCCCAGTGCTTTGGGAGGCTGAGGTGGAGATCACTTGAGCCCAGGAGTTTGAGACCAGCCTGAGCAACATAGCAAGACCTTGTCTCTATAAAAAGTATAAAAATAAAAAAATTAGCCAGATGAAGTGGCACACGCTTATAGTCTTAGCTATGCAGGAGGCTTCGGTGGGAGGATCACTTGAGCCCAGGAAGTCAAGACTGAGAAGTGAGCTATGATCGCACCACTGCACTCCAGCCTGTACAACAGAGCATGAGCCTGTCTCATAAAACAATCCTCTAGCCCATATTCTGTTTTTGTTTTTCTGTTTTTTGAATCCTCTAGCCCATATTCACCTTTGAAGGTGTGCTTCTACCTTCAAAAAACAGAATATGGGCTAGAGGAGGGCATGTGAGTGGGGTGGTGCCTGCAGTTGTAGGAAAACGCATTAACACCCAAGTCGTAAGTAAGGTGACCCACAGATCCCTCACCACACAGGGATGTGGTTCCAGGGACTGCATTGTGTCATGCGGCTGCTTGCAGTGAGGGACCAGGAAGCCTGTAGTGAGATCTGCCACTCTGGACCTCCCCAGCCAGTTAGCACTGGGCCACTTTCCTCCTCTTTCCACCCCTGCAGGCCTGTCTGGACTTCTGGGACCCAGCACAGAGCTTTGATTTCCCCCAGAGCTCCAAAATGTTGGGTGTTTCCCTGTTCTCTTTCCCATTATGGCCGAGGCCAGATCTTCCTAAGAGGATGACTTGACATCTTTGGGGCATCCTCAAGTTCAGTGACTTGGGTGGTCACACTTCTTAACTAAACCACCTTGAGTGGGTGTAAGTGTGCAGACTATTTGTCCTGATACCTGGGTGCACAGAGGTCAGAGGAGAACTGGGGTCATGTATTAATGCCCTGATACCTGCAGATGACTAAATCAATAAAAGAAAAAGAAAAAAAAATCAAAAAGAAACTCTGTATCCTTAGCTATCACCCCTACCTTCCTACCCCTCCCAGCCCCAGGCAACCACCGATCCACTTTCTTTCTTTTTTTTTTTTTTTTTTTGAGATGGAGTCTCGTTCTGTTGTGCCCAGGCTGAGAGCAGTGGTGCAGTATCAGCTCACTGCAGTCTCCAGCTCCCAGGTTCAGGCAATTCTCTTGCCTTAGCCTCCCGAGTAGCTGAGACTACAGGCATGCACCACCATGCCTGGCTAAGTTTTGTATTTTTAGTAGAGATGGGGTTTCACCATGTTGGCCAAGCTGGCCTCGAACTCCTGACCTCAAGTGATCTGCTTGCCTTGGCCTCCCAAAGTGCTGAGATTACAGGCATAAACCACTGTGTTCGGCCCTGGACATGTCTTTTTAATGCACTCAAAAGGGATTCTGCTGAACATATTTTTTGTGCTTTTTCTTTCAAATTTAACATATCTGACCTCTTTATCAGCTCATATACCTTTACGTCATTCTTAAGGTTTAGGGACCCATGGAGACCTTGTGGAAGGTGTCTAACAAAATGGCAGCATGGTAACCTTGCACACTGGCAGCAGTCTCTTAATAGAAGCACCATATATTTACATGTGTGCGTGTAAGTAAAAGATGAAATGTAAGGGAAACTGATTTTTTGGCATAGCATTGAATGCTGTTAACAACAGCTCCTTCCGTGCATGGCCCGCTTCTGATGGCTTTAGGCATTAGCCACCCATGTTTTGGAGGCTGTCTGGTTGGAATCATTTTAGTGAATAATATCAATTTTGTCTGACACGAGGTCTTGATTGCTATTTATAAAGCTGCACATTTGAAAACCCACCCCAGCTGTAACTAGCTAAGTAAAACAATAGCTTGGGTCCCAGCTCAAATTATCTGTGCATTTCATTGTCTTGATCCTGCCTGTCCACTCTCAGGATGCGGGCTTGGAAAAGAGAGCACACTTCATTAGCATTCCTTGGCTAGTTGCTCGTGGATGTTCCCTCTTGCATGTGCTGTTTCTCAGGGTTCAGAGAAACCCATTCTGTGAGGCTTTGGGGAGGAGGAAGACCATGGTTACATAGTCAAGGGGGTAGATTGCACCATGTAGAGCACCACGTAGAGCAGGACTGTTTGAGTTGTGGCATCGACCCCCACTCGGTTGGTTGGGCCACTGTTCTAGCAGATGACAGCCCTGACATTATTATGGGGGCAGTTACCCTGTGCCGGCACAGTGCCCAATGCTGCACAGACGTTATCCCATTTAATCCTCCCAGCAGCCCTATGGCTTAGGTACCGTTATTTTCTCCATTTTTGAAGTGGGAAAACAGAAACCCAGAGGTTAGATCATTTGCTCAGGTCATATACAGCTAGTAAGAGGCAGAGCTGAGATTTGAAGGTGGGCTGTGCCTTGCGCTAGAACTCAGGTTCTGACCACAAGCCAGCCTGCTTGCTCCACTCGCAAGGTGGCTGCCTGCGTGTTGTACATGCCTTCCATGTGGTGGGTTGGGGTCACTGCCCTCCAGCCTGAGTTGCTAGGGTTCTGGATAGCATCCTTTGTACCCCGGTCAACAGTGGTTTTCAAAGCAACCTTGGAGACAGACAACCCTGGGTTTGAGCCCAAACTCTTCGTGGCTCTCACTACCTGTAAGACCTCAGACACCCCTCTGAGAGTCCGTTGAGGAAGACGAAACCCAGTGATGGCTGCAAAGCCCCAGCACAGTGCCTGGCTCAGTGTGCACCCACGTGGTGCCAGCAAGAACATCGACAGTGCAGAGAGAACTGGGTGGTTCATGGTGGCTTCAGCCTGCACATATGCAGAGCTAGAAAGGCCATTAAATCTGAAAAATACTGTGTATGCACATTTTTGGCTTAAACAAAGTTCCATTTACAAAGTCCATAACCCAGCTTTAATATTATTACATGCCCCAGACTGGGATTAATTCCAGGACAAGAGTGTTGTTATGCTGTGTAGTGTTTCTCCCATATTCTCCTAGTGCATGGCCTCTACCAGCCTGGGCTTATGTCCTGGGGTGTGGGATGGTGGGGACACCCTATCTCTGCCCAGCTTGGTTCTGTGGGGTCCTGGGTGGAATGGGGGGGAGGCTGGTTGCCTTCTGATGTTGTCAGCTCATGAGTTGCAGTGCTCAGACGTGCTGTCATTGGGAGAGTTGACCTCAGCGTGTCCTGAGGTCTATCTGTGGGTCAGGTCTCAGCAGGGTCATGAGCACTCACCACTTTGCTGATCTCTGAGAGCAACCTTATTGGTTTCTTGAGGCAGTGCTGAGATTGATTAGTGATGTCTGCCAGGGGCACAGGGCTGGGGAAACCATAACTGATCCAGCACTTAACTTGCTTGCTATTCCTGTTTTATTCCGATCATTTTACATCTCTGTGAAACCAATAAAGGCCTCTTTGTAGGCTTTGCCCCCTCTCCCCTGGTGATGGGTATTATAATAAGGACCCCCACAAATGTTCCTTCTTCCTCGCCCTGTGCCTTACCTGATCTATTTGTACAGCCTTCAAACTCACAGGCCCATCTCTGTTCTCTCTTTCAGTTGAAGAGGGGGAGGCCTCAGACTTCTCGCTGGCCTGGGATTCCTCCGTGACAGCAGCAGGTAAATGCCCGGGGGCTGGTGGAAGAGTTGCAGGGGGTCCTGGGGGCTGGCCCAGGAACTCAGAAAGCCACCCAGCTGGTTATGGAAATGATATTCTTCGTGTCACATTCCTGCCTCCAATCCAGACTACCCCATGCAACACGATTTTTATATCAGTTCCATATGGTCAATAAAATCTATTACATACGGAGACTAATATTCCCTTATTCTCCCGAGGGCCACATTTCCTTCTTGTGGCTACAGTTCAGATGGGCAGTGATTTTCCCACTGCACAAGCCTTGAAGCTCCCTGCTATGGGCGTCACTGCACATTCATTCCAATCTAATTGCATAAAAGCCACTTTAATAGGACTTTTAAACTCCAGTCTACATCAGAATTCCTCTTTCCCTCCCTGGAAGGGGCTGCTCTGCATTCTCAGGGCTGGCAGAGCTGAGCTCATGCCTCCAGGGAGAGGTAATAGAGGGAGCTCAGACTCGTGGGGTGTCGGGGGTGACGTGACAGTCAGGATCCCCGCATAAGCTCTTTCCTGTACCTCTGTTTCTTAGCTGTAAAAAGAGGTGGATGAGTAAAGTTTTTCTGACTGTGAAGTTTTGTAGCTTGGAGCCTTCCCATGAGTACTGAGATTAGAACTGGCTTTGAGAGGTCTTTGGGAGCTCCTGAATGAGGGCCCAGGCTCTCCTGTTTGCTCCTCATGCAGCCAGGGCCTCTCTTGGCAGTGATGCCCCTGGCTCCCTGTCCGGCAGGCGCCGGGATCCCCTTCCTTGTCCTCCTCCCCTGCCTTGGGCCAGGCCTGCCCTGGGATCCTGACCAGCTTTTTCTGGATTTGTGGGGGAGCTGGAGCTGCTTCAGTCTTGCAGAATCCTAAGGCCTGAGGAGGCCTATGAGGGAACATTCAGTCCAAGCTTCTCCTCTTTTAGTTGTGGAAACTGAAGCAGGAAGAGAGATTTGCTCTGGGTCAGTATTTCAGAAACGCGGTTAGGCATCAGGTATATAAACATTTAATGTTTTCATGGTTATGTGTCTAATGTGTGGTATTATAGACATTTGTGACTTACGATGATGCTAAATTCATTTAAGTGAAAAAACTGAGTTGACAAGAAAGTGTTAATAGTACAGAATACGGAGACTCAGCGGGAAGCTTGAAGATGGTTCAATGAAATTTGGGAAAGGAGACTAAGCCCTTGAACCCAAGCCTGTGGCCCCTGGTTCCGTGTCCTTTCCAGCAGGAGCTAATGCTGCCTGCAGAGTCTCCAGGGTCCTGGTTGACCCAGGCTTGGGCACTGTTGTGGCTGCAGGTGCCCTGGCCCTTGGTGACAGGGGCTTCCTCCATAGAGAGGGGCCTTGTCTGAAGCCAACGTGGTAAGTGGTGCTCAAATTCTAGGGAGGAGGGTCCAGGACTAGGACAGGCCTTGGGGTCAGCACTGGGCAGATAGGAGGCTGGGGGAAGGGGCTGTGTAGCCCCCCGTGTGTCTCCTTCTGTGCGGGGAGTGCGTTCCCCATGGTTGGCGGAAACAGCAAGGCCATAAGGCGCCGTGTCTCAGACATGTAGTCCTCCTGAGAGACGAGGGGTGCAGGGGCTCAGGCTTGCTGCCCGCTCTAGAGAGGATCCCACTGTAGGAACCCCTGAACTAGGAAAGCACTCAGCCCAGTGTTGTCTACAGAAGGTCCTCCTTCCCAGCTGCTTTCCCGGTGGGGCTGGAGGTGATGCAGACAGATGGGAACAGCAGTGGCGTGCAAGGAGGGTGCTGGCAGTGATTGCTATAGACAGACAGCCCTGGGCAGGGGGGGTGTCAAGCACCCCAGCTGCATCCCCTAGGCAGTGAGGTGTCTCCCAGCTTGCAGAAGGCAAGGGTGGTGTTGGTGCTAGGGAACTGGGTTCTGTAGTTCTGTAATTCCATAGTTGGGCAGCCAGTCTTAGGGCCTCTCTGGGGTGCCTGGGAGTAGTGGGAGCTGTGGGATTTGCCAGTTTCCAGGCAAGAGCTGAGCATGCCTCGTGCATGTAGGAGGATGCACACTCCTTGTGACTCCATGGCCGTGGCTCGCCACGGTGCCAGTTTCGGATTCTCTGCTCAGCTATGGGGAGAGGGAGGGCAGAGCATCCCTGGCAGTGGATAATCCACAGCCAGACAGCCAGGCCAGGAATTGTTTTGTTTTCTTTGGCTCATTTTTGCTGGTGTTTTTTCTTTTTTTTTCTTTTTTTTAATAGTTTGTGCTGTGCATGTGTAAATTTTCCTTCCCAGTTCTATTGGAATTGGGCTATTAAAGTCAGCTTTTATTCCCTGAGCACTGGGCGTGTGAGACGGCTCCAAGCCTGGGTGGCAGGCGGAAGTCAGTGTGGGAGGTAGCCCTGGACGTGGGCGATGTCACATTTATTGAGCACTTACTTAGTGCATGCCAGGCACTGAGTGAAGACTCTACCTGCAGCATCTCGCTGAGCCATCGTGACAGCTCTGTGAGGTGGGTGCCACTTCCAGCAGCAGCTCCATAATTTCTCTGTGGGCTTGGTTTAGGGACAGCCATCTGGTTGACACCAGGGCCAAAGGCCTGGTGAAAGCTGCTTTTGTCTAATACTTTTCATTAAACTGAGAAAATGTCACTTGGCCACATCAGAGAATGGCAGCAGATGCCAAAGAAGATTATGGGGGAGCAAAACCTCCCAGGCCATCCTTGGCACTGCTACTGAGAATCCCCATCCTCATTTGACAGATGAGGGAAAGAGCTTGGAGCTGTACAGTAGTGAATCCACGGTCCCCAGTCGGCAAGCTGTGGATCAGGGACTCGAACCCAAGTCCTCCAGAAGCCAGAGCCTGTGGTTTCACCTCTGCACCACTTGGCATCGGGAGGTGGAGAGCTGAGCAGGACCTGAAGGCAGGGCATTATGGGGACTTCTGGAAGGTCCCTGGCAAGACAGGCCTGGTGGCTGCAGGGCATAGGTGGTCCTGCTCACAGGCCCCCAATGTCCCTGGGCTGAGGGCAGTTTACCAGGAGGAAGGGAGAGCTGTAAGGCATGGAGCAGCCCCTCTTCTTGGGGGGCCCTCTTGGCCCAGAGCGCAAGCTTTTCATGCGCCTTCCTCTCCCCTGCTTTTCCCAGCCTTGGGTGTGTGATGGAGAACTGCAATAAAGAAGCAGAATGCGCAGTTTGTGTCTTCACTCACCCCTGGCCTCCCCTGGCCACCCTGCCAGTGGGGACCCTGTGGCCCTCCGCCCCCAGAAACAACCAGGCTTGCTCCTTCCGTGCCCTCGAGCGGGGGCCCTGACAGTGATGGAGAGCCTGGCCTTGCCTGGCAGGGAAAGGAGCGAAATGATCAGCTCATGGCAATATCCTGCAGTCCGGAGGCGGGGGCGTGGGGAGCGGAGTGCGCAGGCCCACTCATGCCACTTGCTGGTGAATGGGGCTGCTAATGGTGAGCCCAGGGGAAGGAGCACTTCATCTGGAGTCAAGATGTGGGGGTGCCTTGGAGGTGTGGAGCTGGAGGAGTTCTTAACCTGTTTTGAGTCACAGGTGCCTTTGGGCATCCAGTGGAACTGTGTGGATTCTCTTTCGGACACACACAGGGTTTCATGTGTGACTTCAGGGGAGTTCGTGGGTCATTCTTCTTCTCCTGCCAACCCCAACTTCTCCTGCCTTGCCAGGCCATAGGTGTGAACTCCTTACAAATGTGAAAGTCCTTTGCAAATGGGAAAACCTTGCCAGGGTCACAAACTCAAAGGCCCACCCAAGGCAGGCTAGTGGCCCAGGTGGGCTGATACGTGAGGGGGCCGTGGTGGATGGTGACACAGACCTTGCAAAGGGGATGGCTGGCCCTCAGCTCCTGCTGGCTGGGCCATGAATTGCCAGAATTCTGGCTGGGTCCAGAGTTGCCAGATCTTCAGAGGTTTTAAAAGAAAAGCCAGAAAGCTGGATTTTCATAAGAAATCTTTAGATTCTTAAAAAAATAAAAACAAACAAACCCAGCTTATATCTTTTTAAAAACAGCTTTATTGAGATATAATTCACATATCATACAATTCACCCATTTAAAGTGAATTTTGGTATATTTAGAGATATGTGTGACCATTACTACAGTCAACTTAGAACATTTTCATGTCCTTAAAAGGAAACTCTGGACCAGGCGCGGTAGCTCATGCCTGTAATCCCAGCACTTTGTGAGGTCAAGGCAGGAGGATTGCTTGAGCCCAGGAGTTTGAGACCAGCCTGGGTAATATAGTGAGAGCCTGTCTCTACAAAGAATAAAAACAAAATAGCCCTGGGCATGGTGGCATGCACCTGTAATCCCAGCTACTTGGGAGGCTGAGGCAAGAGGATCACTTGAGCCCAAGAGTTTGAGGTTACGGTGAGTTATGATCATGACACTGCACTCCAGCCTGGGTGACAGAGTGATAACTTGCCTGCCTGCCTCTGAAATAACTAACTAAATAAAAGAAAAAGAAAAAAATAATAAAAAAGAAACACTGTATCCTTAGCTATCACCCCTGCCCTCCTACCCCTCCCAGCCCCAGGCAACCATTGATCCACTTTCTTTTTTTTTTTTTTTTTGAGACAGAGTCTCATTCTGTCACCTAGGCTGGAGTGGGGTGGCATGATCTCAGCTAACTGCAATCTCCACCGCCCGGGTTCAAGCGATTCTCCTGCCTCAGCCTTCCGAGTAGCTGGGATTACAGACGTGTGCCACCACACCTGACTAATTTTTGTATTTTTAGTAGAGACAGGGTTTCACCATGTTGGCCAGGCTGGTCTTGAACTCCTGACCTCAGGTGATCCACCCACCTTAGCCTCCCAAAGTACTGGGATTACAGGCATGAGCCACCACACCTGGCTGATCCACTTTCTGTCTCTGTAGACTTGCCTATTCTGGACATCCTGTCAGTGGAGTCATATAATACATAATCTCCATTGACTAGCTTCTTTCACTTAGCCTAATATTTTCAAGGTTCATCCATGTTATTATAGGAGGTGTCTGTCCTTCACCCCTTTTTAGGGCTGTATAATATTCTATTGTATGGGAGGACCACATTTTGTTTGGGTATTGTTGATTGACATTTTGGTTGTTTTCATCTCTGGCTATTGTGAATAGAGCTGCTGTGAATATCCATGTAGAAGTTTTGTTTTGTTTTTAGAGGTGGAGTCTAGCTATGCTGCCCAGGCTGGATTTGAACTCCTACCTCAAGGGATCCTCCTGCCTCAGCCTCCCCTTGTAGTGGGGACTACAGGTGTGTGTCACCGCACCTGGCAATGTACAAGTTTTTGCTTGAACGCTTGTTTTTATTTCTTTTGGGTGTGTTTGTAGGCGTGGAATTGCTGGGTTATAGGGCAACTTTATGTTTAACCTTTGGAGGAGCCACCAGACCTTCCCAGGCGTTTTACATTCCCACTGCTCATGAGGATTCCACTTTTTCCAGGTCCTTGTCAACACTTGTTATTTTCCTTTTTGTAAATTCTAAACTTCCTAGTAGGCATGAAGGTATCTCATTCTGGACAACTCATGGATTTCTTTTTCTTTTCTTTTTTTTTTTTTTTGAGTTGGAGTCTTGCTCTGTTGCCAGGCTGGAGTGTAGTGGCACCATCTTGGCTCACTGCAACCTCCACCTCCCAGGTTCAAACGATTCTCCTGCCTCAGCCTCCCGAGTAGCTGGGACTACAGGCACGTGCCATCACGCCCAGCTAATTTTTATATTTTTAGTAGAGACGGGGTTTCACCATGTTGGCCAGGATGATCTCGATCTCCTGACCTTGTGATCTGCAAGCGTCAGCCTTCCAAAGGCTCCCAGTGCCTTTGACCTCCCTCCTACCAACGTCTCCAAATCCCCTTTATTCTGCGCATCACAGCCTGGCACTAGCCCTAACCCTAACCCCCCCTCTCTCCCGCCAATCCCAGCCTTGTACGAAACCTACCCCTACACCTAACCCCCCCTCTTTCCCACCCATTTCAGCCTGCTACTAAACCTAACGCTAGCTCTAACCCCCCTCTTTCCCGCCCATCCCAGCCTGCTACTAACCCTAACCCTACTCTAACCCTAACCCTAACCCCCCTCTTTCCCGCCCATCCCAGCCTGCTACTAACCCTAACCCTACTCTAACCCTAACCCTAACGCCCCTCTTTCCCGCCCATCCCAGCCTGCTACTAACCCTAACCCTAACTGTAATGCTAACCCTAATCCCCCTCTTTCCTGCCCATCCCAGCCTGGCACTAATCCTAACTCTAACCCTAACCCTAATCACCCCCTCTCCCACCCATCCCAGCCTGGTACTAACCCTAACCCTACCCCTAACCCCTGTCTCTCCCGCCCATCCCAGCCTGGCAGGGAGACACATCTTACCTTCAGCATTTCCTCCCTCTTCCCACAAGCCCTTTGGAATGAGGTCTCTAAGTGGCAGACACCAGAAACATCATGCGTGATCCTGAGGTCTATGATGTGGGGTTTCAGGGAACCAACACGACCATGTGGAAATTTACCTCCTCTTTCCCTGTGACTGAGTTTGATCTGGGAGCTGAAGCTGCTCATCTTTTTTTTTTTTTTTTTTTTAATTGAGACAGGGCCTTGCTATGTTGCCCAGGTTGGTCTCGAACTCCTGGGCTCAAACAATCCTCCTGTCTCAGCCTCCCAAGCAGCTGGAATTACAGGCATGTACCACCATGCTTAGCGTGAAGTGGGTAAGGGGGTCATTTTTATGTAATTGTCTAGTCAGAGTCTCATTGGAATCTCCCACCTCTCCAGGCTGGGTTCTGGGACTGGTTGGGCAGAGTCTGCTCCATGGCTTCCATCCAGCATAGCAGCTCTGGAACAGCAGCAGGGAGAGGCAGTAGGAGAAGGGTCTGTGGATGGGCCAGAGATAGGACACAGTTTGCTGACACATACTTCTTGTGAATGCCTGGGCAGGTTAGGTAAGTTTATTTCTGGCATGGTGACAGACACACTTGTGGTTTGAGAGGAACACTCAGTATTATCAGTTGACCGTGATGGACCCGCAGCCTGAGACCTTATTGGTGTCGCACTGTGATCAGACTTTTAGGCTTTCCTGCCATGGGACAGGTCTTCTTGCTCTGGTTAATAGGAACCGTCACTCCCATTTACGAGGTGCTTCTAGGAGCCAGGGCTCCTTTCCAGTGCTTTTCACATACATGTGAGAAAACCGAGAAACAGAGATGCTATAACTTGGTTCTAGGTCACTCAGCCAAGAAGTGGCAGAGTGAGGGTTTGAACCCAGGCCGCTCATGCATGAATTTAGTGCCTCAACTGTAGATGGCAGACATGCCGGTGAGAAAGTGGGTCCCATGCCTTGTTTTAGAGGAGACTCTCTGGAATCAGCTCTGTGCCCCGGTCACTCCTGGGTCAGGTAGAAGAGTCTGACTGCAGCCAGCTCTCAGGATTTGCTGCCTGGAAGGAGAGGAGGTACATGTTTTGAAGACCTTGCACACATCTCCCATGTTCAAAGCCAGGCCTGGAAAACACTGGGCCAGGCTCTCTGCAGGGACTCACACCACCTCCAGCCCCATCCCCAGCCCTCCTTCCACATCTGGGTGTTGGGCATGGGGCCAGTTTGCAGGGGAAGGTGGGGATAAGGCTGCAGTCTCTGGGACCTGCTCAGATGGGAGGTAGAGCTGGCAATGGGGTAGCTGGTGTCCTGGGACCTCCTTGGGAAGAATGCATTGAAGCCTCCCATTTTTCTTTTAGCCTGGTTCTGGGTAAAAGTTGGGGTGAGGAGAATGGTCAGGGTCCCTGCTCCTGACCAAGGCGACAGCCTCATCCCCTGCAGTCCTTTGCCCCGAGGTTTTGGCTGGGGAAATGGATAGAAATGTCCAGAAGCCCGGGCCTTTCACCATGGGGAGGCGAGGCCACTCCGTGCAGTCCCGCCTGCACTTCTGAACCACGCGGAGCTGCCTCCTGCCCTGCTTGTGTTTTGCTGGAGTGCATAGTTATTATTTCAACAGCTTCACAGAAACTCCACCCACACCCCTGCGCTTCTGCACTTGCGTTTGCATTTCTCCCAGTCCCCTTTCGAGCTCCATTCGTCTATAAGCTTCTAGATGAAGTCCACGCTGAACTCGCAGTGGGTTTCCCTGTAGTCCCTGTTGGACCTGAGCTTCCTGTGATCCTGGGACCCACGTACCTCTCACCTTAGTGTCTGTGCTGGAGCCCTTGAGTGGATGGGCATGAATGTTATTCTCCGCCTCTCCCCTGTTGGACGTTTGGACTGCTTTAGGTGATGGCTGTTGTAAATAATGCCATGATGAACATCTTCGTGTGGGTGGTCTTTTTTTTTCTCCTTTGGAGATTTTCTCAGGGGCTCCCAGCACCTTCTAACTTTTTCTTTCAATCCCCAAATCAAGGCTGGAGAGACTGTTCCCCTCTTCTCTGTCCATTGCTCCCCGCTGGGTCTCACTTTACACATTTCCCCAAGTGACCGTCCTGCATTGGGTCACCTGTGGGATGTCCCACCCACCCACGATACTTGCCTGGAGCTGCCTGGCTGTGGCCCGTGGTGCATGCTGCCTGGGCGCCCTTTGGCTTCCGGCTGGTGTGCTGGTGGCGTCCACCTTTTGTGCTTGAGCCCTCAACCCAATCATCTTCTTGATGAGGACCAAGGGACATTTTAAAGGAGCAAAAAAGTCTCACTAAATAGATGTAGAATTTCCCAGCATTTTAAAGACTTATGAAATGCATTTTTATATGGGGCCAGCTGGGGAGTTTCTCATTAGCTCGGCTGGGGAGCCTGTGGGGAGTTGAGCTAAGTGGAGCCAGGCAGGCTGGGTAGGAAGACGCGGTGGCCCTGAGCTCACCGGGGGAGCGTGGCAGGCATGCGCTGGCGGGTTGGCTCCATGGACCCCTGGCCAGGCAGCCCGGGCTGCGCCTTTGTTAGAGCTGCTCCCCCTCTAGCACAGGGGGCCTCAGAAATCGTCAGGTGGTGACTGGAGCTGAGAGGTGGCCACTCTGTTACCATGGTGAGCAGTCTATGGGGTAGGGCATTCTGTATCTTGTGTGCACACGGATGCATGCACTTGTGTGTGTGCTTGTGTGTAAGTATGCCCAGGTAGCTGCAGCCCTGACTCGGACCCCTGGCAGGGGGAGGCTCCAGCACCCCTGTGCTCCGCCTGCTGGTTTGTGCTGCATCCTGGGCTCCCTGGGGCTGCCTTGGACCAGTTCTCTGAGGAGGAGGTGGCATTTCCTGCCCACCCTTTTCCTCTGGCTCTGCACCAGCCTTGGGGCCCCCATTGGGCTCCACTGTACTTGGCTTCCTCGTCGACATGCCTGCTGTGCACATGTGTATGCAGAGCCTGTGCATACATGTACACATGTGTGCTCTGGACTCAAGTGTGCTGGTACCCAGGACATGTGGAAATGAACACGTGTGCAGTGCGTCTTCTGACTCCTGTTTTCCTCCTGTACCTCTACCCTGGCTGATGACTTCGCTTCCACGGAGCTAGGCTTGTCTTGCTGATTTCCACCCACTTGAGATGGACTTGGGGCTTCCCTGATGGCAGGGATGCTGTCATTTGTCTCGTGTCCCTGGCCTGGCATTGAGATTTTGCAGCGCAGTTGCTCAGTTGATTTGGGACCATCTGCCCCAGCAAGCCCATGGCCCTGCCCCTCCTCTCCTGGTGCTGTTGGGCTTTTCGGGGGACTTCAGTAATGAGGATTGTAAAGACAAGGAGGGGCCAGTCCTACTTTCTCCAAAGCTGGGGTGCTCCCTGAGGATGGAAAGGCCTCTCTTTGGTGTTGGCTGTTTCCTAGGTCCCCAAGGATCCCGCTGTCCTGCTGGTGGACACTGGAAATCAATAGTTCTTTGGCGACTTGAAGCCTGCCTGTAAACAGTCAGGCATGTCTGTGGGTTGGGGTGTGTGGGGTGGGGTGCCAATGGCATAACTCCTCATGCATTTGGGGGAGTTGCTGCCCATCCTGCTCCCTCCAGTGTTGCCCAGCCTTGTGCGTCCTGGGGTGGTTTGCACCAGTGCTCCTCAAACTTGAACATGTGTGCAAATTGTCAAGATGCAGATTCTGACTCAGCAGGTCTGGGTAGGGCCTGAGATTCTGCATTTCTAACAGGCTCCAGGGTGATGTTGATGCTGCTGGTCCATAGACTGTGTGTGTCCCCTTGGCATTTTTTGAAGCTCAGCCTAAATGACACCTCCTCCAGGAAGTTTCCCATGATAGCCCTGACATAATTTTGTGCCCCCTGAGCCAAAGAGCTCCTGATCCTGGCCCTCAGTGCTCCCGCTGCCCTCTGCTTGGTTCTAATGTTCCTTCTCTTATACCCAGCTCCCTGATGCTCTGCTCACTCCTAGGGGACAGTGACCAAGTCTGATTCTCTGTGTCTCCACAGCCCAGCCCTGGCTTGGCAGTTGGCAGGTGCCTGGCAAATGTCTGCCAAGATGCAGAATCTCACCTCTACTTCTTCGTCTGTATTTGTCCTGGGAAGTGCAGGGCCTGAGTTTTGTTCACTTTGTTTAGAGCAAAATCTGGGTTTGAGGTCTAGATACTTATTAGCTGTTCAATATGGAGTAAGTTACTAAACCTCCCTGTCATTTCATTTTCTCATCGGAAATGGGGAGAATAATAATTCTACTTCCTAAGGCCATTGTGAGGATGGCACGGGAAATCCGTATGGAGTGCTCAACCCCTAAGGTGCCACCTGGCACCCTGTACCTTTACTTTTGCTATTGACACCATGTGGAGGGAAGTGCCATAGGAGCTTAGCTCTGAGCTTTGCGTCTGTATGGGTGACAGAGAAGGCTCAGATGGGCCCCTCCTTCTCGTCACATCGTCACAGCTTCCTGCCTTTCTCCCCACATCGTGACTGGCAATCTCTGGGCATGGCCACAGTGCCTGGGGCAATCCGCTTCACCTTCCTGCAGATTTGGGGTGGAACTGAGTCTGTAGGGAACCATTCTTGTTCACCGTGGTTGGTGAGGCATGGCTTGTTTCCCAAGTGGGGAAGGCCAGGTGGGGTGGGGGTTGGTGGGAGGTGGGCTGGGTCTGCTCTGAAAGGTAGAGGCCTGAGGCTGACCTGAGATCAGGTTCCTTCCTTGGGTGGGGCTGGACACATGGACTGTGCGGCCATGGGCCAGTGCCCATTAGGAAATGGCCAAAATCAGCTTGACCACACCACCTGGCGTGTGTTGGCTTCCTGGGTGGACACTCTGCAGGGCCCAGCTCCTGGGTTGGATATGGTCAATGGTGCCCTGCTGTAGACTGCAGGCAGCCCACAGGGGTTAGGCTGCTGTCATGTCAGCTGACATTCCCTTAACATTCTTGAATGTGCAGGCAGGTGCACACACACGCACACACACACACACTCTCACACACATGAGATTATGCTGAACCTGGCTATCTGATGCCTCTCTGGTTCAAAAAATTATTATTTTACCTCCACTGATAATTTGTTCTCCTTTGTCATGGTTGATTGCTTTAACTGATGGCTGCTGGCCATACGTGATAGTTAGCACATCAGACTCATGCTTAGTCTGGCAAATATGATATATTTTACTTATGCTATTCTACTTATCAAGGCTAAATGCCTTGCAAACCTGGCAAGCTTGTGGAGGCAGGGACAGTGCCTGTTTGCTTCCTGTCGTATCCTCAGCAATTATCACTGTCTTAACAATAACAATTAAAAAATAATAACCATCTAGTGAGCATCCACTTGGTGCCAGACAGGGGGCTGTGACATGCATTATCTCATTTAAGCCTTGTTAACCACAGTATTAGCATTCCCGTCTCACAGATGAGCAACTGAGGCCAAAGAGCTAAAGAGACTAGTCCAGTCTGCACAGCTAGTTGGGGTTTTGTCTGAGTCTAGGGCACGCTTTCTGTAGTTGCTAATTCACAGTGCCTGGGACTCAGTGGAGACTTACTGCATCTTGGTGGAATGACGGGCACTAGAATGTGCTGTAATCCCTAATGTCATTGCAGCGACACACCACTAGTGAGAAGCCACCAGGGTCAGTGTGGGAATGAGTGATTGCTAATGGGCAAAAACCTGTGAGTGCTCTTTGGTGGTGATGTGTAAATTCACAAGTCATTGTGTGTGCATGCATGTGCACACACAACATACACATATTACATGCACACCAACACAAGGATGCATGCACACATTCATACATATATATGCTCATACTCTCACTCAGTGCAAATGTACTCCACACAATGCACATGGACATTCACACACATGTAGGTACACATTTGCACACAATGCACATGTACCACCCATGCACATGTAAACACACACGTATGTGCACATTGGCATATGCATACTCCACACAATACACACATTCACATATATGGGCCTTCACATACATGTTCCTCCATACTACACACATATGTACGCACAGCCAAGTGCATGCATATGCATAATGCACACCCACACAGATGCCTGCAGACACAGGTATGCACACACATGCATAACACAGATGCACACCCATACGTGCATACAGGAGTGTGTTCACACTGCCAACATACCCATAGTGCGCATGTGCACACACTTACAAATGCATGCACATACAGAGGCATACACACATATGCAGCATTCACTCATCCACACCCAGGCATGCAAATGAGCAGAAAAAGCCTGTTTCTGGGCTGTCTCCCTTGAAGGATCAGGAACAGTGCCCAGGCGGGGTGTTCAAGATGTCCAGATTGTCTCCTTGCTCTGTTTTCTTTCTTCCATTTCTTTGTCGTACCCTCAGGGCCCTAGACATTCTTTCCATCCAAAGATTTGCACCCCTGCACTTGGGCCCAGTGCTGGGCTGACCCTGGTGTGGACCTAGACCCCAGTCTTGGTGCATCTGTCTGTTCGCCTGCCTGGCCTGCTGTGGCCTGCATGGGCCGCCCCGCAACCCCCAACTTGCATGTGACTTCATTTTACACCCTGCACCTGCCTCTTTAAGAGACCAGGGGCCTGGCAGGCCTGTCCCCAGGGTCGGGGCTGGGGGAGGCTGGACAGCTGCAGGTTGGGGGGAAGCTTTGTGAGCTCCCAGTGGCCTCTTGGAGCCTGGGTAATGCTGGGGAAACTGAAACAAAGGCCGACAATGGCCTCCTTCCCTCCCCGGGTGGCCTCGGAGCAGGGCCTGCCTGGGCGGCCTCTGGGGGCCCCTGTTATTTCCTGTGCTGGCTGTGGGGCTCCTGGCCAGCTTGGAATGGGGCAGGAAGCTGGGCAGGGCATCGCCTCCCCACCCGCTGGGCTGGCCCTCGCAGGCCAGAGTAGCCGCTCCTGGGAGTGGGGGTCGGCTCAGCGTTCCTGTTCTGTGACCGCTGCTCCAGCTCCGCTTGGCCTGGTCTGCCCTACTCAGGTCTGGCCAGGCCTCCCAGGAGGGAAACTCAGCCTTCCGTCTCCGCTGCCCTCTCCCTGCTGCCGACTCCATGTGCTCCCACCATCTTCATTGAGTCCATCTATGCTGTCACCTGAGCTCCTGCATCTCCTCTCCCTAAATGGCCCAAGCCTCTGTGTTCAGAGCCCTTGCCCCACAGAGCCAAGGACAGGGTCAGGCAGGGAGCATTTCATGGCTTATTAATTAATTCATTTGGGATTATGCTAGAGGTTAGCATAGGTTTGGTTATCAGGGTTAGGGTTACACTGAAGGTTAAGTTTAGCGTTAGGTTTACCAAACCCTGCAGACCAAAAAGACACGAGCGTTAAGGGCATGGGTTTTCAGGCAGATAGGCCCTTATTTCAATCCTGATTCACCACCAGTTATTCATCATAGTATTGTCAGGCGTCTGTGTGCTTCTAGGCCACAAGGGCACAGTTGGGTCCCTGACTTCCAGGACTCACATTCTAGAGTGAGGAGGCAGCAGTGGGCAGGTGAACACACACAGCACAAATTAAGTGTATTCACTGTGAGAATGGGCTTGACTCAGTGATTGCACCTTCCCAGAGCTCAGTTTTGTGATCTGTAGAATGGGAATAACAAAGCCCCTACCTTGTGGCACCATTATAAGGACAAGTGAGAGGGTACATGACATGTGTCCAGCATGGTGCCTGGCACACAGCATGTCCCCAATAAGTGCTAACTGTGATGATTACTAATGAAAGGCTGTCGAGGTGGCCTGTGGGTCAGTGGGGAGCTCAAATAATAGTTGAAGAGACTAATTATGTCAAAACCTAAGGGAAGGGTCAGGATGCCTTTGAGCCTCCTGGCAGCCAAGGCCCAAAGAGAAATAGAATCAAAGCTGCTTCTGTATTATGTAAGAGCTTGGGACAGACCAGTGTTTTCCCCCTGGCTTGGAATGCTGAGGAATTTATTCTGTGGATCCTCATTAATCAATGGACAAACAGCAGGAACCATCTCAGTAACAATTTGGCACACGATGCAGAAACATCTTTCTTAGAGTTCCTTCTTCAATTGACCCTGGAAAAATGCTCCGTGCCTCAGTGCACCACACAACCCTGGAGTTCCATGCAGTACAGCCTGGAGGGAGCTGGGCGGAGGCAATGCTGCCTTTGCTGGGCTGCGTCTGGGGGCTGGTGGGGCAGCTGCTGGGGTAACTTTCCTAAGTGCCTGGTTAAGTGCAATTGAATGGGTTTCTTTAAGGCAGGATCTCCAAGGGCCCTCAACATGCCTGTGGATGCTTTGAGTCATAGAGAGGGTTCTTAAAACTCTTGGGCTCAGAATCTGTCCTTCATCCCTTTTTTTGACTACCACCTATCCCTAAGCCCGGAATCTTGGAACACAGTTTGGGAAGCTCTGTTTATGTGCTTCTCCTTTGAACTGAACACCATGGGAGGCACCTCACTCACGGTGTCCCCTCCTCCCCTTGCCCAGACTGTCATTTGGCTGTGGTTTATTCCGATAGGCCTGGGGGTCTTCATCTGGCAGAGCCCACCCACCTGTTGCTTACTTCTTACTGGATGATTGCATTTACTCATCTTATCTGAGTCCAATCCAGCCTCCAACAGGGGTGCAGTTAGGGAAACTGAGGCTCAGAATGCGTAGAGGGCTCAGGGCATGCTCACACACATGCATACACCTGCATGCACGCACGATCACCCACTTTTTGCTCTGCGTGTGTAGGAACGTTGTTCTGTGTCTGAGATCTAAAGTCTGGCTGGAGCCCCCTCTCCCTCTCCTGCCCACCTCCCCCTCCTGGTGGGCAGGACTGGGAGCCTGCCCCAGTTAGGCCTGCCAGTGGCCACTTACTCCGTGTCTGGCGGGTGCCCTGTGGAGTTTCCATGGTGAGCTGTCCTCTGGGGGCCCTGGGTGGGACTTTCCATCTGGGTGGAAACCTGACCCACTGGCCCAGGGCTGGAAGGGGAGGAAATGCCTTCTCCAAACGTGGAAAGAGGAAGCAAAGAGAGGTGGCCAGCCTGGGATTCCAGCCACAGTCCCTGACTTCTGCAAAGCCACAGGGCCTGAGGACCCCAAGGAGCCTGGGAAAGAGCTGCGTAGGACTCACCCATCAGGGACGGCCACAGCTCAGATAGGGCCATAGCTGCACAGTGTGGCTTCGCTTTGGGAGCTGACTGTTGTAGGCTCCTGTGGTTCTGCCCTTGAGCTCGTGCATGTCTGTGCTGGCATTCCTTGCATGCTCTTGCAGAGACTTGGGGCCAGCCAGTTGGTAAATGGCTGGGCCAGGATTTGGACTCAGCTCACTGTCCCCAAGGCCCATGTGGTTGTCACTCTGCCTCCTTGCCTCCCTCAAGCAGGCATTTCCATAGGCATTGCCTCACTGAGTCCTTGCGGGCGCACTTTGACCATTGGTATTATCATTATTCTTGTATTTCATAGGTGGAAATTGAGGCTCAGAGAGGCTAGGCATCTTGCCCAATGTCACACAGCAAGTTTGTGGCAGAGCTGCACTATAGCACAGATTCCACTCACCCTTTACTTTGCTGACAACAACATATGCCTATGTACAGGTCATTATTTATCATTTAACTTCCTTCAACATAGATAGGCACATTTGCCAAAAAATGAGGACAATAACAGTGTAAAGGGATTGGCAATTGCAGTCAACAGGAGCTGGCTTACTCAGGGAACCTGCGATGTGGTTAGGCACTGTGTCCCCACCCAAATCTCTTGAATTGTAATCCCCCAAATCCCCATGTGTCAGGTGGAACAGGTGGAGATAATTGAATCATGAGGGCAGTCTCCCCCGTGCTGTTCTCGTGACAGTGAGTGAGTTCTCACAAAATCTGATGGCTTTTTTTGTTTGCTTTTTGTTTTTTTTTTGTGAGATGGAGTCTTGCTCTGTCACCCAGGCTGGAGTGCAATGGTGGCATCTCGGCTCACTGCAATTTTCGCCTCCTGGGTTCAAGCGATTCTCCTGCCTCAGACTCCCGAGTAGCTGGGATTACAGGCACCCACCACCATGTCTGGCTAATTTTTGTACTTTTAATAGAGATGGGGTTTTGCCATGTTGGCCAGGCTGGTCTCGAACTCCTGACCTCAGGTGATCCACTCGCCTAGGCCTCCCAAAGTGCTGGGATTATAGGCATGAGCCACAGTGCCCAGCCAATCTGATGGTTTTATAAGGGGCTTCCCCCTTCGCTCAGCACTCACTCCATCCTGCCACCCTGTGAAGAAGGTGCCTGCTTCTCCTTTGCCTTCTGCTATGATTATACATTTTCTGAGGCCTCCCCAGCCATGTGGAACTGTGAGTCAATAAACCTCTTTCTTTATAAACTACCCAGTCTCAAATATTTCTTCATAGCAGTGTGAGAATGGACTAATACAACCTGTGATGTGGGTGAGAATCTGCTGTTCCCTCGGGTGTTGGTCTCTGTGGCCCCTTGTGGGGCAGGTAAATTTGACTCTGGGGTTTTAAGATGTATTTTCATCCCACATGCTTGATGTATGGACCAAACCATTCTCCATGGATGTATCTCAAGCCACAGCAGTTGTATCTTAGGGGAGAGGAAAGAGTTTTGGGGAATAACTTTGACTCTAAGACACATTTGCCTCATAGACTAACTTTAGAACCTGGCACTCCCTTGCCCCCGAAGCTGGGACAACAGGGGTGAGCCTGTGCCTGACCCACGGGTTCACCAAGGATGCTTGGACCAATGTGTCAGGGCAGGTGTGATGGCCAATTCTGTGTCAATATGACTGGGCTAAGGGCTGCCCAGACAGCTGGTGAAACATGATTTCAGAGTGTGACTGTGCAGGTATTTCGGGAAGAGATGAGCATTTTGATGGCTGGACTGAATAAAGCAGACGGCTCTCACCGGTGCAGGCTGGCATCATCCAGTCCACTGATGGTCCGGATAGAATGAAAAGGCAAAAGAAGGGTGAATTTGTTCTCTTTGTTTGAGCTGGGCCATCCGTCTTCTCCTGCCCTTGGACGTCGGCACTCCTGTTTCTTGCGCCTTCAGCCTGGGACTGGGACTGACAACATTAGCTCCCCTGGGTTTCAGGCCTTGGGATTTGGACATGAACTGCAGCATCGGCTTTCCTGGGCTTCCAGCTTGCAGATGACACAGGGTGGGATGTTTCCAGCTTCTATACCTGTGTGATCCAGGCCCTCATAACACATCTCTTTTGTATGATCCAGGCCCTCATAACACATCTGTGTGATCCAGGCCCTCATAACACTTCTCCATATATCCATATGTGGATCCTCTTGACTCTAGTTCTTGGGAGAACCCTGGCTAAGGCTCTAGTTCTTGGGAGAACCCTGGTGAGGGTATGTGGGAGCTGAATTTTCTCTGTGTGAGTCCATTTTCATACTGCTGTGAAGAAATACCCAAGACTGGGTAATTTATAAAGAAAAAGAGGTTTAATGGCCTTACAGTTCCACATGGCTGGGAGGCCTCATAATCATGGTGAAAGGCAAAGGAAGAGCAAAGGCACGTCTTACATGGTGTCAGGCAAGACAGAATGAGAGCCAAGCAAAGGGGGACACACCCCTTATAAAATCATCAGATCTTGTGAGATTTACTCACTACCATGAGAACAGTATGGGGGAAACTGCCCCCATGATTCAATTATCTCCAACAGGGTCCCTCCCACAACACATAGGAATTTTGGGAACTACAATTCAAGATGAGGCTGTACTTGGTGGCTCATGCCCGTAATCCCAGCATTTTGGGAGGCTGAGGCAGGAGGATCACTTGAGGTCAGGAGTTCAAGACCAGCCCGGCCACCATGGTGAAACCCTGTCTCTACAAAAAATACAAAAATTAGCCAGGTTTGGTGGTGCATGCCTGTAATCCCAGCTACTCTCAGGAGGCTGAGGCAGGAGAATTACTTGAACCTGAGAGGTGGAGGTTGCAGTGAGCTGAGATCACACCATTGCACTCCAGCCTGGGTGACAGAGTGAGAGAGTGAGACTCCTTCTCAAAAAAAAAAAAAAAAAAAAGAAAAAAAAAAAAGAAATTCAAGATGAGATTTGGGTGGGGACACAGGACACAGCCAAATGATACCAGTCTCCATCGGTGGTGTTATGCTTAGTCTTACTCCTGAACAACACCTCTCAGCCCACTTCCCGGGGCCTGACCTGGAGGTGCCTTGGGCCTTGGCAGAGGGGAAGATTGGCTTCTCTGCTCCTCCGTCCCTTGGCCCCGACTCCTCCAGCATCCAGCACCCCTCCAAGCTCTGGTGCGAGGGAGGGAAGGTGGGGGCTGGAAGCCATGGCCTCCTGCTGCCGTGGGGAGGCTCCTGTGGGGTGGCTGGCTGGATTCAGAGGCCACCAACAACTTTGGGAAGTCTTAGTGCCCTGGGCCAGGTGGAAGCAACAGAGGCTTCACTGGGGCAGTTGGCTGGGAGAGCCACGTTGGTGGGTGATGTAGTAGGGCCCGGAGATGATCTCTTGTAGGCCCGCACTTTGTCCTTCGTCTGCATCTTGGCCCCTATGCCTTGTGCCCCTCCGAGAGCACCCTCTCTCCCCTTTCCCACCTACTCCAAAGTGGCAGTCTTCCAAGGCCCAGCCGCTGTCCCTGCCTTCCACAAACCCTTTGCACGTGAGTCTTCTGGGGGGGCCTGTCCTTTCCATGAACCCCTATCCTGCCCTTCAGAGCCTATGACGACCACATGCTGGCTTGTTCCTTTTCCTCAGCCATTCATAGGCTTCGTCTCCTTCCCACCGTGGAGCAGGTTCTCTCCCTCCCCTACTCCCCCTAACCCCAGTAATCTAGCACCAGGCTCACACTATACATTTACTCATGGATGGACAGTTTCTCAGCACTTCTAGCACCAGGAAGTTCTACTTAATGTCTAACCACTTTTTCCATTGCTGCTGGCTGAGCCTCGGTGCTGTTGTTGCAAGACCTCTCTTTGAAGGGCTGTGATGGTTATGAGCCTGCACCACTGGCAGGATCCATGAGGGCCCATTCATTCATTCATTCATTCGTTCATTCTTTTATTCATTCTTTCAGTCACAGATATTATTGAGCACCTACCATGTGCTGGTGAACATCCAGGAACAGAACTGACAAAGTCTCTGCTGTGCTCAGAGCTCACAGTCTTGTGGGGAGATGGCACTAGAAAAGTAAAAAATGAATCAATGAATAAAAATGCACCACATGCTTTCACTAGGGGTGGCCAGCAGGGTGACCAGATAGATAGAGTGGTGGGAGGTGAGGAGGAGAGGGCCGGCTGTGTTGGGGTGGTCAGAGAGGCCTCTGTACCAAGGAGGGGGCGTTAGAGCCATGCACAGCAGCGGAAGCAGTGTCCCAGGCGTTCCCCACTGTGGGACAGAAGGGACTTCACTGTGCCTGGAGGAGAGCAAGTGCCAGGCAGAGGAGGGAGAGGTGGGCTTGGAGATGAGGGAGGGAGACGGGGGTGTGAAATGAGGTGGTGGGGGGAGCGTGAGGTCAGGGAGATGAGAGGGGGAGAGAGGGGAAAGACGGAGCAGAAAGGAAGGAGGTGAGGTTGGGAGATTGTCGAGGGGAGCAGGCAGAAGTGTCTCATTTCAGGCCTGGAGCCTTAGTGGGTGCCTTGGCTTTTCTTCTGAGTTGATGGGGAACCAGGGAGGGCTTTGCACAGGGCAGTGGCGTGATCAGGTTTATATCTGGAAGAGGTCCCTCTAGTTGTGTGTGGGGAAGAGATGGTCGGGGCTGACCAAGTACTCATCCAGGTGCAAGCTTATGGGGTTGGGAGCAAGGTCAGGAGGTAAGCAGAGGTCAGATTCTGAGTTTCTTTTTTCTTTTCTTGCCTTTTCTTTCTTTCTTTTTCTTTTCTTTTTTTCTTTTTTTTTTTGAGACAGAGTCTCATTCTGTTGCCCAGGCTGGAGTGCATTGGCGCGATCTCGGCTCACTGCAACCTCCACCTCCCGGGTTCAAGTGATTCTCCTGCCTCAGCCTCCCGAGTAGCTGGGATTACAGGTGCCCACCACCACGCCCGGCTAATTTTTTATTTTTAGTAGAGATGGGGTTTTGCCATGTGGGCCAGGCAGGTCTCGAACTCCTGACCTCAGGTGATCCACCCGCCTCGGCCTCCCAAAGTGCTGGGATTACAGGCATGTGCCCAAGTTTCTTTTTGGAGGTAGGTTGAAAAGAGTTTGTCTCTGGATTGGATGTTGGGCATGAGAAAAGGAGAGGAGCTGAGGAAGCCTGCAAGGTTTTTGGCCTGGGCAGCTGGTGGCTGGGGCTGTGCTCACTGAGATGCAGGGTGCTAGGAGAAGTTGTCAGGGCGTAGGGCAGCTCGGTGTGGATGGTGTGGCTCAAAAGTTCGGCTTGTCCATGATAAGCTTGAGATGCCCGTGAGATGTTGAGGGGGTACTTGAACGTGTGTTCTGGCAATCGGGGGAGGATGGGACCAAGATGTGTTTTGGGTGCCATGAGTGTGTGGCTGGGACAGATGCACCCACTGGGGGGTGAGCATAGACTGAATACAGAGGAGCTGAGGTCTAGGGCCACGTTGACATTGCAGGTTGGGACATCGGCATTGAAGGTTGGGACATCGACGTTGAAGGATGGGATGATGAGGAGAGACTGAGGAGATGGAGAAAGGTGTCAGGGAGGAAGGAGGAAAACTGGGAGCGGGCAGGTCCCCAGAACCCTATGAAGAAAATCTTCCAGGAAGGACAGGGTCACCAGGCAGGTCCACTGCTTTCCAAAGCAGGCGATGGCGTGGGAGTACATGTGCCGTGACCTTGATGACACCGGCTCTTCGTTTAGATGTGGCCAGGTTGCAGGAGACGTGTGGAAGGGAAGCCCAGCCTAGCGGCTCTCATGCTTTGCGGGAGCCGGATCTGCTAAAACAGCCTTTGCTTGAAACCATTCTGGGCCGAGAAGAGTTGGGGCTCACGGGTTAATGAAATGAACTCTCGTCTGCAGACTGGCCCATCCGGGGGTGTCCGCGCCGCGCCCCCGTTCCCGGCTCCCGCTCAGGGACGTACCCATGGCTGGAGCAGAGGTGGTGTCTGGGAGCTGCAGACTGTCCACGGCAGAGTCCAGCTGTGCGCGAGCCCTCAGCGCTGAAATTGCCAGCCTCGTGCAGCCCAGAGCCAGCCTGCGGAAGTGGGCCAGCCGCACCTCCGTACAGGATTAGAGGGATGTGTAATGGATTAAAGATCAAAAATGTTAATTAAGAAATGGTCTTTTCTAATAAGATGCCTTCAAGGGCACAGGCCTGAAAAGGAGGGGATTTCTCATTTTGGCAACACGGTTTCTGTTGTAATGAAATTGGTTCACAGACAGTGGGGAGGACCCGACGTAAGCCTGGTTTTAAAGACATCTCCATCCAAATTAATTAGCAATAAAATACAAAGGCCCAAGTGTCAGGCTGGCAGGCAGACAGTGCGTATTGGCCTGGCTGGAAGGATGCGTGGACTTCAGAGGATTCCTTCTGTGTCCTGGTGCCTGCTGGAATGTTGTCCTCGATGCTGTGTTTGAGGGCATGTTCTTGGGGTGCCTGGTGGGGTCTGACTCTCCCTGGGATTAAAGGATGAGGCCTAACTCAGTGGGAACTTGCTGTGTGACTTCTGACTGCGCATGCCCCTCTCTGATCATTCCACTAGTTTCCTTTTTTATCAGTTGTGGATGACAGTGAATGACATCTAATTAGATGTCAGTGACAATGAACAGCGCTCCATGGGCTGTTGGATCAAATTGATTCCTAGATCCCAGTGCTGTGGAATCTCAGAATGGTTCATATGAATCAGTGTGATGATGGCTAAGGGATAGTTTGGTCTTTTTGTACCTGATGCAGCCTCTTGGCTGGGAACAAAGATGGAGGTGCCTTGGCCCACTTCGAGTTCTGCTTTCCCCGGCCTTCCCTGGTCTCCAGGCTTTGAAGTCCCCCATGTTGTTTGAATGTCTCAGAAGACCATCACAGTCTAATGGTTAAGAATTGGGTTCTGGGGCCAGGCACGGTGGCCTGTAAGCCCCGCACTTTGGGAGGCCGATGCAGGAGGATAACTTGAGGGCAGCTGTTTGAGACCAGCCTGGGCAGCATAGCGAGACCCCATCTCTACAAAAAAAATAAAAAAATTATCTGTGCACGAGTGGCACACACCTGTGGTGTAGGAGGACTGCTTGAGCCCAGGAGTTCAAGACTGCAGTGAGTGAGCTGTGTTTGCACCACTGCACTACAGCTTGGGCAACAGAGTGAGACCCTGCCTCTAAAAAAAAAAAAGAAAGAAAGAAAAGAAAAAAAAAGAATTGGGTTCTGGGGTTCTGGAGTTTGCCAGGTCATAAGTTTGCATCCCAGGACCTCCTACTTGGGACTTTAACCTTAGTACTTGACTTGTGAGCGTCAGTTTCCTCATCTGTAAAATGGGATCAGAGGTCCTAGTTTATAGCACAGCCGGGAAGTGAGAAAGGAGATAGTGCTGTGATGAGCCTGGCCTCTGAGGGACCGAGGCTCGGTCTGCACTGCTGAAGCTGTTGCTTTTATTGCCGAGATGCAGAGAATCTGCCTGTTGGTTTCAGACTGGGCCTCAGTTAGAGGCTAGCAGCTTCCCCACGGCTCAGGCTCAGGCTCAGGCCTGTAGTGTTTTGAGTTTCCTGGGCCTCCCGGGATCTGAAACTTTGTTTTATAAGAAGCCAAAGGACTGGGAGTCCCCCAGAGCCTGGGACTTGCTCTGAAGGTCACAGGCTTGGAAAAAGCGTGGGTGAGGATGTCTGAAGGAGGGTCTCTCAGTGCTGTGGCATCAGGTCTCCCTCTAGCTGACGGAAGCACCTGCGTTTTCTTGCCTGCCACAAACCTTGTTTTCCTGGGAGTGATGTTGGGAGCCTGTGTGAGCAGGGAGAGGAGCCTTCCTGTCACTTCTTGGGCAGGAGATTTCCTCATCCGCTGTGCCTGGCTCCTCCTTTAGGCTCGCTGGAGCTGCAAACCTTCACTTAAAAAAACATGAAACAACCTTGTCTTATTTAATGATATTTCCCTTGAATTGCATTTGGTCCTATGTTAATATCCTGACTTCTGCTTTGAATTTTCTTGCATCTGCCTGCTATACATTTTCTCAGTATTCTACTGTTTTCCTCCATTAAAATTTTCTTTTTAGAAATTGTGGTAAAATACATAAGATAAAATTTACTATCATAACCATTTTAAGTGCACAGTTCAGCAGCATTAGGTACATTCACATTCTCGTGCAGCTGCCTCCACCATCCATCTCTAGAGTTCTTTTCATTTTCCCAGGTGAAACTCTATTCTCATTAAACACTCACTCCCCATTCCCCGTCGCCTAGGCCCTGACAGCCACTATTCTACTGTCTATCTGTATGAATTTGACTACTGCAGCCAGGCCCTCATGTGAGTGGAGACATACAGTATTTTTCTTTTTGTGCCTGGCTTGTTTCCCTTAGCATAATGTCCTCAAGGTTTATCCAGCTTGTAGCATATATTAGAATTTCCTCCCTTTTCTTTGACTTATTTTTTTATTTTTCAAGGTAGGGTCTCGTTCTGTTGTCCAGGCTGGAGTGCAGTGGCGCGATCATGGCAAACTGCAGCCTCGACTTCCTGGCCTCAAGTGATTCTCCTGCCTCAGCTTCCCAAGTAACTGGGACTCCAGGTGCATGCTACAATGTCCAGCTAATTAATATTTGTGTGTGTGTGTGTGTGGAGATGAGGTCTCACTATGTTGCCCAGGCTCGTCTCAAACTCCTGGGATCAAGAAATCCTCCTGCCTTGGCCTCCCAAAGTGCTGGGATTACAGTCCTGAGCCACTGTACCCAGGAAAATTTGTTTTTATTATAGTAAAATATATGTCACATGAAATTTATCATTTTAACCATTTATGTGTGCAGTTCAGTGGCGTTACAGTACATTCACCTTTCAGTGCAGCTACCACCACCATCCACCTTCGGAAAGTTTTCATCTTCCCAAAATGAAACGATGTTCCCATTAAAACACAAACTCCCCATTGCCCTTTCCCAGGCCCTGGCAAACACTGTTCTACTCAGTTTTTTCTTTCACTTAATAAAAGAGAAGGCTCATTGCTGGCTCATGGGGTTACTTCTCTATGTGGCAGCCTTTTTGCATACATGGGATTGAGGTGAAGGTAGAGAAAGGTAACCAAGAATGGGGTTGCAGGAAGAAAAGAGGTGGAGGCACTTGGCTGGGGGTGGTGGCTGTAATCCCAGCACTTTGGGAGATGAGGCGGGCAAATCACTTGAGGTCAGGAGTTTGAGCCCAGCCTGGCCAACATGGTGAAACCGCGTCTCTACTAAAAATACAAAAAAAAAAAAAAAATTAGCTGGGCGTGGTGGCGCACACCTGTAATCCCAGCTACTGGGGGAGGCTGAGGCAGGAGAATTGCTTGAACCTGGGAGACGGAGGTTGTAGTGGGCCGAGATCGTGCCACTACACTCCAGCCTGGGGGACAGAGTAAGACTCTATCTCAAAAAAGAAAAAAAAAGAAAAGAAAAAAGAGGTGGGTGTCGTATCCACAGGCTCAGCAGCCCCGCCGATCCAGACAGTTCTTTTCCACCAAGAGGTTGATCCTTGGAGCCATCTCCATGCTGTAGATCTGCCAGCAGGTTCCGTAGCTTTCCCCTGTTGCTGGTGGCATGGCTTCTCATGGCACCGCTGATGTCGAATGTCCTCAGCGAGCCCATTCATGGCCACGATTCTGTGTTGGGTCCCGCACGCACCTTTCACGGTCCTTTTCTGTAACATCACAGTCCTGGCAATGAACTCCAGATGTTTTGCCCTGACCTTGGATTTAAGTCTCCACTCTGCAGGCCCTCATGAGCTCAGTCCCAGCCCGCCTTCTTTTTTAAGGCTGAATCATAGTCCATTGTGTGTCTAGCCCACTTTTTGTTTATCCCTTCCTCTGTTGATGGACACTGGGTTGCTTTAATTTGTTCAGGAATGGTGGGGTGAGTGGGACCCAGTGCAGCATGGTCTTCTCTTATGCTGGAGGGGACTGGTGGTGAGAGGCTGCGTATCTGGGAGTGGCTCTCATGTTCCCCGCAGCAGGGCATGGGAGCGAGGGGTCCTCTGTGGGGTTGGGGGCTCTTGCCAACATCCATCTTCCCCACACACATCCTCTCTTTGGCCTGAGAAAAGTACATCGACCTCCTCCCTCTTGCAGTTTGGCTGTGGGAGTGGGTGACTCACAGACACAGCCCCTTTCCTGTCTCCTCCTGCCCGTGGGGCCAGCAGGCTGCCTCAGCCGTGAGACTTTCTGCACAAAGGTCCGTCAGAGGAGAGGTAGCTCTCCGCTGAGTGGTGTCTGGTTGCCAGACATGGTGATGGAAATGCTTTAAACCTTAAACGAGCTACCCAGCAAATGGTGGGAAGGAAGGAACGGGCTGATCTGATCTGTGGTCTTCTGTTTGTTCATGGTGACATGGATGGGGCAAAAGGATTGGGTGGAAACTGACCCTTTGGAAAACAAAAATTAACAGGAAGGCATGAACGCAGCAATAAAGATGAACAACCAGTTGCCACCCCCAAGTGTGGGTGACTCGTGTAGACATCATGTTGAGCAAAGGAAGCAGAGGCAGCGGAGAAGTGGGGTGCACGTGTCTGTTCCTGTGACGCTGGGGAGTGGGCAAAGTGGATGTCTGTGATAGAGGCGAAGAAGTGACTGCCTTTGGAGGGACATGTGGGAACCTACTGGGGTGCAGGGAATGTCCCATACCTTGATTTGTGTGCTCATTTATGTAAAACCTTGCTGTCCAGCAAGGCAAAACCCCATGTCTAGAAAAAATACAAAAATTAGCCAGGTGTGGTGGCATGTACCTGTAGTCCCAGTCGGGAGGCTGAGGTGGGTGGATTATGTGAGCCTGGGAGGTAGAGGCTGCAGTGAGCCATGATTGTTCCACTGCACTCCAGCCTGGGCAACAGAGTGAGACCCTGTCTCAAAAACAAAACAAAACAAAACAAAAACAAAAACCAAAAAACCCAGAGTACAAAGAACAACAACAACAAAAATACCTGCTGTCACCCAGTTTGCTTAAGATTTGTGAGTTAAACCTGAATAAGAAAGGGATGCTGGGCACAGTGACTCACGCCTGTAATCCCAGTGCTTTGGGAGGCTGAGGAAGGAGGCTCTCTTGAGGCCAGGAGTTTGAGACTAGCCTGGGTGACGTAGCAAGACCCCATCTCTACTAAAAATACAGAAATTAGCCAGGCATGGTGGTGTGTGCCTGTAATCCCAGCTACTCAGGAGGCTGAGGTGAGAGGATTGCTTGAGTCCAGGAGTCCGAGGCTGCAGTGAGCTATGATCATGAAAGGGACGTGAAAAGAACTGATGAGATTAAACATTTTCATTTCAGTGATGTGGAGGTTGTGGGCTTTTTACTTGGCTTATTTCCCCCTCAATTATTAGAATAAGATATTCCAAGACCAAGCGTTGGGCTGGTTGCCTGGGCTCAGTCAGCCTTCAGATGGGGTGTTGAAGGTAAGAGTCAAAGGGCCCACCTAGGCCGTTCCCGAGAGCGGAAGGTAGTGGGAGAGTCTGGAGTGTCCTTGCACCTCCTGAGTGACAGCTGCCAGCCCTCCAGTCCTCCCCTCTGCACTTGTAAAGTAAGTCTTGGGCCTTCTTATGCTGGGGAAATTGTTCTAGAATGAGGTGCAGGATGCCTATCTTTTCTTCTTCCTGGCCTGACCTCATCAAATTGCTTGACCTCATGAACATTAGTCCTCTTGTCTAGACACAGACATGGTCATTCCTGGCTCACCAGCCTCACAGAGAGGTTGGGAAGCTCACTCGGGGTCTTTGTGCCCTGCGAAGGGCTGGCCACAGGCTTCTGTGTGGGGCATTCTGTCTGGGCATCATGGGCTCCTATAGCCAGAGATGGAGGGAAGACATGGGGAAAGGTGGACACTGCCTGAGCTTAGGCCCTCAGTGGAGGCCCACTTCCTTCTGGGGCGCTGGGGGACGTGCACCATGACTAATACAACCTGGTGTGGGGATTGAGATTCACAGGCATTTTCCGAAAGGGCTGGCAGTTCTGAACATAATGCTTCTCTAGGTGTCTGGGCACGGAGGCTCAGCCTGCTGGGCCTCAACGCCTTTGCTGAGCAGCTTTTAAATATGGATTTGGGCTGGGTGTAATGGCTCATGCCTGTAATCCCAGCACTTTGGGATGCTGAGGTGGGAGGATCACTTGAGGCCAGGAGTTTGAGACCATCCTGGGCAACATAGTGAGACATCTTATCTACAATTATTTTTAAAAAATTAACTGGCCATGCTCCTGTAGTCCTAGCTAGTTGGGAGGCTGAGGTGGGAGGATCACTTGAGTCCAGGAGTTGGAGGCTGCAGTGAGCTGTGATCGTGCCACTGCATTCCAGCCTGAGCAATAGAATGAGACCCTGTCTCTCTCTCTTTTTAAAGGATTCGTTCATGTATTCATTCCCTTATTAAGCCTTATTTGAACACTGTTACTGTACCTTGGATGTTTGTGCAGAGGTCAATAGTATTCAGAATTAGCTGGTTAGTGGGAGAAGAGGAGGGAGGAAATGGAGGAAGGAGTTGCCATTTTCTCAGCACCCACTCTGTGCCTATCTGGGTGCAGGAGGGCTCCCATACGCACGCATGTTGCTGCATTTACTCTTTACAACAGCCCTGGGAGGTGGTTTTTATGGCTCCTGTTTTGCAGGTGAGGTAATGAGTTCAGTTGGGCTGAGTCTTTGCTACTCAGAGCGTGGTCCTGGGACCAGCGTCGTTCTCCTTACTGGGAGCTTCTAGTAACGCACAATCTTGGGCTTCTTCCCAGACCTGCTGAAGCAGAATCTGCATTTGAGCAGGCTCGCTGGGGATCTGTGTGTAGGGTGAAGGCCCTGCCGTGGCATGGGAGCAGGCTGGCACAGGCCAGGTTTGCTTTCCTCTGTAGTATGGCCTCCTCAGTCGTAGCAATGGCAGTCAGAATGGAGCTATTGGCAGCTATGGTGCCCAGTGTTGTGCAGGACCCTTTCATGGTTTCTCACATTTAACCACCAGCAGTCCTATGAGGTAGACATTGTCATTGTCTCCCTTTATTGCTGGGGAGACCCAGGTCACAGAGAGGGCAAGTAACCTGGGCTGAACCTCTCTCAGGTCACACTGTGTTTGGGAGGCAAAGGGCCTTCTCAGAGGGTGTGTGTGTGCATGTGTGTGTGTGTGCATGTATGTGTGTGCATGTGTGTGTACGTGTGCATGTGTTTATGTGTATATATGTGTGCGTGTGTGCGTATATGCATATGTGTGTTCATGTGCATGCATGTATGCGTGTGTGTACGTGTGTGTGTGTGTGTGTGTGTTGGAGGGAGGTGGTGGTGACGGCATGGCAGGGGGAATTTGGGGAGATGACTCTTGGAAGCAATGGATATAGCAGATGGTCGGGGGAGAAGTCAGTGGGGTGGAGGGGACCCCAACCACCGCCTAGGGGTGCTGTCCTGAGTCTCAGGGGGAGACTTTCTGGCTTTTCAATCAAGAGTCAGGTCCAGGTCCCCTCCTCTGGGAAGCCCTCCCTCATTCTCTGCTCAGTTCGAGTTCTGTCTGTGCTCCTATCTTGTGCTGCTTGCCCTCATCACATTGTCTGATGTGTGTTTCTCCATTCCTGGCTAAATGGTGAGGTCCTTGGCGGCAGGACCATGTCTTGGTCATCTTCGTATCCTCTATCCCTAGCACAGTTGGTTTTTCTTCACCCATTCATTTATAAAAATATATTGGAGGCCTACTGTGTGCCGAACCCTGACTCAGGTGCTGATGGGTCCGTGGCAAGTAAGGCAAATATGATTCCTAATCCCCTAGAGGATATGCTGGAGAGGAAAGCTCTTGTGAAAGGGTGACAAATTTATTCATTAGTTCATCCATCCATCCATTCATTAATCCATACATCTACCCACCCCACCCACCCACCCATCCACCCATCCATCCATTCATCAACCCATCCACCCATTCATCCATCCATTCATTAATCCATCCATCTACCCACCCCACCCACCCATTCAGCCATTCATCAGCTCATCTACCCATTCATCCCCTCATCCATCCATCCATCCATTCATTAATCCATCTACCCACCCCACCCACCCATCCACCCATTCATCCACCCACGCATCCATCCATTCATCAATCCATCCACCCATTCATCCACTCATCTGTCCATTCAGTCATTAATCCATCCATCTACCCACCCCACCCACCCATCCACCCATTGATCTACCCATCCATTCACCCATTCACTAAGCAAACACTAGGCACTGGGGTTACAGTGTAAGCAAGTCTAAAGTGATCCTGGCCCTTGGAGCTACAGCCCAGGGGAACACCCACAACTCGCAATCTCTCTAAAGAGAACCAGGGCCAAAGGGCAGGTGCAGCAGGGACCCTAGTCTCATCTGCACAGACAGGGCCACCTCCTGTGACGTCTGAAGGAGGTTGTGGAATTACACAAAAAAGGACTTTACACTTGGAATGTTAGGCACCCAACACATTCCAAACTTACAACACTTCCAGAGTTTTGGGATCTTAACTCTAAGCTGTCACAGGGGTTAAAAGCAGGAAGTTTCAGAGGGTGTCTGGATTTGCAGAAGTGCAACTCCATGCTTTTCAACAGCCATTGCCCTGCAAAGCGCACTCCTGGCTGAGAACTTTCATGAGTATGTGCTGCTCCTGAGGCTGCTGTGGTCCCGCCAGGGTTGTCTGTTAGGGTCTGTAGCACCTATCTGTAAGTTGACCCTGGGCTGGCTAGATGTCACCCTGCAGCCATTCGCTGGCTCTTGGGTTGCATTGCACCTAGGCAAGGGGATAGCAAGCTTTCCTTTTTTTTTTTTCTGAGGTGGCGTCTCGCCCTGTCACCCAGGCTGGAGTGCAGTGGCTCGATCTTGGCTCACCGCAACCTCCGCCTCCCGGGTTCAAGCGATTCTCCTGCCCCAGCCTCCCGAGTAGCTGGAATTACAGGTGTGCACCAACACACCCAGCTGATTTTTTGTATTTTTAGTAGAGATGGGGTTTCACCGTGTTGGCCAAGATGGTCTCGAACTCCTGGCCTCGTGATCTGCCCGTCTTGGCCTCCCAAGGTGCTGGGATTACAGGCGTGAGCCACAGCCACCATGCCCAGCCAGCAAGCTTTCCTTTTATTATTTTTTTAAAAATATGGTTTTATTGCAAAATGAAACACAGATCTAGAAACCCACAAAGTCAATGTAGAACTTAGTGAATTTTTATAAGGTGAACGCCATTGAAACCACTTCCCAGGTCTAGAAATAGAACTTTGCAAGCTACTTCGGAAGGCTTATCCTTGTTCCCCATCCCTGTTTCTCCTTCCAGAAAGAATCACTAGCTTGACTTTTATGGTGATCACACCCTTGCTTTGTTTTAAAGTTCTGTCACTCACGTGTGTACCCCTTGCCACTATAATTTAGACTTGGAGTGCCATTCTTTAAGGAACATGAGGGAGTAATTTTTTTTTGTAGTGATGATTATTTTACTTTTTTTGGAGACCACTCTGTCGCCCAGGCTGGGAGTGCAGTGGTGCCATCATAGCTCACTGCAGCTTCAAACTCCTAGACTCAAGCGATCCTCTCATCTCAGCCTCCCTAGTAGCTGGGACTGCAGGTGCATGCCACCATGCCTGGATATTTTTTAAAATTTTTGTAGAGATGGGGTCTTACTATGTGGTTCAGGTTGGTCTTGAAGTCCTGGCTTCAAGCGATTCTCCCTACTTAGCCCTCCAAGTAGCTGGAATTACAGGTGTGAGTCACCATGCCCAGCTGATTATTTTAAAAATTCTTTTGGTCAGGCGCAGTGGCTCACCCCTGTAATCCCAATACTTTGGGAGGCTGAGGGGGGTGGATCACTTGAGTCCAGGAGTTCCAGACCAGCCTGGCCAACATGACGAAACCCTGTCTCTATTAAAAATACAAAGATTAGCCAGGCATGGTGGCGGGTGCCTATAATCCCAGCTACTCGGGAGGCCGAGGCAGGAGAATCGCATGAACCCAGGAGGCGGAGGTTGTAGTGAGCTAAGATCATGCCACTGCACTCCAGCCTCGGTGACAGAGCGAGACCCTGTCTCAAAAAAACAAATTCCTTTCTAACAATTCCTGATCTGGAAGCTTCTGGTGATTAGGCTCCCGGGTAAACCATTTTCTACCTTTGGCAGGTGAAGGCGAGGCAGGAAGTGCCTACCATTTAGCAGGTGTTCACTCAGAGTTTGATGAGAGGCTGGAGATGCCAGGGATGTTTTACAGTCACCTGGGGAGGAGGTACCGCAGTCCTGAACCAGGGTGACCACAGGCAGGGGGACCAACAGTGTGGAGGGGAGGAGCCGAGGGCGGGTCAGGGGAGGATTAACATGAGGGGAAAGGAGATCCTGTGCGTCATTCTTTCTTTCCCTTTCTTTCCCCTTCAGTACACTGGGGGAAATTAATCTCCCACCTGCCACGGCAGGGAAACCTGAGTTTGCTGTTGGGGCTGTCCAGGGCACGTGGGGTGTTTGTCTTTGAGGCCTTTCTTCACCAGAATTGATGACAGGGGTGTATTTCCTGCTGAGCCGGGCTCCTCACCCCACCCAAGGGGGATTTGGAGGCAGGTGGTCACGTGTCTGGCTTGGTTTGGGTGTCCACAATAGCCTGAGGGATGTGTTGAATTTTAGAAGTTACTGACAGGTGAGTTCTATGGGAGAGGGCTATGGTGATTTTCAAATGCTGGGTCAACAGCATTCTGCAGTCCTCACCATGCAGGTGCTCCTCATGTCCTGGAAACTTAACTTCAAGCAGGTGGCTGATCAAGCCTTGCTGTTGGTAGGAGCAGGGGGCTGGCCTCCTTATTCACCTAATCTTCTCTACATGGGAACAGGATAGTGGTTTTATGACTCATTACTGAAGGCTCCCTTTGTTAGAAGTTCAGACTGTAGGAGATGTCGGTGTAGCCAGTTTTAAGCTGAGTCAGGAAGAGCATCACGAACCTATGGAATCTCCAATAGCACATGGAAACAGGAAAAAATGAGAATGGAAATTCTTGGCCTCATTTATAAATAAGCGTTGATTAAAAGTCTATTTTTTTGTCTTTGTTGTGGAGGACACAGGAGTGTTGGATTCAGTCCCAACATTGCACAGCGTAATGGAAAAGAAATAACTGTCATTGTGCATCGTGACAAGTAATTTATAAGAAAAACAAAAACACTTGCACAGGGCCAGTTGTCTATTGTGTGTTGGTGACACAAAATGGGACTTCTCACTATAGTTAGGTGGGGTTTCTGTCTTTTGGCAGGACTTTGGCTTTTAAAAGTGCCACACACTCTAGAAGAAAACAAGGAATTATGCAGCCATGTGGACATGGGTTCTGAGGCCTGTTCATGTCTGCCCCTCCCCGCGCATGCTGGCTTCCCCCCGCCATCTCGCAATGGACTTGTCCTCAGGGGTGCTCACAAGTGTCCGAACTCATCATGGGTGCTTCCCCCTGTTCTCAGCCCACCCATGACCCGTGCCTTTTTGCCCGTGTGCCCTGGGAGGTGGTGATGGTTGCCACCTCCTCCTTTCCATGCAGGTGAGAGCTGGGCTGGATGAGGTGGTCTCTTAGGTCCCTTCCAACTTGAAGCTTCCCTGGGTCCAAGCTTAAGGGATGGGCAGGGACCTTTCGAGACACGCATTTGGTGGGAAGATGCCCCTGAAAGGTGCCATGGAGTCATCTGTGGCAGTCCGGGTGCTCTTTGTCTAGGCCAGTGTTGGAACTCCGGGGAGGGGTCCAATTCCGTATCAGTGTGGCGGGGACTGGCCTTCCAAAAGGCTGTTTTCCAAGCGCTTGATGTTCATGCTGTTTTCATTCTAAGATGTGTATTTTGTCATTGCCTAACATTTCTGAAATTGGGAAGCATTTTAATGTCTGTATGTGTGTTTAATAAAATGACAGTCCCTCCAAAGAGAGAGCTGTCATTAAGATAGTGGTGGGCCACACACTTAGAGCCTCTTAGACCTCACAGGCTGTCGTAACTGGTGATAGGCGGCCTGGGCTGATGCAGGCTGCCCCCAGGATTCAAAACAGCAAGTCCGTTTTGAAAACCCTTGTCTCTGAAACCTTCCAGTCATCTCTGTGGGCTGTCATCTAATTTTGCTTAAACACTGCATTTGCCTCCCCTCCCTCACTCACAAACCTCCAGTGGCTCCCTATTTCTTCTACCTGAACCTTGGACTCAGCCTGGCTTTCAGTCTGGCCCCTGCATCATTCTTTCTGCCTCAATCAGCCACTCACCCAGTTCCTTTCCAGTAGGAAGATTTCATGATCTCCTCCGAGGCAGGGCCGTCTCTGACTCCACCGGGTCCCTAGCACAGGGTCTTCGGGTGGCAGGCATTCCGGCAACACTTGTTGGCTGATGCATTGATGTGGCTGCAGCTCAGACCTGAAGTCCTTTGGGCATTTTATTACCATCAGCATCTGGGCAGTGTAACTCGAGGATTAACAGAGTTATAGGAGAAAACTCCACTCTAAGAATGGCTAATTATTATTATTTTTTAACCAACTACAATTTACAGAGGGTTCGTAGAGGCACAAAAGAGCACACACCCTGTAAACGAGGGTTAATGAGAAAGCTTCCCGATAGCTTGTGCTTCATCAGCAACAGAACAGCGTGTAAATAAATCTAATTTCTCTCCAACTCAACTCGTCACAGGCTTAATTACCGCAGCCACAATGTGTGCATGTGTGTGTTTTTTTCATTAGCGAAAGAGGGTCATTATTAGCCATGTCTGGTAAGAATTATGATGAAGAGCCTGGCTTACCCTCGATAGGTGTCCTCAGAGAGCAGAAATGAACTTTCCTTGTGAACTAAAGAGTTCCCAATTAAGGTGGTTTGGAGGAAGCAGGAAGCGGCAAGCAGATTAGAAAAAGATTACAGAAACGGGAAAGCGGGCGAGGAGGCGGGAGGGTTCTGGTGGGCTCGGTTAATGACCGAGGGAGGAAGGTTTTCTTCTGGGGGCTGTGCCCTCTTTTCCCGCCTGCTTTGTTATTTGCTTGCCCAGAAATCCTGGGGGCTCCGAGACCCCTCCTGGGGTCCTGTCTTGCATTCTGGCTCCAGAGAGCTGAAAATGAGACTTGCACTTGTGGGGGGACAGGGCTTGACCGCTCCCAGCCACCTCTTTTCGATGGCTTTTCACACCTCCCTCCCCTCCTGCTGAGGAGGGAGGCAGGGGAGAGCGTGCCGCTGCCACCGCGGAAGATAGCCGCACCGGCGGACTGTTGCAGTGAGTGTATTGTTCTAGAAAGAAATAGCTGAAAACCCTGAGTCAGAAATTAGTTAACACAAAGGAAGTTGAACCCTACAGGCCAAGTTCCAATTGTCTGCAGGAAGTGCCCTGCCCAGGGGGCCCTTTGAGGGAGGATTTAAGTCCATTCTGCCTGGCACTCTGTACACAATGTTGGCAAAAAAAGTTTTTTCTTTCCTTCCGACCCCAGGCCCGCAAGCCCCCCATAATGATTGCTTTCCTCATTAAGCAGTGCAGGAGGCCGCACTTTGAGGTGCAAATACATCTCTAGTGATTGAGAAATGCAGGCGGCTTCTCCGGCTTGGTGCACATGTGTTACGGCTGCTGAGACGCTGTCTGTCCCTGAGGCAGCCCGAGCTGCCCCTCCATCCCTTGCACTGGGCATAGGGCAGACCTGACAGCTTTCATAGTGGAAGAGGACCTGGAAGCCTCTTCTGGGTCTGAGGGTCCCTAGCATGTCTTCTTCTAGGTCCTGCTTGGATGCCTCCAGGGATGGGAGTCTCATCTCATTCCAAAGCAGCTTGATCCCTATTGGCAGCCCTGATGATCACATTTACTGAGCACTTACTGAGTGCCTATAATTACTTAATTAAACAAACATTATTGAGAATCTCTTCTGGACCAGGCACTGTGCTAGGCATCGGGGATTAATCAATGACCCTGGATGGAGGTTTCCTGCCCTCTTGGAGCTTACGCCAGATTGAATGCAGGAGGGAACTGATAAATGCAATGATGAATGCTTTGAAAACTAAAAGTGTGTAGAGAGAGGGCAGGTTAGGTGGGGGCAATGCCACTGCCTTGCTCAACAAGGAGGAGTTACTAAAGCCAAACTTCTCCCCGTTTCTTTATGAAACCCCACCTGACCTGGCCTTGGGTTGGGGCCTTTGCATAAACAAACTATTCTTCCTCCACCTTTTAATGCCTGGCTTTTTTTTTTTTTTTTGACGGAGTCTTGCTCTTGTCGCCCAGGCTGGAGTGTAGTGGCGCAATCTCAGCTCTCTGCACCCTTCTCCTCCCGTGTTCAAGTGATTCTCCTGCCTCAGCCTCTGGAGTAGCTGGGATTACAGGCGCCCGCCACCATTCCCAGCTAATTTTTGTACTTTTAGTAGAGACGGGGTTTTGCCATGTTGGCCAGGCTGGTCTCGAACTCCTGACCTCAGGTGATCCGCCCGCCTTGGCCTCCCAAAGTGCTGGGATTACAGGCATGAACCACCATGCCCAGCCAAATGCCTGGCTTCCTCGTGCCATTCAAGTGTTTGCTCAAATGTCCTTTCTCCAGAGAGGCCTTTTTTGATAGCCAGAGCTGAAGCTGCCTCTTTGCTTTTCAACAGTTCCTGTCCTAACACCTTTTATTGTTTTTTTTTTTTTTTTAAATAGGGTCTTACTCTGTTGCCCAGGCTGGAGTGCAGTGGTGCAGTCACAGCTCGCTGCAGCCTCTAACTCCTGGGATCAAGTAGTCCTCCTGCTTTAGCCTTCCAAGTAGCTGGGACTACAGGTGCACATCACCACGCCTGGCTAATTTTTTTTTTTTTTTCTGTAGACAGGGTCTTGCTATGTTGCCCAGGCTGGTCTTAAACTCCTGGGCTCAAGCAATCCTCCCACCTCAGCTTCGCAAAGTGCTAGTATTATAGGTGTGAGCCACCGCGCCTAGCCTCCTATCACCTTTGTTTCAATACTTGCCTTGCATTTATCACCCCCTGAGATTTTCTGATTATTATTATTTTGCTTTGAGACAGAGTCTTGCTCTGTTGCCCAGGATGGAGTGCAGTGGCATGATCTTGGCTCACTGCAACCTCTGCCTCCCGGGTTCAAGTGATTCTCCTGCCTCAGTCTCCCAAGTAGCTGGGACTACAGGCTCACGCCACCACGCCTGGCTAATTTTTGTATTTTTAGTAGAGATGGGGCTTCACCATGCTGGCCAGACTGGTGTTGAACTCTTGCCCTCAAGTGATCCACCTGCCTCAGCCTCCCAAAGTGCTGGGATTACAGGCGTGAGCCACTGTGCCTGGTCGATTTTCTGATGATTATATTCCTTGCTGCCTAGTGGATTTTGTCTCTGCGGTTGACTGCTGTGTTCCCAGCCCAGGACATTGCCTGGCACACAGCAGCCCCGCAGTCCTGACTTGTTGAGTGGGTGAGGACATGTGAGGCTCATGCTACCCTCTCTGTTACCTTGAATGAGCTCCACAGCAACCTCCCATTTTACAGATGAAGAAATGGAGGTTCAGAGAGGTTAAGTAATTAACCTAGGGTCACACGGGGATGCATCTCCAGTCAGTAGAAGGTCAAGCCCATGCCCTCAGTTGTCCCGATGAATTTGTGCAGGTTTTTTCTCCTCCTGATCAGCCCGTGGGGTCTGTTCTGTGCTCTGTGACCTCCTGGAGCAAGCCTGCTTGCTCTATGGGCCACCCTCCTGTGGTCCCTAGACAGTCTCCCTGGCCTCCCTGGGCTCCCCTTTGAAAAGGACAGGAGGCTTGGAGAGATATCCAGGGCTAGAGTTCTCTGGTGATGTTGCTATGGTCAGAAAGGGGGACCAGCCTTGCTCCCCCAGACCCCTACTGGGTCAAATGGCTGGTGCTGTGGATGCCCAGGTGGTTATGCAAGGGTTTCTGTGGCTGGGACACCGTCAGGAAGGGATGTTGAAGACCCCAGGCCCAAGCCATGTGGGGTGGGGGAGGGCCACTGGTGTGCACCCCCTCTCCCAATTCCGGTGTGCAGTTCTTGCCTGGGGGCCATGGAAGCCAGGCGAGGCATCAGGCCACCTGTTTGCAATGCCTTCCTGGGCCACGTCACGGGCACAGTGGCCCGCATTCTTTGATTCCTGAGGTAGTGAATATCAGGCAGGGGGAAATGTGGCCACACAATTCTGCTTTCTTCTGCAGGAGCTGGATTTGGGGGTGAGCACTTTGATACGGGCCAGGAGAGCCTGGGGTGGGCACTAGGGGTCCTGAGATGAGCTGCTGCTCTGCATTTGCTCCCTCCTTGCTGTGGGGTTTTGGCCAAGACCTTGCCCTCCCTGGGCTGTGGGGGCCTCTTCACTGTCCTGCCTGGGTGGGAGTTTGAGTTCTGAACCACTGAACCTTAGCCTTGGAAGGAAGAAAAACAGACTGTGGCTCCAGTGCACCTCTGGGGCAGACAACACCAAGCTCCACTCTCTGTCATAGTTGCTGAGTTGGCAAGGCTGATCCCATCATTATTTTGGGGAGCAGAGCCCATGCATGGGTGGTACTGCTTCTTCCTCTCCCGACACTCAGAAGCCCAGCATGGGTTTGAAGATCATTTACTCTTTAATAAATCAGAAGACTAGTTCTGGCTGAGGTCATGATGGGATTTGAACCCAGGTCTGACCTTGCAGCCAGTGCCCAGGCCAAGGCACTTTGCATGGAGCTGGGTACATATTGCTAACTCAGAACTCTCATGTTAGAAATGTTTCCCAATAAGATTTGACCAATTTAGGCTGGGCACGGTGGCTCATGTGGGCTCCCATCTCTGCCTCCCAAAGTGCTAGGATTACAAGGTGGGAGGATTGCTTGTGGCCAGGAGTTGGAGACCAGCTTGGGCAACATAGTAAGACTTCATCTCTACAACAGATTTTTGAAAAAAACTAGCCAGGTGTGGTGGTGCTTGGGAGGCTGAGGTGGGAGGATCACTTGAGCCCAGGAGTTGGAGGCTGCAGTGAGCTGTGATAGCACCACTGCACTCCAGCCTGGGTAGCAGAATGAGACCCTGTCTCATACAACAACAACAAAAATAAAAGATTTGACCAAGCTGAGTTATTTTAAAGTACGGAGGCTGTCAAACAGTCTTGTATGTGACATGAGCACCTGCAGTCTATCTTCAGTCTGGAGTTCCCATGTGTGCCTTGAATGGAGTTGTGTGCACTGGACTCTGGGCCGCTTGAGGGGCTCTCCCAGCACCTTCTGATTTCAGGATTTGATGGCGTGTCCTGGGCCTTCCTCGGGCCTTTCGTCGCCGTCGGGCCTCTGTCTCTCAGCTCTGTGCTGTAGACACACTGGCCTCCGCTTGGTTCTTGGAGTGCACGATGCTCCATGCCTCAGGTTCCTTTGTGCTTGCTGCTCCCCATCACTGTCACCATCACCGTCTGGTTCCCTGCAGCTTGGCTCACGCTGCTTCCTCAGTGAGGCTCTCCCTCCCTCACCACTCTGGCTGGAGCTGGCGTCTTCCAGCCCCTGTCACGTCAATTATTTTATTTCCTTGGATGCGCTGATCACTCACAGCAATGATTTTATTTCTCTATTTATGCATCTTCTGTCTTTTTCCCCACTAGAGGGTAAACTCCCTGAGAGGATCTGTCCACCTCATTCCCGGTTTTGCTCTGGGACAGTCCCTGGCACGTTGCAGGGTCTCCGTGAGTGTTTTGTGAGTGCACAGATGGCCTTAAATGCCCCTGCGCCTCTCTTCTGGAGAGGAGCGTCTGGCTGACCCTGGGGGCTCTGGCCCTCCTCCCTGTGTCTGGCTGACACGTCTTCTGTGACTCAGTGCTGGCAGTTGGCAGAAAGAGAGGAAGGTACCTCCCAGAGGAGTCTGCTTCCCAGAAACACCCAGCCCACTTCCCCCACCTGGGATCCCCCAGGACAGAGGAATGCAGGGACTTCTTGGAAACCCCTGACTTGGCCCCTGGAGGGTGATGACTTGAAGCCCCATATTTAAATGTTAGTGACAAAACCCAGGAAGCCTCACAATTTTGTGCCTAGGAAGGGGTATTGGTGGAGGAGAAAGAGGAGAGGAAGCCGCCAACTGAGAATTCCCAGAGTAGGAATTTCCTAAACTTTTCCCCAGATCACTGGGTGCAAGGAAGCAGCCCCGATGTGACTCACCCCGAGCAGCAGCATGATAGGTGAGCTTGCACTTGCCTGCACAGGTGTGAGTGACAGCCAGAGATGGGCTGTTCGGCAAGGTATGGGCTGACGGCAGCCTTCCCTTCAAGGTCAGCCCCAACTCTCCACCACATGGCCCTTTCCATCTGCACGGATGGACTGGGATGTGGGGAGAGTGGATGGCAGCAATGCTGAAGCAGGTGGCCCCCTGAATTGCACCTCCAGAGACACATGCGTTCGCGGGAGGGAGAATCTCCTTAATGCAAAGACTCCCAGGGTGAACCCATTTGCAAAGCGAGGAAACCTTTTCTAAGATAGAAACCCCACCCCCACCCCTCCCCAATTCACTACTGGGGCCTGTTCACATTTAACTAGGAGTTGTGGACCCGTGTGATTTCCCTCCAGACGAAACTTTAAAGGCAGACTCTCAAAACGATCCCTGGAAGAGATGACCATGGCCCAGGGGCGAGTGGAACAAAGTGTAGAAAGGTTACAAATCAGCGTGTGGCGCAGGATCCCATTCGCACACGGCGATTGCTGCGCGTGTCCGTAAACGCAGGAGAGGATGTGCGGGATCGCGCTCATCAAAGTGGTCACAGCCCCAAGCTCTGGTAGTGAGATTTCAGGTGTTTTTTACTATTTTTCTTTATACTTTTCTGTATGGCTTGTATCTTTGACATCAGTCGCAGTTATCTTTGTAATCAGAAATAACAGTAAAGCATCGTTTTTTTCTGGGAAGGAAAGATACTCAGAAACACAGAAGCAGTTCTGGGGAGAAAGCCGGGTAAGACCACAGGCTGGCCGAATGCACGCCCTGCATCCCTGTCAAGGTCAGGACCTGGGATGCTTGTTGCAGTGTGGGCAGATTCCCCGGCATGGGCGTTTCTTGTGGGGGTGGGCTGGGTCCTTCCTGCACCCACTCCTGCTCCTGGCATAGCCCAGGGCTCCCAGGGGACCTCACTTCTGGGGCTTCTGTCTTTGGTGAGACTTGGTGCTGCTAGATACCCCTGTGGAGTGGTGCCTTGGCTTGAGAGGAGGTTACTCTCCTATGCTGTTTCGCCACCTTCCTCGTCTCTTTATTTAATGCCGTGGAGATGGGACCGTAGCCCCTGGACTCCATAGAAACCGCATTGTCCATGTGGAAAAGCTGCAGCCTGTGGTCACGCTGGTCTTTACCATGCGCTGGACTTCTCTGTTGACCTCTTTCTGCATGAGAGGGGTGCACACAGCGGGGCTCAGAACCTGGTATCCCGGGAAGCACCTCGATGCTCAGAAGAAGCTGGAACCCCTCTTCTACCACCCTCTAGCAGTGACCTTCCCCCTCGGGGCCTCAGTTTCCCTATCTGTAATAGTACCTCTGTCATAGGGCAGGGGGTCACAGGTGGGTACCCATCAAGATACTTTCCCATCCTCCCATCCCTGCACGGAAAAGGGGCTTCGCTGGAAAGATTTCCAGAAACTGTTTTGAACTCTGACCCTGGCCATGTCTTGCCTGTAGTAAGTGATCAGGTGATGTCACCCGGTGTGATTTCTTAGCAACCAGCTACTTTGGTCGGCCAGCTGGCAGATGTTCTCCTACGGAGAGAGTTGGAGTAATTTTTTCCGTTCGATGTGCACTCCTGGAAGGGGGCCAAGACGCGTTTTAGGCAGTACCTGGCTCCTCCTTGAATTAGGCCGTTTTCCATTCTCATCTCCCCGAAGGTGGTTTTCCAGCCTCAGCCATGACTCACAATCTCAGCATACCCACAGGAGGGTCAGAAAATTGGTGAGAAGTGATTTTCTTTTTAAACTCAGAGGTGGAAAATCTGCATTTACTGAAAAATGACTAACTTGGTGTTGTCCAGCAATGGGGCTTGTCCAAGAAGGTCTGCTTTATGGAATGATGTGCATGACTTTAATCACCTCAGTCTACCTTCATTCATCCATTCAACACGGGGTTATTGTGCACCTACTACGTGCCAGGCACTGTTCTAGGTGCTTCGGATTCCACAGTGAACAGATAGAAGTTCCTGCTCTGAGAGAACAATATACTTAGGTCTTATTTGTTTATTTATTTATAGAGACAAGGTCTCACTTATTGCCCAGGCTGGCCTTGGATTCCTGGGCTAAAGTGATCCTCCTGCCTCAGCCTCCCAAGTAGCTGGGACTACAAGTGACAGCCACTGTGCACCTCAGTACCATTTATTCAAGCTCATCCCCTAACCAGGGCTAGGCTCCTCCACACCGGAGGGAGGGAAGGAGCACAGGGCTGGGGCAATAGCCCTGGTTCTGCCACTAACTTGCCTTGTGCCCTGGGGACAATCTCTTGCGTCACAGATTCTGAGAAAGCGCTGGATTGGATTGGCTGTCTTCTTCAGTGCCTTCTCCATCTAAAATTCTGTGCTTCCCTGTGGTTCTCCAATTTATTCACTGTTCTTTTAAAAACTTTTATGATCTAAAAATTTTCAGTGGCTCAGCAATGGTGTTTTTTTTTTTTTTAAATGAAATATCTCAGATAAACAGAAGAGAATAACGACTGTCCAGGATATACCTTTCAGCTTAAGGAATCGTTCACCCAGCTGAGTGCCAGAGTGCCCTACTCTTCCTGCCCCGTTAGGGCTTGGCATTCATCACTTCCCTGTATGCCTTGCTTCTGGAGATATGTGATATTTAATTATAGATGATATCAATTCTTCATTTCCCTGTATGTCTTGTTTCTGGAAATACATATAAATGGTATTTAAATACTACTGATATACATGTTTTAAAACAATATAGATACCATATTTTACCATATAGATAGTTTATCTTTAGCAACTTGCTTTTTTTTTCCCTCTCTCAACATTATGTTTGGAAGATTAATCCGTGTTGATACATGTAGCTGTTTCATTAATTTTAATTGCTGCATGGTGTCCACTCTGTAAATGTACCACAATCTATCTATCGATCTGCTGTTCATGGAGATGTAGATGCTAATTTTTTTTGGCTATTACAAATCATCCTGCAGCAGATACTCTCACGGCGGACTTTCACAAACAGGAGTTTTCTAGGATATAAGCTTCTGTGGGCAGTGACTGAGTCGAAGGGCATGGCTCAAACTCTTTCCCCCGATCTCTGTCTGCCCGCTCTGCTCTCCCCACTTTAAGTACCTTCTTTCCCGGTGGTTCTAGCATATCTCCGGATTGTGTCTTAGTGTCCCCACTTGGGTCATGGGCCGAGCTCGGAGGTCAGGGAAAGGTCAGGATGCTACGGCTAGGGGTGCCACAACTGCTGAGCACTGCTGGGCACCGTGAGGTGCTGCTTCGGGTAGATGGGCTCCAGCTGTTAGGAGGAAGTAGTTCTTTTGCTTCTTGCCCTGAGCTGTCTTAGAAAGCGCCCAGTCTTGGCTGGGCGTGGTGGTTCACGCCTGTAACCGCAGCACTTTGGGAGGTCGAAGTGGGTGGTTCACCTGAGGTCAGGAGTTCCAGACCTGCCTGGCCAGCTAACCCCATTTCTACTAAAAATGCAAAAATTAGCCAGGTGTGGTGGTGGGTGCCTGTAGTCCCAGCAACTCAGGATGCTGAGGCGGGAGAATCTCTTGAACTCAGGAGGCGGAGGTTGCAGTGAGCCGAGATTGTGCCACTGCTCTCCAGCCAGGGTGACAGAGCAAGATTCTGTCTCAAAAAAAGAGAAAGTACCCTGTCTTTTTGGCAATAGCAGTAGGTGAGCAGATGAAAGAAGCCTGGGTTTGTGCTTCACTGTGATTGATAAGGGCAACCCCAGGCTATGACCTTTAGCTTGTCCTCTTTTGAGGTGGGGAAGCTGAGGCTCGATGAGTCCAAGCAGATCTGAGATATCTGTGAGACCCGCTCTCACAGGAAGCTGCTCTGCTCTTTGTCCCACATTTTCTTCCCGCACCCAGTGGCCAGGTGATTCCTTTAACGGTGCAGGAAATTAATCCTGCACTTTTATAGGTGGGGAAACAGAGCCTGGAACAGCAGGGGCCAACATTGCATTCCACTCACAGAATGCCCTCCACACAGAGTTGATGTAGGATGTTGTTACAGGTGGGGAAACTGAGGCTCGGGGAGAGGAAGTGACTGGCCTGAGGTCATGCCAAGAGTTAGGGACAAAGCTCAGATGAAATTACGTACTTCCTCAGATCCCCCTGCACCTGTCCTCATTTTAGGGTATTTCTCTGCCCTGAGTAAGCTGGTGTTGGGGCGCAGATCCCAGTTGGACCTTCTGTGGGGTGAGGGGATAGTTCACTGGGTCCCAGTCCCCTCAGCTCCATCCCCGTGGGCTCCCCATAGAGAGTCCTTTCCTGCCTTTGATGCAAATTCTTGCACTTTCCTGATAATATTCTGGGCTCTTCTTAACACGAGGGGGTCAGCGGCAAGGCATCTCGGCAATTTATAATTCTTGAAAATTCTGTTTGGTGACACGAGTTAGCATTTAATAGACACCCTGCCACCTCCTCTCTCCCTATTGTGACAAGCTCCTGGCAGAATCCTTTTGAGACTAAGGGTAATTGCACCACGCTGCGAACGGGAAGACCACGTCGCGCTCGAGTGCGCCTCAAAAATGTCTTCACAATAGACAGTCAGGTACGAGTTTGCTGGGCTTCAAGGTAATGATTTAAACTTAATTTGACCCTTGATGAGGGAGCCCATGTTTCTGATCAGATGCAGTCTTTAAGTTTGGGCTTGCCTGCCATGCCTTCAATAGTAGCACAAATAATTCCTTCATAACAAGTGCCTTTCAGAGGATGTCTGCTGCTGACAGCTAATATAGAATTATTGCCCCTGAATGCATTTCTGTAATTACTTCCCAGAGATCTGTCTTTGTGTTAGAAGACATTTCGCACTTTAGTAACATAAGTGTTTTGGGAGAGCACGAGCAATAATTATGAGCAGTCTTTCTGTGAAAATAAACCTAAAAAAATTATAAAAGCTAATGGTAAAATTGGTTAGAGCCAGGGAGGAATTTCATCTGAATTTGATTCATGTATATTTATTCTGAGTATAATAACCTTTCCTGCATGGAAACTTTTTTTTTTAAACAAAAGCAATAATGATACAAAGAGCCCGCTTTCTAATTTTTGAGCCAGACCGAAACTGAAAACTGATTAAAAGTGACAAGTTACTCAAGAATGAAGAAAGAAGCCTGATCGTGGAGCTCTGATAGGAGACATTTGCGGTAATGGAAAATGAAATGATTCACAGTGTGATCAATAAAAAATTAGCAGCATTTAATAAAAGGTTTCTGCTTCATGTTGACTAAAGAACATCGCCAGCAGTTTGAAATCCGAGTTAAGTGATGGTTTGAGGAGGAGCCTGGGGGTGGTGAGTGGGGTGTGGGGTGTGCGTGTGCATGTAGATCACACTGATATTGGCCATCAGGCAGAGGCAGCCAGGTCCCTGGGGTGGGTCTGGAAGTTTCCTTGGTGCGGTTCACTTGACCTTTGGCCTGTGGCTAATCCCCCCATGTCTCTGCATCTCTTTGCCTAGGAATGTGAATCCAGGGGTCCTAGGCTGCCAAACAGGCCTTGCTGTCACTGGCTGGGGGGTCTGAGTGCAGTCCCCATCAAAACCCTGACCCCGAGCTGGGTACACCCCAACCCCGAGCTGGGGACACCCTGGCTGGCCACATGTGTGCTGAGCGTGGGGACACCCCGCCTGGCCTCGTGTGTGCTGGGCCTGGGGACACCCCACCTGGCCATGTGTGTGCTCGGCCTGGGGACACTCCACCTGGCCACGTGTGTGCTCAGCCTGGGGACACCCCGCCTGGCCATGTGTGTGCTCGGCCTGGGGACAGCCTGCCTGGCCACATGTGTGCTGAGCATGGGGACACCCTGCCTGGCTGTGTGTGTGCTGAGGCTTCTCGGACCTCTGTGGCAGACGTGTCATGCTGCCCAGGCCATTGGCTTTGTTCTGTGCCTTGCTTCCAGAATCCAGGTTTCTGGAGACATCAGAGAATGTCTTACAGCCCACTTGTGGGGCTCCAAACACCCTCTTGGGGACTGACGGGAAGTCGGCAGAAAGCCGGCAGACCTGAGCAAGTGGATGAGGGTAAGCGGTGGGGAGACCCCTGGGGTCTCCTGGAGGAGCCAGCTGCTTGCATGGATCCTTGGAGGTGGGCTGAGGCTGCCACCCTCCTCCAGTGAGTGGGTGCCTAGATGGGGGTTTACTGGGAGCGGCTCCTTGGAATCTGAGTGTACTCCTCCTGGGGTGGGATAGCACGGGAAAGCCACTCCACGAGTCCTGCTCCCTTTTCTCCAGGCGCCACTTCCGTATTCCCTGGAACGTGGCTGCGCACCAGGCTGTCTCCATGCCTGGCAACTGGTTAATTTTTAAAGGCTTTTTGTGGAGCCTCTGCACTGCGACTGGAGGGAGAGGGGGCTCCCCTGGCCCTCCAGGCCCACCTGGAGGCTCGTTGGTAGGAGGATCATTGGTGGGAAGGGAGCTGCTGGCTTTTGGGTTATAATAGAGGCCCTAGAGCCGGGTCTGGGGAGTCCCTTGAGCCCCCTGTGTCCCGGGGCAGCAGGCAGGACCAGGGGCCTGCTTCGGGCTTCATTCCTGTTGTCCCATCCCTCCCTGGAAATACAGACCTGTGGCTGGATCTTTAAATGTCAGAGTGGGAAGGGCCCTTCCAGACAGCTTCTTCAACACATCCTTATTAATCACCTGCTGTGTACCAGGCCCTATGCTGGGTGCTGAGAGGTGGAGAAGGGGGAAGCAGAGTGAACAAAACTGATGCGGACTTGCCTGCCTGGAGCTTGCATGCCCAGGAGACCTTCGCACATCCAGCAAATAAAATCATGAGGACTGCTATGATAAGTGGAGAAGGAGAGGTGCCCAGCGAGCTCCCAGAGCTCACAGGGGAGGCCTGACCCTGTGGGGGTGCAGATTCACTGAGCTGAGACCTGAACGGTGAGGAGGAGTTGGGCAGGTGAACTTTTACACACTTTCTATTTTGACAGTGAGGCTCTTTCTGCAAAGTGCTGCTGCGGGACCCTGGCGTGGAAGGCGGGCGGCAGCGGGGCTCCCTGGGTGTGGAGGTGTTGTCTTAGAGTTCTGTCCTCAGGCCTGCCCCTGGCACAGTGTTGAGCTGCTAAGGTGCATGGTTTTTAAAATTGCTTCTCTGTGGTCCATGCCTTAATTTACAGATGGGGCAGCTGAGGCCCAGAGAGGGCACACCTTGCCCGGAATGCACAGCGATGATGCCTGGCCCCTGGGCTCTGGGCTCTCCATTCACACCGCCTCTGTTTATCCTTGGCTCTGAGCCAAACTCCATTAGCCTGGCCACTGGTTCTGGTTTTAGGGGTACAGATCCCTCCTCTCCCTGCTTTTCTTCCCCTAACCGGGATCCTTTTTTTGCAGCCACAAGGGGGGTGATTTGCGCCCCAGCATCCTAGCCTTGAGTTCTGCTCCAGGACTGAGAGCAATTAGGAGTGTCAGGCACTAGCACTGGCCACAAATTAGCTGGATTTATCGAGCTCCCCACGCTGCCTGACCATCCTCCCTCCCCTGCCCACCGCCGGCCCTGCTCCCCCATCTCCCCCTTCCCAGAGACAAAACATGACAGCAAGGCGAGGGCAGAATGGTCACTGCCTCAGGAGGTCACGAGGAGGTAACAGTGCACAATTTTCATGGTTCCAGGGTGGCTTTGTCTGACTGTTCTTCATTACTGCACGCGGCGAGATCAGTTTTATTAAGATTGTAAGGCTTGGAGGAGTGACACCATTAACTACTTGCTGGAAAAATAAATTTGATTTTTTCTTGCAGGGGGTGTTTGAGGTTTATTTTTCTCCCCCCTGCTTCCCTCCTCCCCTCTTCCCTCCCTCTCATCTGCCTTCTTTTCTTTCCACTCATTCCTGACCCACTGTAGTTGAGAGCTGAGTGCAAGTGTCTGTGAGGTTGGGGAAGCTGCCATCTCTCTTTACCTTCCGGGGATTTTGTGGCAGCTGAGCCCTGCAGGGAGGGTAGAGTCATTCATTCGTGCATGTATGGAACACCCATAAAAAACAAGGTCCTTGTGACCAAATGTCAGCCTGTCCTGGTCATGGAGCTGTGTATGGTTCTTTCATGTGTTTGCATCTAGAACAGGGGCTGGCACATAGTAGGTGCTCAGTAAATGTTTGTTGACTGATTGAAGATGTGGAGGATTTGTGTCTGACATGGTTCCAACGTTTAGGGAGCTCACTGCTGACCAGCGCCTGGTGGGCAGAGACCTGGAGTGAGGTCACCTGGAAAGTGGTCCCATAGGGAGCATCCACAGCATGAGTACCATCCTCATTTTCTAGGTGAGGAAACTGAGGCTCAGAAGTACAAGCAACCAAGGTCTTGCACAAAAATGGACTTGAACTCAGTTCCTGAATCTCTAAAGAAGAGACACTTTCATCACTGCTTAGCTGACTGCTCAGCTGACTGCTCTTTCTGGTGAGGAATGAGCAGATGACCCTGTGCTCTAGGGGCTCTGAGGGGCTCTTGCTGGACACACTCCATGGCAGAGACCCTCAGTGGGTAGCCCCCAGGCTGGACCAGCCCTCCAAGGCATATTGTTTAGCCCATACTGTGTTTCTTAAAACTTGAAGTCAACATTTAGAAATCATCCAGAAATTTTATAGAGAACGGTGGATTTCCTCCTCCTTCTTCTTCTTTTTTTTTTGAGACAGAGTCTTACTCTGTTGCCCAGGCTGGAGTGCAGTGGTGCAATCTTGGCTTACTGCAATCTCTGCCTCCCAGGTTCAAGTGATTCTCCTGCCTCAGCCCCCCGAGTAGCTGGGATTATAGGCATGCGCCACCATGCCCGGCTAATTTTTTATTTTTTTGGGGCATTTTTAGTAGAGACAGGGTTTCACCATGTTGGCCATGCTGGTCTCCAACTCATGACCTCAAATGATCCACCCGCCTTGGCCCCCCAAAGTGCTGGGATTACAGCTGTGAGCCATGGATTTTCTTCTTTAAAAAAAAAAAAGCAGCAGGTGTGTTTGCAGTGCTGACCATCTAGAGGAGTTGAGACCCCTCCCTGGGTGGGCTTCTGTGTGCTCACTCCACACCCCATTCGCTTGTACACTCATTTCTGTAATTTGTGTGGTGGTGGGGGAATTGGAGTTGAGAGCTTCTCTCCACTCGTTATCCGAGTGACTGAGGGGGCTGTCTCAGCCATCGGAGCCTCAGTTTTGCCGTCTGTAAAATAGGTCTGGTGGTAACGTCTCCCTGACAGGGGCTGGGGGTCACGAGGCGAAAGATACAAAGGAATTGGAAGTTCTGGCCTGAAGGAGGCGATTGCCATCACACTGCTAGTCCTTTAGGTTCTAGACTTGCTGACAACTGAAGATACGTTCTCTGGAAGTTTCTAGTCATTTCTGTGGGCCTCTGCAGAGGGTTGTCCTGTATCAGTCCCTCATGGCCAGACGGAGCAGCCCAGCAAGGCTTGTGTGATGTAGCCGAGGTCAGGTTCAATGTCTCTGACGGACCTTGGCTTGAAATTCCATCCACAGAGCCACAGGCACCGATAGGGACACCGGGGTCTCCCCAGACAGCCATCAGGAAGTTGCTTCCTTATTTAAGAAGCCGAACTTGGACAGCAAATTATGTGTTAAAATATTTGCCTAGAGCTCTGCTGCCAAGGGGACCCTTTAGGCTGAGTGTTAAATGTTACCCCGCTGCCTGCACTGCAAATATTTTAAACCTGAAGATAAATAATGGCTGCCTTTTGGAATTTGGGGCCAGCAATGGATGCACAAGCCGAGTGCGGAATTGGGGTTGGTGGGCTCTTTGCCCAGCCCTGGCCACACCCCTCCCGGGGCCTGCTTGAGAGAGTGTTCATGGAGGAGAGGGTTCTTCTCTGTGAGCAGGACCCAAACGAACACTGAATAGAGGCTAAGCCAGGGCTTTGACCTGGTGCTCAGATTCAGAAAAGGCATCTTGCCCTCGGGAACATGTTTTTAGGAAACGTGCAGGCTGTTAGGGTGGAGGATATTTTTTTTAATGAAAAAGAAATGTCGGCGGGGTACAGTGGCTCACTTCTGTAATCCCAGCACTTTGGGAGGCTGAGGTGGGATTACTTGAGGCTGGGAGTTTGAGACCAGCCTAGGCAACATAACAAAACCCCATCTCTACAAAAATTTTAAAAATTACCTGGGTCTAGCCGAGTGCGTTGGCAGGCGCCTGTAATCCCAGCTACTCGGGAGGCTGAGGCAAGAGAATCACTTGAACCCGGGAGGCAGAGGTTGCAGTGAGCCGAGATTGTGCCACTACACTCCAGCCTGGGTGACACAGCAAGACTCTGTCTTGGGGGAAAAAAAATTACCTGGGTCTGATGGTGCATCTGTAATCCTGACTGCTCGGGAAGCTGATGTGGGAGGATTGCTTGAGCCCAGGAGTTCAAGGCTGCAGTGAGCTGAGATCGCATCACTGCACTCCACCCTCGGTGACAGACCAAGATCCTGTCTCCAAAAAAAAAAAAAAAAAAACCAAACAAAAACAAAAAAACAAACGTGTTGCTCCAGGGTAAAGACTTTGGAAATGGTAGGTATCTTCCTGGACCGTTTTTCCCTCAGCCACCTACAGAGGGCGGGCACAAGAACAGTGGGCTTGTGGGTTGTAAGCTGATCACACCCCTTCACGGAGGAGGTGGCTCGCACCTTACTCAGGATCGCACAGTCTGGGAAGGGGAGGATTCACACTTGGACCCAGGACTTTCCTCTCCTGATGGAGTGGATTTTTTTTCTTTTGGTATGCATGGACATTTTCGTGCCTTGCAAGAGGGCCTGTGCCATGACATTCCTTGTCCTCCTGCATCCTCAGGAGCATGTGAGGCCTCCTGCCAGACCCCTCCGGGTTTGACGCCTCCAGCTTTTGTCTGCACTGCGATGCTGCACATGTTGGTTTGAATCATAACCCAGCAGCAAGACAGTGCTTACCAGCTACCATTGTCTCAAGCTGTACTATGAGCCAAGCATCTGGCTTTGTATATATCACCTTATTAAAATTATGTGACTTAATTAAATGAGTCCCAGAGAGGGCAAGTGACTTGTTCATGGTCCCCCAGCTGCTAAATGGTGGAGTGTGGATTTGAACCCAGACAGGCTGGCTTCAGAGCCTGTGATTCTTTTCTGTTTTTTCTCTGTCATCCCCGACAGTCCCTGGAACATGCATCCAGCCATCTGCTGCTTGTATGTGTCATTACTTAATGACTGTCTTTATTTCAACAACTTGGTTCCATCAGCTCCACTGCACTCCTCTACCCCAGTGTCCCGATGGCTCCTGTACAGTTGGGTTCTCTGGTAACCCCTGGATATGCCTAGAATGTGGCGCCTGGTGGTTCTGCTTTCTGCAGGGGTGGGTGGTATGGTCTCCCATCCAAATCTGATTGGGAGAAGAAGTGAGAGGTGGGGAAGCCTTTCCAGGGCTTGCTGGCCTTGCTGGTCCTGCTGACCCCGCTGCCCTCTCACTCTCACCTGGCAGTGTTCCTGGCTCTCTCACTTTCTCCGCTCCACTGGTCTCCCTTCTCCCCTGCACCCTTTCTCCTCCCGTCCATCCCTGCTCTGGCCTCCCCTATCCCCTCGAAACCCCACAAGGCTCCTATATCCCCTGATGTGGAGCTGAGCTGTGTGCCTGTCTCATAGTGGCCATGCATTCAGGTGAGCCCCGCCTCCCCACTGTGAGGTTGGAGAGGATGGCGTTCATGAGATTCAGGCTTCTTTTGGGCCTATGAGGAATCAGAGGCTCAGGTAGGGGACTTGCCTTGGTCAAGGTCACTCATGGTTGGGGGCTGAGGTGTACTGGAGCTAAGACCGGAATCTGGGTCCCCGACCAGCCCCAGCCCTGGATGCCGGCCCCTTACTACTTAGCGTATCCTCTTGGGCATTCATTTATTCATCTAATCACTCATTTGCCCACCCCATATTTATTAAGCATCTTTTCTGTGCCAGCCTTTGTGTGGGCTTTGAGGCCGCCAAGATGAATGGGGTTGGGGAGCACCCCGTATGTTGCAGCAAATGTGCATGTGTTATGCCTGGCACACCGTAGGCACTTAATAAGTATTTGTGGAAAGAATGAAGGAAAGAATGGGTGAGTGCGTGTGATTGTTGACCCTGGTTTGTCGCATGTCTCTCAAGCTCTGTCCTAGGTCTCTCTGTCTCGGGTGCATGGAGGCAGCTCCTGGCCCCCTGCCTCCATCTTGTGGATACTCAGCCATGTGGCCCCAGAGGTGGGACCTCTGATGGTGGCTGGGAGGTTTTCAGTGTGCCCAGGGCTCTCTGCTGACTAGCTGACTCCCGGGACACGAGAGCAAGGAAGAGGCATCCTTCTGGGTGAGTTTCCTTCTGATTCGTGTGCTGGCCAGGGGCCGACATTGGCTGACCCTTTTCTAGCTGGCCCTTGGGAGGGTGAGGCCCTGGTGGCCCTGGCTCATGACCTTGCGAAGCCCTGCTGGGAAGGTAGGAAATGTGCTGTTCTCAGACCTGGCAGCCTGTGGGCAGTCTGGTCCCCTGGGGCCTCTCCCCGTTCCCCTTTTCCTGGCAGTGGACCCAGCCAGCTGTCCCCTGCCCCGTGATTTTGCAGGCATTCCCTTTCTGCCTTTCCGTATAGTGGTTAAGAGTCAGGATCAGCTGGGTGCGGTGGCTCACACCTGTATTCCCAGCACTTCGGGAGGCCGAGGCGGGTGGATCAGAAGTTTGAGACCAGCCTGGCCAACATGGCAAAACCCTGTCTCTGCTAAAAATATGAAAATTAGCCAGGCATGATGGTGCTTGCCTGTAATCCCAGCTACTCAGGAGGCTGAGGCAGGAGAATCACTTGAACCTGGAAGACAGAGGTTGCCGTGAGCTGAGATTGCACCATTGCACTCCAGCCTGGGTGACAGAGTGAAACTCTGTCTTGGAAAAAAAAAAAAGAGTCAGGATCTAGAGTCAGAAGACCTGGATACAAATTCCTCTCTGCCCTTCCTGGCACGTGCTTTGAATGGGCTCCTGAGCCTTGTTTTTTTTTTTTCCTCATTGACAAAGTGGGTGAGTCCATTGCACCTACCTGCAGAATGGGGATATCCATTGTACCTACCACATAGAGTTTCTGTCCTCATCGAAATGGGGCAGTGTGAGTGTAAAATGGTACCAGGAGATGCTCACACCATACTCAGCTCCCCTCAGGGTGTAGGGGAGGCTGTGCCACCTCCCTCTGTCCCTGGCAAGGCCCTCTGTCCCTGGCAAGGCCTCTGCTGCTCCTTCCCTCTAGAGGGCATGGGGCCATCTGTCTTGCTGCACAGCGTTTCTGCAGGGTCCGCTGTCTGCTCTCAACGTCATCATCTTGAATGCAAGCCCTTTCTTAAGGGCAGTAGCTCAGTGAGGTGGGAAAATTCACTACTTTTACTTTATTTTTTGAGACTCTTGCTCTGTTATCCAGGCTGGAGTGCAGTGGTGCGAACACGGCTCACTGCAGCCTCCAACTCCTGGGCTGAAACGATCCTCCTGCTTCAGCCTCTCAAGTAGCTAGGACCACAGGCGTGCACCACCATGCCTGGCTGATTTTTAAAATTTTTGTAAAGATGGGGTCTCACTGTGTTGCCTGGGCTGGTCTCAAACTCCATAGGTTCTCCTGTCTCATCCTCCTAAAGTGCTAGGATTACAGGCGTAAGCCATTGTGACTGGCCTGAAAATTCAGTGCTTTCCAGCGAAACATGATTGAGGTGAAAGGTTTTGTTATTGCCTCTCTTTGCTCATAGAATGTCCCCCAAGTCCATATCTTGGGTTCAGGGAAGCTGGGTTTGGGTGGGTGTGGTGTAGTGGGGTTTCCTGGTGTGGGTGTACCCTCTTCCTCCTGGCTGCAGGAAGAAGCTGGCAGGACAGGGCAACCTCGTCATATGTGAGGCTGAGCCATTTGAGATTGCCAATATTCAACTTTTTTGACCTAAAAAATGGCACCTTTATATGATTCAATCTAATACTTATCGTCAGACAATAAACTGCACTGTGGCCCCTTCCCCTCCTTCTGCCTCTACCTGTGTGGGGATTCAGAGGCCTGCTTTTTTGAAACCAATCAATTAATTCACTCATCCATTCATTCAACATTTATTGAGCCCCTACTATATGTCCCTCTGTATGCCAGGGTTGGGGGAGGTGGCACTGAGCTAAATTAGACACAGCTCCTGCCCTCATGGAGCTTATAGTCCGGTGTGGGGCGAGAAGGTCGGCTATCCATTGCTACGTAACAAACCATCCCAAAATGTAATGGCCTGAAGCAATAATTTATTACTACTTCTCACAGTACTATGAGCTAACTGGGTTCAGCTGGCAGTCTCACTGGGTGTTTCTTGTACAGTTGCAGCCGCATGGTGTTTGGAGCTGCTGTCATCCAAAGGCTTCTTGGGGTGGGATGTCCAAGATGGTGTGCTCCCATGGCTGAAGTCGGTGCTGGAAGCTGGGAGCTGTTGACTGGAGCCCCTATGTGCTCTCTCTCCATGTGGCTTGGGCTTCATATATTATGGCTGCTGGGCTTGAAGGGGGAGTGTCCCAGGAGATGCAGGGGGAAGCTGCAAGCCTCCTTCTGACCTAGCCTCAGAAGTCTAGAATAGCACTTCTGTTGCATCCTGTTGGTCAAGGAGCCACTGAGTCTGGCCAGCCCCGAGGGGGACTGTGGAGGAGAATTCGGTCCCTCGTTATGATGAGGGAGTCAAGGTCTCCCTGCAGAAGGGCAGGTGGGGTGGGAGATATTGCTGTGGCAGTCTGTGGAAAATGCAGCCTGCCAAGGGAGAGAGAAAGTAGACAAATTAGCCCACAAAAGCATGAGTGCACGTGATGCTGAGAGCTCTGACTGCAAAGGGAAGAGAGCCCTGGGGAAAGAGTAATGGGGCCCCAACTTCCGTAGGTGCCCAGGCTGGTGGAGATCTTTGGGAACTGTGTGAAGACTTAACGGAAATCTTCCTGCTGGAGATCAGGAGTGGGAAGCCCTGGACCAAAGAGACTTGGAAGTTTATGGGGTTGAAAGATGACCTTCAAGGCTGTGGAGATGGGCGATAAGTGAGAGAGATCAGCAGAGCCGTTGCTGAACCTTAGGGGCTGTGACCAGGACCCTACATGGGACTTTGAGGGGTTTTACAAACTCCCAACACCTGGCTCAGGTGTTCATTGCGTCTTACTGTGAGGAAACCATGTAGTAGAGTGGTTAAGAGTCACATGCAGTGGGCTTGAAACTCAGCCCCACCACTTCTCTGTGGCCTCACTTAAGCTCTGTCACTTCCCAGAGCTCTGCTTTCCTCACCTGTAAAATGGGGATATGATGACATCAACTCATAAGGTGCCTGCACTTGATTAAGCATTGAGTGCTTAATCAATGCTCACTGTTCTTGGGGCATGCCTGGGCAAAAGGATGCAGGTGTGCACATCAGAAAACAGTTGTCCATCGTGGAAAGCATGAGCTCTGGGAGGTAGGGAATCTTGTCAGCTGGACGGACAGGTCGGCGTTCACAGCACTGGTTCGGTTTCTGTCCCATGCACATGGCCCTGAGGGAGAGGTCCCTGATTTGAAATCCATTTGGCTCGGGCCTTCCCTGAGCGAGCTGTCTTCATGCTGCTGCAGACAGCCCCCAGGAGGACAGGGGAGGAGCCAGAGGGAAAGGAGCCAGCCGGCTGTTTTCGGGAAGCCCTCCCCAGCCCTGGAGGCCTCTGCAGAAAAGCATTGAGCCATTGGCCTTCTCCTCGGCCTGTTGAAGTTGCTTCACTGGGCTCTGGGGTGATTGGAGGAACCAGTGAGCTGCAGTTCTAGCCCAGGTCATTGAAATGAGCCAGCGCTTGTGATGGGACTCACAAGGCAGGGCCAGGTGCTGGGCCTCTGGGCCCTATGTTCTCTGAGTTTGCACAGGTGATGTCCAGACTCAGGACAGGGACCAGTTGAGGGGCCTCTGGGGCTGGACAGAGCAGCACACAGGACAGGCGGAGCTGGGTTGAAGGAGTAGGGAAGGTCCAATCATTCCATCCCCAGGACTTACTGAGCAACCGATCAGGTGGGCCTGGAAAAGAGGAACCCCAGACGGTCTCCAGGTAGGTCTGATGTCCTTGGAGCTCCCTGTTGTTAGAACTTCTGCCTCCTGGGCCTTGGAGAGCTTGGGGCTCCAACAGGCCCAGGGACTTCAGGAAAGGTGTGCTGCTTAATGAACACGTGAACGTGTAGATTCGATCCTGGCATGGCTTTGGGTGGCCTTGCAGAGGCTCAGTTTTCTCATCTGCAAATGGAAAAATAACACCATTTATTCTTTTGTCTTATGGTGAGGTTCAGAAACTCCTGGGCATGAAAGTGCATTGCAAGAGGCAAACCCTGCCTGGGGTGGAGGCCTTCCTGTTCTCCAGCGCCTGATTCTGCTGAATCAGCAGAGGGGCCCTTGGGTCTTCAGGGAAGTCCCACTCCCCAAAACTTCTTCAGGCCCCTGAGTCTTCCCTGTCTTGTGTCACCTCCCTGAGGGCCAGGCTGGGACCCCTTGGGAGCCCAGAGGATGAGGTCCGCGCCTTTGTGTGGCCTGAGCTCGCCTTCGTCTCCATCCCTTTCTGCACAGCCACCCTCCCTTCCCATTAGTAGCCGGCCATAGGGGAGGTGACAGTTGCTTAAAACAGATTTATACTCTTGGATGACTTTATGGGTTTTTGCCTTATAAAAACCTGAGAGTTGACATTCTGATTTATCTACTCCCGAGTCAACAGGATGTACCAGATTTAAAGAGATCAAATACATTGTGATGTTTGTGGTTCCAGTTGTGGATTAGATGAGCTATTATAGAAAGTGCTGCCAAGTAAATACGGCAAAAAAATAACGAGGGGATAATTTAAATATGTCTATTAAATTGTGTGTTAAGTAAAGTAGCACAAGTGTGGTGCTGATTGTAACTTATTATCTGGAGGGTCGGTGTAGTAGATAAAGCCAGAATTATGGCTCTTTTATTTTCCCTTTCTACAGAACATTTTTTTTTTATTAAGGAAAGACTGTAAACGAGGAATTTCGGAGACGGGCACTTGACTGTGTAACCATGGTTGTATGATGACTTACAATATCGAAGGCTCCAAATGATATTTCTCATTTCTTTGCTTTCTATTTCTTACCCTCACTGCAGCGGCAGATCAGATTCCCTGAGATAAATATGCTGCCTGACTTTTAATGGGATTTCTGTATTGCCAGGAGTTGGCGCGTTCTGATAATAAAAGAACCTAAAAACTGTACATCCCTTAATTGGTAAGAAGAGAGATGTTTTGATGGGCCACAAATGGAAACATTGATTTTTACTGCCTCCGCGCAGTTCCAGGCGGCGTGTCGTGCAACGTTCCCCGCCTTGGAAGGAAGCAGCTGGCTCTCCGATGAGCCGATTTGTGTTCCCAGGTTCTTGATGTCGGGTGCTTGGAAGGGCATGTTCTGTGCAGACAGGAGAAATAGAGCCCTTATAACATTATCTGTTTCCAAATTGAAATATTCACAGGACTGTGGTTTCCACCTTGAATTGAGTGCATTCTTTGCTTCGTGTCTGTCTTTCTTGCTTTGGCGCCCGCCCTCAGGGGTTTGCAGGTTGTGCACTGAGCCTTTTCCTGTAACTGTGATGTTGCATGTACACACATGTACATACAGGTGCACATACACGCACTTTTGCATATGTACATATGCTTTCAAAAACACCTTTATGGATAATAAGATCTCTTTCTTTGATTTAAATCAGTGCAGCTAGTTTCCGGATGGGTAAATCTGTTTTCCAGGACAGGCTGTGGGAAGAGACAACACACACTTTTATTTTCCAATCCGAGGGTCTCTGCATTTTAACACACAAATTTTATCCATTGACATTTATTAGGATTACTGATATATTCTGTGGGTTATATTTACCACACGCTTTTGCACTTTGATTTACAAGTTCCTGGTGTGTCTTATTAATCTGTAAGATTGGGGCTGTGCTCCATTACCCACAGTTGTGCAGGGAAGTGAACTAGACCAGGAGTCACGAAGTTGAGCTGAGCCTCTGTAGGGTGCTTGGGCTGTTGCTTCTTCTGGTTGGATGCCAGGTACCTTACCTGTGAGACAAAGCTGTCCCTCTCTGCAGGGGGTTGGATCACATGATCCTTTGAGCCTTCTTTGAGTTTAGGATATGCAAGACTGTGAAATGGGGCTGTGCATATATAATGGTGGCTTTGAAGAAGCACGGAACACAGCACAATTGCAAGGCATCATTATGATTACGAATTCACTTTTCCCTATAGATTAGCCACTCTCTGCACAGTGCTAAGCACAGTAGCTGTTTTATTTTAAAGAAATCAGTGAGATCATTCCACGACTGATTCTAACTGTCTAGGCCTGTACCAGGTCACAGGTGACACTATTTATTTTATTTTATATTTTTTAGAGATAGGGTCCAGGCCCAGGCTGGAGTACAGTGGCACGATCATAGTTCCCCGTAACCTCGAACTCCTGGTCTCTAGCAATCCTCCTGAGTAGGTAGAACTACAGGCACACACCACTATACCAGGCTAATTAAAAAAAAATTTTTTTTTTTTTGTAGAGATAGAGTCTTGCTATATTGCCCAGGCCGGTCTCAAACTCCAGGCCTTCAGCAATTTTCCCACCTTGGTCTCTCAGAGTGCTAGGATTATAGGTGTGAGATTCCATGCCCAGCCTGGATGCATTTTAAGCTTGAGATTCGACCATCCATGGTTCTTCAAACATGTGTACTTCCTTTATTTCAGAGTTGGACATCTTTGCAAAGAACTGAGCCAACGTCACTGCCCTGGGAGGCCTGTTGTGTGGAAGGCGAACTTGGCTAAGAGATCTCCCAGCTCTAAATTGCAAGGCTGTGGGGAAAACTAAAAGTTTAGGTGTGTTAGGAACAGCTGATGGAGGCTTTAAAAAGGTGTGTAACTGAATCTGGTTTTTAGGAGACAAATAAGGTTTTTCACCTCTCCGATGGGTCACGGCCCCCAGCATCCGTGCACAGAGGGGAGATGACAGGAAATCCCCCTAGAAGATTTGCACCAAGAATTAAAGAATCTGGTTGAGAATTATGGCACCACATGCTACAAAAAAACCCCATCTATTAATATACTGAGAGGTGTCAAGGATAATGGACCCCGGGAGGTAGAGTAATTAAATGTATCTTAATAAATGCCGGGCGATTCTTTTAAAACCCTTTCCCAAGACCCCATCAGCTGACATGGACTGTATTCTTCCTGTTGGCAGGAGGCCTAGAAGGAGAGCCAGAGTGCGATCAGAAAACCAGCCGTGCGCTGGAAGACAGGAACAGCGTGACAAGTCAAGAGGAGAGAAATGAGGATGATGAAGACATGGAGGATGAATCAATTTACACCTGCGATCACTGTCAGCAGGACTTCGAGTCTCTGGCAGACCTGACGGACCACCGGGCCCACCGCTGTCCTGGAGGTAATGCAAAACAGCCCCAGGACTCTGACAGGTGGTTACACGGGTAATTGGACATAGCAACAGCTTGAAGCCTCAAGTGAGATTAAAGAATTAATAATGTAATTTTACAGTTAATGTCATTTTATTGTGGTGTCTTGGGTACCCTGTATCCGCCTTTTAAATACAATTAAAAATAAAAGCAACAGCTTTCCGGCAGGCAGGAATTAGATGGTGGTGCTCTGTCCCGGCCCCCTCTCCCCGCAAGCTGTGCTCTGGTACTCAGGCCATGAATGGGTGGATGTGCACCCTGAATTTCTGGAAGGCCTTTTGGAAACGCAGTAATTAAGAGGTTGTTAGTGCAAAGTTAAGCAGCTTAAGTGTGGAAAGCTGCATAAAGGAGTAAGCTCCGAGGCAGAGCTTCTGATGGGATGAGGAAATTTCAAAGGCCAAGGACAGCCCGTGAAAAAGGGACCTGTTTCCAACTCTGTGCTTGACCTCACACTTCTCTGAGTAGGAGGAGAAGGGTAGCTGGGAGCTGCTTCTGCTAGATTTGACTGGAGCTCTGTTCTCCATTTACTTGGTGCCTTGGAGAGGGTGTGTAAGACCAGTTTTCTAGGAGCTACTGAAGACTTCAGGAGTTTTGTGTGTATATGTGTATTTGTCTGGGGTGATTGGGGTGGGGAGTCAGAGGGCATGTGCATTCCCTGGGATGTGGAAGCCATGCTACAGGGATGACACATTTCTGGGCTCTGAGATCTGCAGAGGGAGTCCATAGGACCTGTGTTCCTTACACAGTCTTCCTGAGAGACCTTCTTCCATCAGGGTTGTTGATGAAGCTCCTTGGATACTGGTTTGTGGAAGAAAGCCTGAAATCTCAGGCCTGCATTCTAAAGGGAACCCATCACTTGTTGAGGGGAACATTTACTGGTAGGGATTAGATTGGCACCCAAAGCTCTTGCTTTTTCTACTCCTCATATCATCTTGGAATTTTGAAATTAAGTGTTTGGGGAACTGCTATGATTTGCCCTCTAGTGACATCTGTGCCTGCACAGGGCTGGCTAGACCAAGTTCCCATTCTCAACCTCTGGAGGAACAGATATTTTTAAAATAATAATAATAATAATAATAATAATAATAATAATAATAATAATAGACCTAAGAGGAATCTTACAGTTTTGGACATTTTGGGGCCCAGTAATCCAAACCCCAGTCATTTGGAATTTGTGATATTGCAACCAGAGGCAGAGGTGATGGTTAATTTTCAATTCTAAATCAGAATTAGAAGGGACCTATGAGGTTAGCTTTTTAAGTCTCCTCACTTCCCCAAGGGAAATACTAGGGCAAAGGGAGGAAAAGGTGATTGCTTGGCCGGGGTCACATATCTGTTTGGTGGCCAAGCTAGGACCTCCTCTGGACACTGAGCTATTGACCCTCATCCTACTTGAGGAATAATATTATAGATGTTGGTATATTTCTTGATTTAGCCAAGAATTAACATGGAATCTTAACTATAAGAGAATAAAATATTGCCACTTACTTTATAATCAACTAATTGATCTAATGAAAAGTTATTCTCTTTATTTTCTAAATGCAAGAGAATAGGCCATTCTGTGTAGTTGTTAGAGCAGGGCCCCACACCTTCTGCTAAGCTGTGCTTTCTTGAGTCCCTGCAGCTCTTAGAGGCTGCCCCTTCCTCCAGCCCTTCAAATCAAGGAGATTCTCCTGTCTTTCAGTCTCACTTTTAAGAATGGTGGCATTTCGGGCTGGGCACGATGGCTCATGCCTGTAATCCCAGCATTTTGGGAGGCTGAGGCAGGCGGATCACGATGTCAGCAGTCCAAGACCAGCCTGGCCAATATGGTAAAACCCCATGTCTACTAAAAATACAAAAATTACCCAGGCGTGATGGCACATGCCTGTAGTCCCAGCTACTTGGGAGGCTGAGGCAAAAGAATCGCTTGAACCCGGGAGATGGAGGTTGCGGTGAGCCAAGATCATGCCACTGCACTCTGGCCTGGGTGACAGAGCGAGACCCCATCTCAAAAAAGGAAAATAAATAAATAAATAAAAGAATGGTGGCACTTCTAGGTGGAAAAAGGAAACTGGGAAACTGGGCTATATGTGAGAGTCTGAGCCAGAAATAAGAACTGGTAGCTAATTGTGCTTTGGTCCCCAGGAAGAATCCTCCTCCCAGTGGCAAACCCTTCTCTCATCAGCCTTTGACTCCAGGTGAAATCCATGGCAGCCCTGTTTGCAGGGTCCCCAGCTGTCCTTATTGATGCTGGTGGTATCCACCGACACTCCTGCCCGCTTCCTAACAGGACCCTGCTAATGACCTCCGTGGGGACGCAGGAGCTAGGAATACCCCCAAATCCTGGAGCATTGGAAGGGAGTCAGAAATTCCTTGAAAGAATGAGGGAAACAACCTTGCCTAAGCGCATCCCTGAGAAATTCATTACCGCCTGGTAAAGGCATGACCCAGCCTGGGATAGTTTCCTAGATGTGTGAGGAGTTACTTTCCCCCAGGTCTTCGGTTCTTAGGATTACTCAATGATGGGATAAACCACCGGGAATTGCGTATGTATTATTCAAAACAGTTCCCTACCTGGAATGCCTCCACACCCTTCCATTGTGCAGTGGTTTTCGAACTGTGTTCCCAGAGGTATCTCTGGGGCTATGGTGTGGTGTGTTTGGGGTGTAGGAAGTGAGTACTGGGGCCTGTCAGACTGAGGGGGCACTGATGTCCAGTCCAGTCGGAGCGATTCACCTTAAAAGTCTGTTTTATACCTGGGGCTTTAGCAGATGATGTTGTTTGAAAATTGGCCTCTGATTTAAAGGTTTGGAACTGATATAAATGTGCAATCGCAGGCTCCCCCTGGCCAGGCTGATGGGTCTGCTGGACTCTCACCACTGGTCACTCGATAGAAGCCCAATAGAGACCGTGTCCGAGAGGGCCGCGCTGGGCGCAGGCTGGGCAGACCATGGTGCCCTGCAGATGTTTCTGTAGGAACCAGAGGGTCTGCCCACTTGGCCTGGAGCAGAGGGCCTGCTTCTCAGGAATCGTGACCTGGGGTGTGAACAACCCTCCCCTTCATAGGGACTGTTGCTGCTGGAACGTGGAGGCAGCACGTGCCTCCCCAAACGGGTGTGTCCTGGCAGGGTCAGCCCTTGCAAGCCATTGGCCTTCTGGGGAGAGTGCTGTGTGTTGGGGTGTCGGGGGTGTATTTGTGGGCGGTGACCGTGAATGTGGCTCTTCCTGAAAACTGCTTCTGTATCTTTCTATGGCAGTTGGGGTGGTGTTGAGGGGGAGATTGGGGGCAGCGTTTTGCTCCCTCAGAATCTGGGACAGTGCTGTGGTGAGGTTTGGGGGTTTTCTGAGGTGGGGGGATGCTTACCCCTCAGGGGTGGGAGGGGAGCTTCATGCCAGAATGGCCACGATGGAAGACCCCCCCGTCCCCAACCTGGAGCCCGGCCTCTGTGCTAAGGAGCCTTCATTTCCAGTTGGGAGCTCGAGAAGGCACCTCTCTGTTGTCCTCAGCAGGAGTGGCATGCCGGGCCCATGAGCTGTTGAAGCGTGGACTTTAAGGTCTCGGACAACTCCATCAAGTCCTGTTCCTCTCTCTCCCTCTCGCTCTCATTTGTGTCTGAGGAGAAACCAACCTTAAACCCATGAGGTATCAAACATTGCATTTTTATGACACAAACTGAAAAGAGCAAAAATCCAGTCCTCTCCATTCATTCTCCCGCCCTGATGTCTGTTTGATTTTTCTTTGTTCCTCTCCAGCCCCTGGCCACAGGATGCCACACGTTCGCATGCTTGGGGTTGTGAGCACATACGTTTTCACGTTCTGTGTTTGTCACATAACATGTTATGAAGGGGTTCCCATGTGGTTACCTGGTCTTCGCCATTTTTTTTTTTTTTTTTTTTTTTTTTTGCTAGGGGGAACTCTGTCTTTTAAATAGCAGTGCTCAAGGGCAGGAAGCTTGGGTTGCAGGTACTGTGTCCATACTCTGAAAATATTAAATTTAGACTAAGATGTCTGTAGATGAGGCTTTTTGCCACAGTGTAGATAGGGGCTGACTGGGTAAGTGTGATGGGCTTCTCTGTTCCTAATGGAGACATTGTTTGTGGGCACCAAGTCAGGAAATGGCAAAGGATTTGGTGGCTGTCTGAATTGCCAAGGATGGGCAGTCCCTGTCAATTCAGGTCTCACTGATTTAAATCATGTTGGAACAAATAACGTCATAATTTGTGAAGCGCTGGCCAAGCAAATTTGGGTCCTTTAAACTGCAGCAGGGGGTGTTTATCATCATCTTCTAGGAGCCAGGAGGACTTGGACTGCTTTAGAAAGTTTCTCTAGGAACTGCCTGGGGTACCATAGAAGCAGGTGCGAGAGGTTTGGTTTGCCCATGGGGTGATGGTGGTTTTTTATGTGCTCACTGAAGCCAGTCACCTGTGGGCCTGTAGTCTGGATTTTTCACTTCCTGGTGCAAATACTCCCTTTTAGAGATACTGCAATTTATGTTGACCCCTGCTTTGGCCTGAATTAAGAGGCTGGCAGCTGGAGGGCGTGTGGGTGCTCCGTCTGCGCTGTCATGCTTGAGACCTGACTTTCCTAGTGCTGTTCCTCAGAGTGTCCACAGTGGGCTGTCAGCAGGGGCCTGTGCTGTGCCAGTCCTGGAACATGCCAGCCCAGGTCCCCGGGGCTGGAGCACTTGACAGCTTTTGGGGTCTTTGGCCTCTTTGCTAAAGGGGCTGCTGGCCTGATATATGGCTTTTTGTTGTAGGTAGTAAGACTGCGGGCTCCAGGCACTTGCCTTGGAATAGAAATCGCCTTCAGGACCAGTTTGGAGCTCAGCATTGGTGTCTTCCCTTCAGCTCCGTTCCCTGATCTCTGAGTTGGGCCAGGCTCCTGGCGGGCCCTAGAGAGGTGGCTCTGAAGCAGATGGGGTGCGTGCTGCCCTCCAGGGGCTGGCAGTCTGGTGCTGGGGGCAAATGTGTGAGCAGGTGTTGCCTCCTCCACACTGCAGTGAAGGCTGTAGTCCTGATATTCTTTGTGTTTTCAGTGCCTACTGCCCGCGAGGCACTATGGGACTCTGCCTGGAACACACGCCCTGCAGCCCTCCCTGCTGGCCCTCTGCAGCCCCCACGCCCACACAGTCCAGAGCACCCATCCCTTTCTGTAATTGTCTTTCACGTGTTTCTCACCCATCTCTCTCCCTACTATTAAGCTGCATGAGGACAACAGCCATACCTGTTTTGTTCCCCGTTATGTTCTAGCCCAGCGCTAGAGTAGAATTCAACATGTTTGTTGAATGAATGAATCATCTCACCTAGTCTTTATAACAATCACCTTTGGTGTCCAAGGTGACGCTGTCTTCATTTTTTTTAATTAATTAGTTTTTTAAGAGACAGGGTCTTGTTCTGTTGCCCAGCCTGGAGTGCAGTGGTGCCATTTGTAGCTCACTGCAGCCTCGACTTCCTGTGCTCAAGCGATCCTCCCGCCTCAGCCTCCTGAGCTAGGACCACAGGCATGCCCCACCATACCTGGCTCATTTTTAATTTTTTCTTGTATGGATGAGGTCTTGCTATGTTGCCTAGGTTGATCATGACCTCCTGGCCTCAGGCAATCCTCCTGCCTGGGCCTCCCAAAGCTAGGCACTATTTTCTACCATTCGTCCTCATTTTGCAATTGGGTGACTGAGGCTCAGAGAGCTGGAGGACCTTGCTCAAGGTTACAGATCGTGTCAGTAAAGGCAAGCTCTGAGGTCGGAACAGCTTGCCTGTGCTTGAGAACACAGATTGGGGACTGTGAGCAATTTCAAACTAAACTCCAGATGGCTTTTTTGAATGCTCAACTTCCAAAAAAACAAGAGGGGGGACTTTGTTGAAATAGCAACAGCAAAAAATGTGTTCCTGGTGGGTTAATTTTGCGGCTCCCCTCTCCGCTATCCCTTCTTGAGGACTGGGACCAAAGAGTGTTTCCCTGGCCCCTGTGAAAGGTAGGCCCTCCTTTTCTGGCGAAGGTGAAATGCTGCTGTGCAACAAGCCGGGTGGAAAGTTAATTACACCCTGGTTTGTTCAGCTGTGGCCAGAGTGACCTGTGGGCCCCAATTACAGGGCTGGTGCTGTGTGGAGCTGGCACCTTTGCCAGCCGTGTGCTGTCGGCCGGCTGGCCAGCGCTTGCCTTTTTGTGCTGGCTCAGGCCCCTTTCTTGCTCCAAAAGCATGAGGGGCTCCCTGCCTTACTGACTTGCGGCGCTCCTCGAACTGGCTCTGTTTTGGTCGTGCAGTGTGGGGCTGGGGCCAGTGCCAGACACTGTGCTACCTGATACACAGGTGCTGGGTGTGGGCTCCTTCTGCCCACAGGGAATGCACTCGGGGCCTTGGTGTCAGTTGACTTCACATGGCGCAAAAGGCTAGGGGCTTGAGCACAATTGATATCCGCCCCCTATCTTAAGAGTTTTCCTGCATGCAGACAGCTTCCAGTTAGGAAACACAGAGCAAGAAATGGTCCCGTTATGTCAGCCACAAAATGTATAAAAACCAGGGAGCAAACCCAGTAAGAAACATTCAAACGGCATGGAGAGGACAGACAAACAAAATCAATTATGGTGGGGGGAAGACAGGGAACACAGAAGAGACCTTACTCTTATTCTTGTGGAAAGATTCAGTATCATAAATATGCCAATTTCCTCCAAACGAACCTATTGGCTTAATGTTAGCTAATGAAAGCAATGGTAAGATTTGTTTAGAAATGGATGTGCTGAATTTATAGTTCATAAGAAATAGTGGGTATGCAGGCATCAGAAGGAATCTTCTGGAAAAGGAACAGGGAGTGGGGACAGGAACCAGCTCAGATTGCTCTGGAGCGGAAAGGATTCGAAGTGGTGTGAAACAGAAATGGACCCAAATACAACTGGAAATCTAGTGTATGAGAAGGGTGTCCCTGCACGACAGTGGAGGACAGATGGCTCTCTCAGCAACTGGGATTAGGATGAAAAGGTGGCCATCCCCCAAAAAGGAAATTGGATCCTTCCCTCACTCCTGACACCAAACTCAATCCCAAGTGGATCAGGAATCTAAACATAAAAAGAAAACTTTAAAATACTAAAAGAAAACAGAGAGCTTTTAAATATTTTAATTCAATAGTATCAGAGTGAGGAAGGCCTTTCTAAATATAACCCCAGTGTCAGAAGCCATAAAACCAAAGTCAAAACATTCAACTACATAAAAATAAAAAAATTCTACATTGTGAAAACCACAGTAAATCAAGCCAGGGACACATATCACAGGCAAAAGATGTTTTCCTTAATGTGTAAGGAACTCCTACAAATGCTAAGAAAATAGCCAATAAATCAACACAAAAAAACATGGCAAAGGCTAGGTTGAGGCACAGCCAAGCCTGCTTGAGATGCCTGGCCTTCCCCAAGGTCTGTACCGTCTCTGATCCATTGGTGCCACACTGGTGGTTAGATGTTTTGAATATCTCCCATGTGCAAACTACAGAAATGGACAGAAATGGAACCAGAGAAAGAAATACTAGTGGGATCCTAAATATTTAAAAAATATTTATTGGGAGGCCGAGGCAGGCGGATCACGAGGTCAGGAGATTGAAACCATCCTGGCTAACACAGTGAAACCCCGTCTCTACTGAAAATACAAAAAATTAGCCGGGCGTGGTGGCGGGTGCCTGTAGTCCCAGCTACTCGGGAGGCTGAGGCAGGAGAATGGCATGAACCCAGGAGGCGGAGCTTGCAGTGAGCCGAGATCACACCACTGCATTCCAGCCTGGGCGACAGAGTGACACTCAGTCTCAAAAAAAAAAAAAAAAAAAATTAGAACCCCGTTTATAGTAAGGGAACTGCAAATTTAAACCATAAGGAAATACCATTTTAAAAATACCAGAATGGCACAGATCAAAAAGTTTGCCAACACCATCTCACTGGTCAGGTTGTGTTCCATGATGTCCAGGCTTGGGGTCTTATTCTCTTCCCTCTCCGCAGGATTGCTTTGGCCTGTGGCTAGAACACATAGTAGGTGCTCAAGGAATGTTTGTTCTTGGGGCTAAGGAGGCTACAGCCCTCCTGCAAGGCAAAGGGGTGTGTGCAGTAAGAAAAGTGGAAATGCCATGGATACAGTGCTTTGGGATATGAGATAGAAAAAACAGAAGTTCTGGACATAGTAGGTCCTCAATTAATGTATAATCAGAAGGGTAAGTTTAGAGATGGAAGAGATGGTTCGTTCATACAATAAGTGTTTCTTTAGTGTGTGCTATTAGCAGGGACCCTCTGGGCTCTAGGGATGTGGAGGCTATTATAAAAGGTAGCTCAGTGGAGAAGGTGTTCACTTCACAAAAGGATGCTTTGACTTGTGTGATGAAGTGCTGTGGTGGTCTTTAAACAGCCTCCTTCTCTAGTGTCCTTAAGAGGGGCTTTGATGAACAGAGACGTTATTCTCTATAGCTCTCAGGAAGATGCTGACCTGCTAGCAGGCTTCCACTTGGGAGGGAAGTGGATGGGCAGGGTGGACCACCGGCCAGCCTGGGTCTGCTTGGCTGGTGGCATTTGTGGAAGCCTTCCCTAAATTGCCTGCCCCCTGCCCTCCGATGGCTTCTGATGGGGAACCATCCGGAGTAAGCTGGGGAACCAGCAGGCTGCATAGACGGTGGTTCTGAGTCTTGGCTCAGACAGCTGTGTCTTGGGTTCCTTCCTGGTGGTAATGTGGTGGTGGTGGGGACTTGTTTCTTAGTTGCTGACATTTTTATTCACCGCCTGCGAAGTCCGCAGGTTGCAGAGCATCCCTCCCTTGACTTGATTACATAGAGCGAATGCTGTTATCACACTGTTGGGCCTGTAAACCTCCCCAAAATTGGATGACAAATTAACAATATAGAAGGCAGGGGTCAAGGTGGGAAGATTCTGCATTTCTTGTGTTTTCCATGGGAAAAAAGGCATAGACCGTGTCTATGTGTCTACAGTCTATGTGTCTTTCTGGAGGTTTTGAGGACTCTCCAAAGTGGAGGAGGTTTTTGCTTCTTTCCTACCCAGCCTGCTTGACCACCTTCATGATTTTCTGAATAATTGAGCTTCTTGGATTCTTTGGTTTCCAAGGGTGCGCCAGAGTGGGATCCAGTGTGGCGCCTGGCACGATGGGTGTTGCTGCTGTACAAAGCCCCTGGGATGAGCCTGGGGGTTGATTCTGGAGATGGTTCTTGGGGAGCGAGGTGGGCTGTCCCCGGTTTCTGTTACCTTCCTGGCAGCAGCCAAAGCTTCCGGTGTCCTCCTGGGCCCAGGATGTACACCAAACTGGCCTTTAGGCTGGTTGTACATGTGTTCCCGGTGTGGTCTGGGTCCAGCCTGCTGTTGTCCATTTCATCTTGGGAGTTTCCAGAGGGCACCTGTCAGCAAGCAGTGATACCATACCTGCTGTGTATTCGGGGCCGTGAATGCCTGTGCATGGGTGTTCATTCATTCCCGTTAAGGGAAATGTATAGTCTAGCTGGAGGATGAAGTTGCTGTGATCCTTTTGGCTGCCAGCACATAGTTGGTCCTCAGTTAATGTGCTATCTGCATAGAGACTTGGCTCAAATTGACAAGCAGAAAATAGAGGATTCATTGGCTCCAGGAACTGAGAAATGCAGATGTAAGGCTGGCCTCAAGCTTGGTCCTCCAGGGCCTCCAGAGACACTGCCCCATGTCTGTTGACATGAACCCCATCACCGTGTGTACATCAGCAGAGGTGCCCCAGCACCTCCAGGCTCCACCTTTTCGACTCAGCAGTGACAATGGAATGAGCAGCCTCTTACCATTGCCAGGGTAGAAGTCCTGAGGTTGACTCTGTAGAATGGCCAGGACCAAGACTCACCCCCGCCCATGATGCGGCCAGGGAGACAACATACATGTTAGCAAGGGTCAGGGTTGGGTGCGGGGAATCAGGGCAGCTCCATGCAGACCACTGGGCCTGAGAGCTGGGGAGGGGCTCCCCTGAATGGTGGTCAGGAGCCACAGACATCTTCTTTAGGAGGTAGGAATTACATGCAGACAAACAGGAAGTAGTAAAAGAGTGCAATGAAATGCCAGATTGTCAGGTATCAGTTATCAATTGATAACCAATACTTTTGCTTTTGACAGTGTCTAGTCAGGTAATCTTAGAATTTTAGGGAAGCAGAATCCTTGGTGTGTATATCCTCAAACCTTTTTTGGTTTGAATGTGGTTGAAACAATGGCAGAACCAGTCTCTCAAACACAGCCAGGGCACTGACTGGACCAGGCTCCTTAGTGAGGTAGTACTTGTCCCAGGTCACACAGGGAGGTGGTAGCTTAGCCAGCACTCTCTGAGGTTATCTGCTAACTGCTGGTGGGGGGTGGGATTGCAGCTCCCAGGGTGGACAGGGGACTAGTGCAGCCTGCAGGGCACCCATGTTTTCTGGCAGGAGGTGCCCGTGTATATGCAGCTCCTGCCTGGCTCATGGGTGCTTCTGGGAATGCCACATCGAGCTCACTGTCTTTGAGGTCTCCAGACCCACGGACCTCACACTGTTTGCACTGGACCTTTTCTTTGTTTGCATCTTGTGGAAGAGTGACTTTGACCCTTGAATTCTAACAAACTTCATAGAAGTTGTGCCCCCACCTTGGGTGTTCCATAAAGCCATGGTCCCCCTGAACCTCTGCTGCTTGGTCCTTTGGGGGCAGTGCTCTGGGAGGTGGAAGGTGGGGTAATGGTGTGTCAAGCCCTCGTGGCATCCACCAGCGGCTTGGCCCCTACAATATTATGTTCAGGTCTCAGGCCAGGCTGGAGAGAGGCTGGGCAGCCACCAAGTTAGTCGGAGCCTTGAGCCTGAGTGGCTCAGGTGCCCAGATGGTGTTGAGAGGCAACTCTGAAATCAGCCAGCTATGCTGAACCTCTCTCGTGCGTTCCTGAGAAACCCAGTATATTAGTTCATTTTCACACTGCTATAAAGAACTACCTGAGACTGGGTAATTGATGAAGAAAAGAGGTTTTTAATTGACTTGCATTTCCTCAGGCTGTACAGGCAGCATGGCTGGGAGGCCTCAGGAAACTTACGATCATGGCGGAAGGTGAAGGGGTAGCAAGGACATCATAGCATGGTGAATCAGGAGAGATAGGGTGAGGGGGAGGTGCCACACACTTTTAAACAACCACATCTTGTGAGACTCACTCATCACCAGCACAGCAAGGGGGAAATCTGCCCCCATGATCTAATCACCTCTCACCAGGCCCCTTCCCCAACACTGGGAATTACAATTCCACATGAGATTTGGGTGGGGACACAGAGCCAGACTATATCACCCAAGTGTTACCAAAAAACCACATCATTTGCCATCAGCCAGAGGGAGAAAGAGGGATGCAGCTACGTATTCTAAAATTGCACTAACAAGGTCTTTTCTTTATTCTGTAGATATTTCAATAATAAGTTTTTTCCCCCAGTGTATTAGTGTATAGCTCTAAAACCTCAGTGTCACTGAGCCAGCTCAGGGCCCGTCACGTGGAGCTGCTCTTCCTTTCCCGTCAGGTCTGCTTTTTCATTAGGCCGGCACTTCCTGCCCTCCTTATCCTCTGTCTCACCCCTGGGCGGGAAAAGCAAAGGCCAGAGCCCCCCAGAGAGGCCCTGCTGCCTTTCTCCTGGAGGTGCTTGTGCTAATTCTGGATTCTGTTGGGCATAAAGATCTGAAAATTGTGTTCCCTGAGTAATCAATCTCGGTTACTACCAATTTGAGGTTTGCAAAAGCTTTGAGAAATGCCTGTGGGTGAGGATAGGAATAGCCTCCAGCTGGGATCCTGACCTGATTTTGGGGTAAAAGAGGCAAATAGAGGGGAGTTGTTCTAGAAGAGTCCTTTATTATAACTGGCTATGGTCTGAATGTTTGCTTTTCCCCCAAATTCGTTTGTTGAAATCTAATCCCCAATGTGGTAGTATTAAGCAGTGGGCCTGTAGGAGGTGATTAGGTCATGAAGGCTCTGGAAGAATGGGATGAGTGCTCTTACAAAAGGGGACCCAGAGGACTGCCCAGCTCCTTCCACCATGTGAGGACGCAGCAAGACTGTGTTGTCTATGAGAAATGCGCCCTCACCAGACACAGAATCTCCCAGCACCTTGATCTTGGACTTCCCGGCCTCCAGAACTGTGAGCAATAAACATTTGTGGTTTAGAAGCCATCCAGTTTCTGGTATTGTTGTTATATGAGCCTGAACAGACTTAAGACAGAGCTGAAAAGTGTTGATGCTCTCTTCTTCCATTCCTTACTCCACAATTCCAGGCACTCAAAGGAACAAGCAAACTTAACGGATGAAAGAGAAGTGTGTTCCTTAGAACCACAGCATCCCCTGGCACGTGTGCGTTCATTCACAGATCTTTTATTTTTGAGACAGAGTATCACTCTGTCACCCAGACTGGAGTGCAGTGGCATAATCTCGGCTCACTGCAGCCTCCACCTCCTTGGTTCAAGCAATTCTCCTGCCTCAGCCTCCTGAGTAGCTGGGATTACCACACCCAGCTAATTTTTGTATTTTTAGTAGGAAGGGGTTTTACCATGTTGGCCAGGCTGGTCTTGAACTCATGACTCAGGTGATCCTCCCACCTTGGCCTCCCAAAGTACTGAGATTACAGGTGTGAGCCACCACACCCAGCCACAGAGGCTTTTTTTAAAAGCATCTACTGTGTGCTGGGAACTGGGTGAGCAAAACACTGGGTGAGCACTGGGTGAGCAAAACAGACAACAGTTCCTGCCCTTGTGTAGCTTACTGGGCCCCTCGATAACTTTGGCCAGGGGATTCTTGAATGTACTCCTATGAGTTGGTTGGTCCCCTCCCTCTGTGGGGTAGTCCAGTAGTTCAGTACTGGCCAATGTGTGCATGAGTGGTGTGGAAATGAAGAACAGGAGCCGGTTCACTGCCAAAGGGTTATTTACTGTGCTCTGACGCTATGTCAGCAGAAGCAGAAAGAGTGTCTGTTCTGTGTGTTGCTGGAGGGAGTGGTTCAGGGAGGACAGAGAAGGAGAGATCTCAGGGTCATGCTTGCAAGTTGGAAGGTTGGGATTCCCTGCCGACCAGTGTCAGACAACCAAATCCTAACCAGCTGAAATCAAACAGTGCAATGTATTGGCTCATGTAAATAGAAACCTAGGTGTAGGACTATCTTCAGGTGCAGCTGAATCCAGGGACTCCAGTGAAGGGCGAAGGACCCAGTCTTCCTGCATCTCCTGGCTCTGAGGAATGCCATGATGGCTTTTGGCTCAGGTCAAGTCAAGTGCTCTGAATAGCAGACCTGAAAAGTTTCCCCAGAGGAAATCAGGGTGCTGCTAGCAGAAGAAGTGGGGATGGATGCTGGCCGCAGAAGCAGCCTGAAGAGAGAAGGAGCTGAGGCCATTTAACCTAGACAGCAGGTGACCTGACCTCCTGAACTGAGGGGTAGGCAAGAGCTTGGCTGGAAGTCCAGCCAGCCCTACCAGTTCCATGGGGGCCTGTTCCTATGATGGTGAAGGTATGGCTTGAGTGGCTGATGCTTTTATTATTGCCTCTGGGTAAGATGCCTCTGTGTGCCAGGGCAGTGGGGGAGTGGGGATGAGACCTGTCCACCCCTTTCTCCATTAATGTTGATACTCCAAGGGCCAGACCAGGACCAATTCCAGAAGTCCCCAGGGACACCTGCCTGGCCTATGTGTAAGGAGTGATGTTTTGGTTGGTGAGAGTCTTTGCAAGCCTGGAGATGAACACATCAGAGGGTGGCGGGGGAGGAGAGTGGGATGCAGGCTTGGGGCTGAGAGATGGGCATGTGGATTTATCAGGTTCCTTCAAACCTTGAGATCCTGTGATTGACATCCCTAACATGACACCCTAATACAGAAAAATAAAGAACATCCCCAAACAAAATGAGAAACCAACCAAATTTATCTCCCGCTGACTGGGGCTTGCAGGTCAAGGAGTGCTCCCAGCAGATCATCCCGTAATGCGGATTCCACTTTCCTCTGGTCACAGCCTCCCCAGCACCCCAGCCCACTGGCCTAGTGGCTCAGAGGGGCGATCAGGAGGAACTGCTTCTAGTGTCGCAGCAAAAGCCGGGGAGCAGGGAGAGGCGGGGGATTCGGAACAGGAAAAGAGCAAGGAAATTTAACTCTGGCACTGGTCTAAAATAAAGCGCTACTATTGGTTGAGTGTTTTGGCAGTGTTTTTAAACACTCTGTGCCAACTCAGAGAAAAAATGTACAGGGGATTATAAAATGCTTCATTTTGTGTTAAACAGTTTTATTTTGGAGTTGACTGGCTAGGATTTGGCTGCCTTTGGAAATGACGTCATGGGTATGAGGGTGCATGTGGGAAGACTGAGGCAGGCGAGGTGGCTCTGCAGGTGGGGGAATGGCAGCCAGCTTGGGGGAGCACACCTGCACCTCTGTCCCCGCCCTTGGATATGGAGTGTCTCAGCCTCTCCAAGGGCTTGGCTGAGCAGGTTGGTGCTGCCTCATGATGGGGGTGATGAGGTCAGATCTGCTGGAGCGGGTCTGACCCCTCTGAGGGTTGGTGGGGTGTGTTGTGGGAGGTAGGTGGAAGGAAGGTGGCTGAGGGGCAGGCAGCAGGGAGACTTGGGAGGGGCAATGGCTGGCATCTGCCTGTGGGCACCCAGCCTGTACCCAGCCTTTTCTCCTCAACTGCCCTCCGCTGTCCTCAGGACAGCTTGCATCTGACTCTGCTCCTCCCCCACTGCCCTGGGGATGAATCCACTCCCCTGCCTGGCCCTGTGCCTCTTGCGGCTTCTCCTCCTCCTGCTTGATTATCACAGCTCACTGCAGCATCGACCTCCTGGGCTCAAGCAATCCTTCCACCTCAGCCTCCCGAGTAGCTGGGACTATAGGCTTGCACCACCATGCCCCACTGTGCCCAGCTACTTTTTTGATTTTTTGCATACATGGGGTCTCTCTATGCTGCCCAGGTTGGTCTTGAACTCCTGGCCTCAAAAATTCCTCCTGCCTCAGCTACTCAAAGTATTGGGATTACAGGTGTGAGCCACTGTGTCTGGCTTTTGTTGTTGGGAGACAGGGTCTCACTCTGTCACCCAGGCTGGAGGGCACTGGCACGATTGTTGCTCACTGGAGCCTTGAACTCCTGGGCTCAAGCCATCTTCCCACCTCAGCCTCCCCAGTAGCTAGGACTATGGGTGCACACCACCATGCCCAGCTAAGTATTTTATATTAATTTTGAAAAAATGTGGTCTTGGTAAGTTACCCAGGCTAGTCTCAGACTCCTGGCCTCAAGTACTCCTCCTGCCTTGGCCTCCCAAAGCACTGGGATACTTGTGCCAGCTGCCGTGCCCGGCCTCAGTTCCTCCTCTTGAGCCGTCAACAGGCCGTGCTCATTCCACTGCAGGGCCTTTGCACCACCTGCCTTCCCCGGGTGTTCTTTCAGCTTTTCACGTGGATAGCTCTCTCACTTCCTTCTGTGTCTCCAAGGTCACCTCCTCAGCGCGGCCCTCCTTGCTGACACCCTCCCCCGTCTCCTGCAGCAGCGGCTCCCTTCAACGCCAAACACATCACACCATTTATTTCCTTTATGGCAGTGATTGCTTGATGTTTTTGAATTATTGTCTCTGCCACTCGAAGGTGACCCTCTTAGGAGTCCCGTCCTGTGCTGTCTCCCTCATGCCTGTTCCTGTCTCTGGCCTTGTGGCAGACCTGGTGCATAGTAAATGCTCAGGGAATACTTACTCAGTGATTTGTTGGAAGTGGCCTGGGTGGTGCTAAGTTGTTCCCTTGGATGGCACGAACACCAGGAATTCTTGGGGGCTTGCAGCTGGGCCGTCTCCTCGGGACTGGAAAGAAGCCTTCCCCTCCTCAAATTCCACCAAGCCACACCCAACTCACACCTCCCTTCCCATTCCAGAAATGGCTCTTCCCATGGCTTCCTGGGGGCTGGAGAGCAGGGGCCGCGGGACAAACCCCAGGGTGCATTTCGGTCTTCAGTGGAGGGGGCAGTTCATATTTCAGACCACCCATTTTTATTTTTAAATTAATTTTTTTTTTGTAGAGATGGGGTTTCACTATGTTGCTTAGGCTGATCTGGAACTCAAGCAATCCACCCATCTCAGCCTCCCAAAGTGTTGGGATTACAGGTGTGAGCCATTGCACCCGGCCTCATCAGTTTTTTTTTTTTTTCTCCCAGGCTGGAGTGCAGTGGCGAGATCTTGGCTCACTGCAACCTCCACCTCCCGGGCTCAAGCAATTTTCCTGCTTCAGCCTCCCAAGTAGCTGGGATTACAGACACCTGGCTAATTTTTTGTATTTTTAGTAGAGATGGGGTTTTGCCATGTTGGCCAGGCTGGTCTTGAACTCGTGACCTCAGGTGATCTGCTCACCTTGGCCTCCCAAAGTGCTGGGATTACAGGTGTGAGCCACCGCACCTGGCCCCATCAGTTTTTAATTTAGCTCCTAGTATGTACTAGGCCCTGGCTGCGTGTTGAAATATAGCAGCACCCTGAGTAGACCAGATCCCTGCCCTGGTTGGGGAAACAGATAATAAGGAGGTAAGCACCGGGTGCTTCGTCATACCGTCATACCATCATGTGTGAGGTGATGAATAAATACAATTGGCTCCCGCCCTTCGGAGCCCATGATCTCCTGGGAGAATGAGCCGTCTGCAGGGCACAGGAAGATGCTCCGGCTCCTGGGGATGGGATTTGAGAAGCACTGCTGGGGCGTTAAGCAAGAGACCCAGAGCTGGGCTTCAGAAGCAACTGTGCCTGGTGGGTTCACTCTCTCCTCCTTC